>NC_000010.11:129728148-130039628 GCF_000001405.40 Homo sapiens
CACCAGGGGACAAGGGGGACCTGAAGCAGCTGTGACCGTGGATGGCAGGGAAAAGAAGAAGAAGGGATTCATTTTGGCATAGAGTTGGGAATTGCAGCAGTCACTTGAGAATGACAGAGATGGGAAGGTTAGGGATTAGGGTCAGTGGCATGGACGTGAGCGATGAACCCATACAAGTGGGTGAGAAAAAGGCTGAAGAAGGTGAGGCAGCATAGGGAGTGGGTGACGCCAGTGATGGCTGATGTGGTGTGACCAGAGGAAGGGGCCAAGGGGGCGGACCCCGCAGGGTCCATAATGGTGGTGATTGCCTTGGGGGAGTTCAGGGGTCGCAGAAGAGGACCTGATTATGCCATCCTCACTTGTAAATTCTGCTTGGTCTCCTGACGCTATCAGGGTCAGACCCAGCCCTCTCATGGCCCGCTGTGTGGCATGTGCTGCTCCCTGGCTCTTGCCCATGCCCCTCCTCCTGGCCAAGCCACACTCCACCTGCATCAGCCATAGGCCCTCCCGCCACTGCCCGCCTGCAGGTCTCAGCACCAGCGTTGCCTCCCCAGAAGCCTCCCTGACCATGGTCCCTGTTGTGTGCCCCACCACCCCCTGTTCTCTGTCCCCCTGGTATTGGTTCGTCTGCTTGTGGTAACTGCTGAATGCCAGCCCCAATGCCCCCGCCTCCCATCGCCATCAGCGTCACCAGCATCACAAAGGTCAGCACGAGGTAGCTGCTCACAGAATATTTATTAAGAATAAGAAATTAATAAAGGGACTAATTGGTAAATCTTAACATGCCCACACTGGGTCTTTTCCCCATGTCACGTGAGCCTGAACTTGGAACATCCATATTTCCAGAAGACATCAGGCTCTTTCTCTAGTGACCTTAGAAATCCCCGCATTGAAGGGAGATGGCCCTGGCATGGGGCCCCTGCCACTGGGTGGGGAGGGGTGGGGACCAGACTGTGCCAGGGACCCCAAGGAGTTGGAGGGTGCAGAGCTTCTTGACCTGAGTGGACAGGGAGACCCTCTGAGCTCATCCTCTGTAACAGGATGAGCATGGACTCTTCAGGGGACAAACTTCGTGCCTCGTGTGAAAAACGAAAGGGCCCCACGGGCTGTGTCTGATGGTGTTACCCACTGCACAGGGAAGGCACCTTTGCACCCCAGTCCCAGCCAGGAGAGCAGCAGGTCGCAATGTCTTGCTAGCCTGGCCCCTCTGCCCTCAATGACTTTGCAAGCACCTTGGCCTCCCTGTCCCACTCCCCTGCCGGCACCTGCGTGTCCCTGTCCTGCCGAGCTGCCAGCCTCACCTGCGTGCCTCTCGTCCTCATTTGAATAGGTGAGCAACCAAAGTCAGCTGTGCCGTTGGAGCCGGATTCCATCACTCAAAATCCAGGCACAGCTCCTTTTGAATTCCTCAGCTGCCCCGAGGCAGGGGCTCAATGTTGATACTGAGATTAATCCCCAAAGAGCTTCTCATTTCTCTGCAGAGAAATTAAAGCTTGCCAGTTTCCTTTTGCCCGTCCTTCTGACAGCTCTGTCAGTAATGATATGCCTGCCGCGTGGCATAATCCGTGTCCCGTGGTAAAGAATAATTCATTAAGAAATTTAGGGCCCAGCTCCTTTCCGTTGGGTTGGTCTTCAAAAGTTAACTAATGGCGGCAGCAGCACGATGATCAATGGAAAATTATTGAACAGAGCTCAGGGCTGCTTCAGACCAGCTCAAGGAGCCACCTGGGTGGAGAGCAGTCAGACCCACCCACCCCCTTAGATTTGTCAGCATTCCCTGAAACACAGTCAGACGGTGTTGATATGAGGTGTCTGCTGGGCGTGGACAGTGGGGTGGATGGGGTACTGCCCTAGTTTGGGAAGCAGCTTATTTTTAGCCTTGTAGAAGCAGCGTGAAGTGTCTACTGGTAAAGCCAGCACGACTTCTCCTCCCTTCTGAACACCAGCAAGAAGCTTCTAGATGTTTCTGATGAACAAATAGGAGTTCCTGTACTGGCTGAGAGGGGCAGCCTACATACTTAGGTTCTTTGGGGAGGTCAGTGCGTTTTTAGCAACCATTGGCGCATTGAGCATGAAATGGCGTGGAGCTGAAACTCACTACCAACTGCAGTGAAACCAACAAATGGAAGACGTGAACTGATGCTGGCCCTAATGACTCTGGGCAAGACGAGGGACATTATTGTTTTGCATGCATTGATAATGTGTCATCTGGAATCAGATTTTCTACTTTCATGTTGTTCGATAACAAGGTTGTGCCCTGTGAGTCTGGGATTGTGTGAGGCGAGCGTGCGTATTCATTCTACTGCAGAGGAGGCTGGGGAGGAATCAGAGCATCCTGTGTCTGCAAGGTCTGGCGTGTTTCTAAGGGAAGGCAGAGAAAGCCAGTGCTCCAAAGACAGCAGAGCAGACGCGAGGTTTGCAGGCATGAGGATGACAAATGAAATTCGCAGAATTCCTCAGACTTGATTTCCCTCCCTTCTATAATTAACCTCAGGGATACCTTGACTGCGCTGAGGTCCATGTGCTTGAGCACTTGCTGTCCTGCTTGCCCTGCCCTCCTCTGATTTTTTTTTGCACAGCATGATTCTATTTCTGCTATTGTTCAGAAACCATTAGCACCTATTCAGAAGTCAGTTATTCAGCTTTGAGCTGAATGACAATTATTTGAATGGTAAAGGGTGTTAATGTATAATTATTCACATTCATACCAGGACAGTCACAGTTTAATCATTTCTCTGTAGGCTTCCTTAAGTTTGTGCTTAAAGTCTTAGGCATAATTCTTTTGTTAAATAAGTTTAGGAGGCTCTAAGTATTGGGAAAGTGAGTATAAATACGCCTCTGGGGGAGCTTCAAGGATGTGGTGCCTCACCTCCAGGAGCGAGCCTCCTAGGTGAAACTGTCACTAGGCGCCCCACACTTCAGCCAGGAGGAAGGTCCATTTCCGAGGGCTGGTAGCATAATCTGGCCTCCAGGTGAGCTCTGAGGTCGTGTTCTGGCGTGCCCAGGACTAGATGGAGCCTACCGGGGCATTCCTATGTGTGACACAGAGCCCTGCCAGGCCCGGTCGGGCTCAGAGTGGGCTTAAATTAACCCTTCAGACCCTCGATTCCTCTGGACCCCTCTTTAAGATGATTGACGACCCCAAAGAGCTTTTGATGATAAGGGCTATATTGTGCACATTTGCCATATTGGAAATTAAACCTAAGACTTTTTTTTTTTTTTTTTTTTTTTTGCGACGGAGTCTCGCTCTGTTGCCCAAGCTTGAGTGCAGTGACACGATCTCGGCTTACTGCAACATCTGCCTCCTGGGTTCAAGAGATTCTTCTGCCTCAGCTTCATACACCCTGCATATGCCGGCTGCCTCCTCAAGCAGTACAGCTGGGATTACAGGCACCCGCCACCACACCCGGCTGATTTTAGTGTTTTTAGTAGAGTTGCGGTTTCACCATTTTGGCCAGGCTGGTCTTGAACTCCTGATCTTGTGATCCACCTGCCTCGGCCTCCCAAAGTGCTGGGATTACAGGCCTGAGCCACCACGCCCTGCCCTGAGACTTTTTAAATGTATTAACTTATTTAAAAATAACAACAGTAAACCTATGGCAGGATATCATAGGTAATATGCTTCTGGAAATGAGTTTTCCAAGACAGACACTTGAGGAGAGTGGCACTGTTGTCCATTTTTGCAGAATGGAATGCCTTGATGCCTGCCTCAGTGGAAGACAGCTGGGTTCTCAGATCTGCCTCTGCGTTTAATCCGTTGTGTTGTCACATCACGTAGCCCCCAGAAAACTCTTTTGTCACCTGTAAGAGAATGAGAATCTAAAAGGCAAATAACATCCTAGTATTGCTATGGAAATGATTTTGACCTCACAAACCCCCTAAAGGGGTCTCAGTGACCCCTGATGATCCCTAGACCACATTTTGAGAATCTCTGTTCTAAAAAGTCCATTTCTTTTACTCTAAAATATTACTCACATTGCCTGATATGTTGTGGGCTCCTCCTTTTTTAAATTTTTTTTATTATACTTTAAGTTCTAGGGTACATGTACACAATGTGCAGGTTTGTTACGTAGGTATACATGTGCTATGTTGGTGTGCTGCACCCATCTATTCGTCATTTATATTAGGTATTTCTCCTAATGCTATCCCTCCCCCAACCCCCCACCCCCCGACAGGCCCCAGTGTGTGATGTTCCCTGCCCTGTGTCCATGTGTTCTCATTGTTCAGTTCCCACCTGTGAGTGAGAACATGCGGTGTTTGGTTTTCTGTCCTTGTGATAGTTTGCTTAGAATGATGGTTTCCAACTTCATCCATGTCCCTGCAAAGGACATGAACTCATCCTTTTTTATGGCTGCATGGTATTCCATAGTGTACACATGCCACATTTTCTTTTTTTTTGGCATTTTTTTTAATTTATTATTATTATACTTTAAGTTTTAGGGTGCATGTGCATAATGTGCAGGTTAGTTACATATGTATACATGTGCCATGCTTGTGCACTGCACCCACTAACTCGTCATCTAGCATTAGGTATATCTCCCAATGCTATCCCTCCCCCGTCCCCCCACCCCACAACAGTCCCCAGAATGTGATGTTCGCCTTCCTGTGTCCATGTGTTCTCATTGTTCAGTTCCCACCTATGAGTGAGAATATGCAGTGTTTGGTTTTTTGTTCTTGCGATAGTTTACTGAGAATGATGATTTCCAATTTCATCCATGTCCCTACAAAGGACATGAACTCATCATTTTTTATGGCTGCATAGTATTCCATGGTGTATATGTGCCACATTTTCTTAATCCAGTCTATCATTGTTGGACATTTGGGTTGGTTCCAAGTCTTTGCTATTGTAAATAATGCCGCAATAAACATACGTGTGCACGTGTCTTTATAGCAGCATGATTTATAGTCCTTTGGGTATATACCCAGTAATGGGATGGCTGGGTCAAATGGTATTTCTAGTTCTAGATCCCTGAGGAATCGCCACACTGACTTCCACAATGGTTGAACTAGTTTACAGTCCCACCAACAGTGTAAAAGTGTTCCTATTTCTCCACATCCTCTCCAGCACCTGTTGTTTCCTGACTTTTTAATGATTGCCATTCTAACTGGTGTGAGACGGTATCTCATTGTGGTTTGGATTTGCATTTCTCTGATGGCCAGTGATGGTGAGCATTTTTTCATGTGTTTTTTGGCTGCATAAATGTCTACTTTTGAGAAGTGTCTGTTCATGTCCTTCGCCCACTTTTTTGATGGGGTTGTTTGTTTTTTTCTTGTAAATTTGTTTGAGTTCATTGTAGATTCTGGATATTAGCCCTTTGTCAGATGAGTAGGTTGCGAAAATTTTCTCCCATTTTGTAGGTTGCCTGTTCACTCTGATGGTAGTTTCTTTTGCTGTGCAGAAGCTCTTTAGTTTAATTAGATCCCATTTGTCAATTTTGTCTTTTGTTGCCATTGCTTTTGGTGTCTTAGACATGAAGTCCTTGCCCATGCCTATGTCCTGAATGGTAATGCCTAGGTTTTCTTCTAGGTTTTTTATGGTTTTAGGTCTAACGTTTAAGTCTTTAATCCATCTTGAATTGATTTTTGTATAAGGTGTAAGGAAGGGATCCAGTTTCAACTTTCTACATATGGCTAGCCAGTTTTCCCAGCACCATTTATTAAATAGGGAATACTTTCCCCATTGCTTGTTTTTGTCAGGTTTGTCAAAGATCAGATAGTTGTAGATATGCGGCGTTATTTCTGAGGACTCTGTTCTGTTCCATTGGTCTATATCTCTGTTTTGGTACCAGTACCATGCTGTTTTGGTTACTGTAGCCTTGTAGTATAGTTTGAAGTCAGGTAGTGTGATGCCTCCAGCTTTGTTCTTTTGGCTTAGGATTGACTTGGCGATGCGGGCTCTTTTTTGGTTCCATACGAACTTTAAAGTAGTTTTTTCCAATTCTGTGAAGAAAGTCATTGGTAGCTTGATGGGGATGGCACTGAATCTGTAAATTACCTTGGGCAGTATGGCCATTTTCACGATATTGATTCTTCCTACCCATGAGCATGGAATGTTCTTCCATTTGTTTGTATCCTCTTTTATTTCATTGAGCAGTGGTTTGTAGTTCTCCTTGAAGAGGTCCTTCACATCCCTTGTAAGTTGGATTCCTAGGTATTTTATTCTCTTTGAAGTGATTGTGAATGGGAGTTCACTCATGATTTGGCTCTCTGTTTGTCTGTTATTGGTGTATAAGAATGCTTGTGATTTTTGTACATTGATTTTGTATCCTGAGACTTTGCTGAAGTTGCTTTTCAGCTTAAGGAGATTTTGGGCTGAGACAGTGGGGTCTTCTGGATATACAATCATGTCATCTGCAAACAGGGACAATTTTACTTCCTCTTTTCCTAATTGAATACCCTTTATTTCCTTCTCCTGCCTGATTGCCCTGGCCAGAACTTCCAACACTATGTTGAATAGGAGTGGTGAGAGAGGGTATCCCTGTCTTGTGCCAGTTTTCAAAGGGAATGCTTCCAGTTTTTGCCCATTCAGTATGATATTGGCTGTGGGTTTGTCATAGATAGCACTTATTATTTTGAGATACGTCCCATCAATACCTAATTTATTGAGAGTTTTTAGCATGAAGGGTTGTTGAATTTTGTCAAAGGCCTTTTCTGCATCTATTGAGATAATCATGTAGTTTTTGTCTTTGGTTCTGTTTATATGCTGGATTACATTTATTGATTTGCATATATTGAACCAGCCTTGCATCCCAGGGATGAAGCCCACTTGATCATGGTGGATCAGCTTTTTGATGTGCTGCTGGATTCGGTTTGCCAGTATTTTATTGAGGATTTTTGCATCAATGTTAATTAAGGATATTGGTCTAAAATTCTCTTTTTTGGTTGTGTCTCTGCCCAGCTTTGGTATCAGGATGATGCTGGCCTCATAAAATGAGTTAGGGAGGATTCCCTCCTTTTCTATTGATTGGAATAGTTTCAGAAGCAATGGTACCAGTTCCTCCTTGTACCTCTGGTAGAATTCGGCTGTGAATCCATCTGGTCCTGGACTCTTTTTGTTGATAAGCTATTGATTATTGCCACAATTTCAGCTCCTGTTATTGGTCTATTCAGAGATTCAACTTCTTCCTGGTTTAGTCTTGGGAGAGTGTATGTGTCAAGGAATTTATCCATTTCTTCTAGATTTTCTAGTTTATTTGTGTAGAGGTGTTTGTAGTATTCTCTGATGGTAGTTTGTATTTCTGTGGGATTGGTGATGATATCCCCTTTATCATTTTTTATTGCGTCTATTTGATTCTTCTCTCTCTTTTTCTTTATTAGTCTTGCTAGCGGTCTATCAATTTTGTTGATCCTTTCAAAAAGCCAACTCCTGGATTCGTTAATTTTTTGAAGGGTTTTTTGTGTCTCTATTTCCTTCAGTTCTGCTCTGATTTTAGTTATTTCTTGCCTTCTGCTAGCTTTTGAATGTGTTTGCTCTTGCTTTTCTAGTTCTTTTAATTGTGATGTTAGGGTGTCAATTTTGGATCTTTCCTGCTTTCTCTTGTGGGCATTTAGTGCTATAAATTTCCCTCTACACACTGCTTTGAATGCGTCCCAGAGATTCTGGTATGTTGTGTCTTTGTTCTCGTTGGTTTCAAAGAACATCTTTATTTCTGCCTTCATTTCATTATGTACCCAGTAGTCATTCAGGAGCAGGTTGTTCAGTTTCCATGTAGTTGAGCGGTTTTGAGTGAGATTCTTAATCCTGAGTTCTAGTTTGATTGCACTGTGGTCTGAGAGATAGTTTGTTATAATTTCTGTTCTTTTACATTTGCTGAGGAGAGCTTTACTTCCAAGTATGTGGTCAATTTTGGAATAGGTGTGGTGTGGTGCTGAAAAAAATGTATATTCTGTTGATTTGGGGTGGAGAGTTCTGTAGATGTCTATTAGGTCCTCTTGGTGCAGAGCTGAGTTCAATTCCTGGGTATCCTTGTTGACTTTCTGTCTCGTTGATCTGTCTAATGTTGACAGTGGGGTGTTAAAGTCTCCCATTATTAATGTGTGGGAGTCTAAGTCTCTTTGTAGGTCACTCAGGACTTGCTTTACGAATCTGGGTGCTCCTGTATTGGGTGCATATATATTTAGGATAGTTAGCTCTTCTTGTTGAATTGATCCCTTTACCATTAAGTAATGGCCTTCTTTGTCTCTTTTGATCTTTGTTGGTTTAAAGTGTGTTTTATCAGAGACTAGGATTGCAACCCCTGCCTTTTTTTGTTTTCCATTTGCTTGGTAGATCTTCCTCCATCCTTTTATTTTGAGCCTGTGTGTGTCTCTGCCCGTGAGATGGGTTTCCTGAATACAGCACACTGATGGGTCTTGACTCTTTATCCAATTTGCCAGTCTGTGTCTTTTAATTGGAGCATTTAGTCCATTTACATTTAAAGTTAATATTGTTATGTGTGAATTTGATCCTGTCATTATGATGTTAGCTGGTTATTTTGCTCGTTAGTTGATGCAGTTTTTTCCTAGTCTTGATGGTCTACATTTTGGCATGATTTTGCAGCGGCTGGTACCGGTTGTTCCTTTCCATGTTTAGTGCTTCCTTCAGGAGCTCTTTTAGGGCAGGCCTGGTGGTGACAAAATCTCTCAGCATTTGCTTGTCTGTAAAGTATTTTATTTCTCCTTCACTTAAGAAGCTTAGTTTGGCTGGATATGAAATTCTGGGTTGAAAATTCTTTTCTTTAAGAATGTTGAATATTGGCCCCCATTCTCTTCTGGCTTGTAGAGTTTCTGCCAAGAGATCTGCTGTTAGTCTGATGGGCTTCCCTTTGAGGGTAACCCGACCTTTCTCTCTGGCTGCCCTTAACATTTTTCCTTCATTTCAACTTTGGTGAATCTGACAATTATGTGTCTTGGAGTTGCTCTTCTCGAGGAGTATCTTTGTGGCATTCTCTGTATTTCCTGAATCTGAATGTTGGCCTGCCTTGCTAGATTGGGGAAGTTCTCCTGGATAATATCCTGCAGAGTGTTTTCCAACTTGGTTCCATTCTCCCTGTCACTTTCAGGTACACCAATCAGACATAGATTTGGTATTTTCACATAGTCCCATATTTCTTGGAGGCTGTGCGCGTTTCTTTTTATTCTTTTTTCTCTAAACTTCTCGCTTCATTTCATTCATTTCATCTTCCATCGCTGATACCCTTTCTTCCAGTTGATTGCATCGGCTCCTGAGGCTTCTGCATTCTTCACGTAGTTCTCGAGCCTTGGTTTTCAGCTCCATCAGCTCCTTTAAGCACTTCTCTGTATTGGTTACTCTAGTTATACATTCTTCTAAATTTTTTTCAAAGTTTTCAACTTCTTTGCCTTTGGTTTGAATGTCCTCCCGTAGCTCGGAGTAATTTGATCGTCTGAAGCCTTCTTCTCTCAACTCGTCAAAGTCATTCTCCATCCAGCTTTGTTCCGTTGCTGGTGAGGAACTGCGTTCCTTTGGAGGAGGAGAGGCGCTCTGCTTTTTAGAGTTTCCAGTTTTTCTGCTCTGTTTTTTCCCCATCTTTGTGGTTTTATCTACCTTTGGTCTTTGATGATGGTGATGTACAGATGGGTTTTTGGTGTGGATGTCCTTTCTGTTTGTTAGTTTTCCTTCTAACATACAGGACCCTCAGCTGCAGGTCTGTTGGAGTACCCGGCCGTGTGAGGTGTCAGTCTGGCCCTGCTGGGGGGTGCCTCCCAGTTAGGCTGCTTGAGGGTCAGGGGTCAGGGACCCACTTGAGGAGGCAGTCTGCCCGTTCTCAGATCTGTAGCTGCGTGCTGGGAGAACCACTGCTCTCTTCAAAGCTGTCAGACAGGGACATTTAAGTCTGCAGAGGTTACTGCTGTCTTTTTGTTGGTCTGTGCCCTGCCCCCAGAGGTGGAGCCTACAGAGGCAGGCAGGCCTCCTTGAGCTGTGGTGGGCTCCACCCAGTTCGAGCTTCCCGGCTGCGTTGTTAACCTAAGCAAGCCTGGGCAATGGCGGGTGCCCCTCCCCAAGCCTCGCTGCCACCTTGCAGTTTGATCTCAGACTGCTGTGCTAGCAATCAGCGAGACTCCGTGGGCATAGGACCCTCCAAGCCAGGTGCGGGATATAATCTCCTGGTGCGCCGTTTTTTAAGCCCGTCGGAAAAGGGCAGTATTCAGGTGGGAGTGACCCGATTTTCCAGGTGCCGTCTGTCACCAATTTCTTTGACTAGGAAAGGGAACTCCCTGACCCCTTGCGCTTCCGGAGTGAGGCAATGCCTCGCCCTGCTTTGGCTCGCGCACGGTGCACGCACCCACTGACCTGCGCCCACTGTCTGGCACTCCCTAGTGAGATGAATCCGGTACCTCAGATGGAAATGCAGAAATCACCCATCTTCTGCGTCGCTCACACTGGGAGCTGTAGACCAGAGCTGTTCCTATTCGGCCATCTTGGCTCCTCCCCATGTGCCACATTTTCTTAATCCACATCATTGATGGGCATTTGGGTTGGTTCCAAGTCTTTGCTATTGTGAATAGTGCCGCAGTAAACATACATGTGCATGTGTCTTTATAGTAGCATGATTCACAGCTGAATTCTACCAGAGGTACAAAGAAGAGCTGGTACCATTCCTTCTGAAACTATTCCAATGAATAGAAAAAGAGGGAATCCTCACTAACTCATTTTATGAGGCCAGCATCATCCTAATACCAAAGGCTGGCAGAGACACAACAAAAAAAGAGAATTTTAGGCCAATATCCCTGATGAACATTGATGTGAAAATCTTCAATAAAATGCTGGCAAACCGAATCCAGCAGCACATCAAAAAGTTTATCCACCACCATCAAGTCGGCTTCATCCCTGGGATCCAAGGCTGGTTCAACATACACAAATCAATAAACATGTTCCATCACGTAAACAGAACCAAAGACAAAAACCATATGATTATCTCAATAGATGCAGAAAAGGCCTTCAACAAAATTCAGCAGCGCTTCATGCTAAAAACTCTCAGTAAACTAGGTATTGACGGAACGTATCTCAAATAATAAGAGCTATTTATGACAAACCCACAGCCAATATCATACTGAATGGGCAAAACTGGAAACATTCACTTTGAAAATCGGCACAAGACAAGGATGCAGTCTCTCACCACTCCTGTTCAACATACTGCTGGAAGTTCTGGCTAGGGCAATCAGGCAAGAGAAAGAAATAAAGGGTATTCAATTAGGAAAAGAGGAAGTCAGTTGTCTCTGTTTGCAGATGACATGATTCTATATTTAGAAAACCCCATTGTCTCAGCCCAAAATCTCCTCTTTTTTATTTTCGAAAAAATTACAGCAGAGTTCACTCTTCTTGGTGTGCAGCAGGAGGTGCACGTGCTGTGCTTGTCCATCAGTGTCTGCTTTGTGCATCTCTGTTGACCTGCCTCTAACACTGGGACGAGCATCAGCCAAATCAGAACCAGGTCAGAGCCCCTACGCCCTGGTCAGATCAGAACCAGGTCAGAACTCCCCTACACCACAGTCAGATCAGAACCAGGTCAGAACCCCTATACCAAGCTTGTCCAATCCTCAGCCTGCGAGCCACCTGCAGCCCAGGATAGCTTTGAATGTGGCCCAACATAAATTCATAAACTTTCTTAACACATTATGAGTTTTTTTATGATTTTTTTTAACTCCTCAGCTATCATTAGTGTTAGTTATTTTATATGTGGCCTAAGACAATTCTTCCAGTATGGCTCAGGGAAGCCAAAAGATTAGACACCCCTGCCCTACACCTTGGTCAGATCAGATCCAGGTCAGAGGCCCTACATCCTGTCCCCACAGTGGACAGGTTGGAAATGTAAGGTCGTGTGGCCACTGGGGGCCCAGGATGGGCTCTGCCTCAGAGGCACTTCCTTCCACCTGGCCTGTTTTAATCAACAGTCATTAAAGGGAAATCTAAAGATGTTTAAAACGTTGTGTATTTTCTCGTTAGCAGAGCCAAGAATCAGTCTGCAGGGAGCAAAGAGCTTGAGTGTGGAGTTAGAAGTCGGGGTCCGGGAAAGGGTGCTTGTTTCTGAGGCTAACATGCATCAGGTGCTCCAAGTGGGCTCTCATTGACCCCAGGATGCCATCAGCCCCCTTGCCCTGCCTGGAGTATATCACATGGGCCCTGGGTGCCTGGGCCTGTGGAGCCACAGCTGCTGAGGTCCGGTGTTTTTAAAGCCTGAGAGAGGCCATCTGGGGGTAGCACTACAGGAGATGGGAAGAGGCCCCCAGGAAACCAGGGAGAGCAAGAAGGTCTTCTAAGGACTCATGTCCTCTTACCAACTACCATGTAGTTAAGAATGCCTTACGAAGGGGGACGGGAGAGTCAAGGGATAGAAAATCAGTCCTTAAAATCTGCACTGTCCTTTCCACATACAAAGCACCTTTCACACAGGTGAGCTCATTTACCCTCAGATGGCACTTACTGTTGTGGGAACCTCATTTTACCAGGAGGAAACGGAGGGGCGACAGGACAGCGTTCTAGGAAGTAGCTCAGCTGTGGACATTTTGTGGTGAGCTCTCAGGGACAGCAGCAGGCATGGGATGCCTGCAGAGAGGCTTTCAGGAGAGCGCTGGCCCCACCTGCAGGCCCCCAGGGCGACCTTGGATAGGCTGCCGTCTGGGCCTGGGAGACTTCTCACCTGCAGAGTGGATGATGGGGGACCTTGAGGACTGAACAGGAGAAAGCACACTGAACCGAGCCTGGTACCTAGTAAGCACTCAGTAAGTCTTGGCACTTACTGTGATAATTGCATTTTAAGCCCAGCTACCAAAATTTCCAGACCTACGTTACCATCTTCAAATGAGTGCCCCTACCCGTTTCCCTAACGTTGCTCAAACTTGCATTTTCTGAGGAGCGTCTGTTGGATGCCTTTGGCCCTTGCACCACGTACAGCTTTCCACGCTTATTGGCTGGCCACTGGGTACCAAGGACCATGGCGGGCACTCTGGAATGCTCTGTTTTGGCAAACTTTCTTCCCCAAGAACAGATTTGACTTTTGAAAAGTGGTCTGAAAGTCAGCCTCCCCAGCCCTGGTCACAGCAGAAATAGTTTTGGACCCAGGTGAGTTGAGTCCACAAAATAACAGGCCGTGTCTACTTGAGCTGAAGCCTTATCAGTTGGCCCAGTAGGTCCCATCTGAAGAAGCCCTGTATTTTTGAAAAATGTTAACTCTCCCTAAAAGGTTACATTGAACGGCAACACCCGGGAGGCTGCTGTTGGCCTTGCCAGCAAGCTGAACCTGCAGTTGAGTGGCCACGCGTGTGGTGCGAGGCGTGCAGCCCATCCCTGAGGGCTCCCCTGCATGGGAAAGGAGGCTGGGAGGTTCGCCAGGACTGCATGTGGCCCTCGCACCAAGAACCTGACCCATGGTGGAGGTGGTGAGTGCTGTGTGGTCGGCCTTGATGTTTATACGAGAGTCTCTGAGGTGTAGACATCAGTGTCTCCATTTTGGGGAGAGGGAGGCGGTTTTCTTCCCAGCTTACCATTACCACTGTGTTCGAGGAGGGACTGATATTTCGAGTGGGGTCACCATCACACTCACACCACCAAGGCTGCTTTCCACCACTCAGCTTTCTCATGCATCCCGTTTCCCAGAGGTGGCCAGTGCCTGGGCCCTGAGTCGGTTGAGACTCATCCAGAGCAGAGCTGCAGAAGCTGGGCTGGCTCCAGACAGAGATGACCCAAAGCCTGTGTCAGCATTTGGGTGCCTGGGCCCACCGTCCAGGCCTGAGAGAGCATCAGTGAGGCTCGGAGCCCCCATCAGCCAGGTCAGGCCGTGGCTCTGAGCCTAGTGCTCCTTTCTAAATGGGAGTTGCAACGCCAGCTTTGCAAAGTGGTTGTCAGGGCTCACTGAGGGGCTCTGGGGAGACTTTGGGGGAAGGATAATGATTGGGGAAGTAGAAATTGGCTCCCAAAATGCTAGAGCAGGACTTAAGGGACTGATGGCCAGGCACCTGCCCAGTGTGGCATCCTCCCATCGTTGGCTCGAGCGCTGAGCTGCACCTCTGTGTCAGGACTTGCTCTCAGTGTTCTGTCTGGGGAGGTCATGTGCCTACTGGGTGGGGCAGGTCCTTGTGTGGGAGGAGCCAGAAACTCCCTTTTTTCTTAAAAGTTATTGGGCCAGAGGTCATGAATTCACCCTTAGCCTATGATCTCCAGTAACTCTACCATCCGCAGGAAAATGACTTCACACCATGCGTAGGGCTGGAAGGAGCACTGGGATGGAGTCCCACCTCGGTGCGCGACCCGGGGCGTTCAGCAGTGCCCCAGGACCGCAGCAGCCCATGCTCAGAGCCAGGTCCTCAGGGCCGGGGCATTCAGCAGTGCCCCACTACCATAGCAGCCCATGCTCAGAGCCAGGTCATCAGGGCCAGGGCATTCAGCAGTGCCCCACGGCTGCAGCGGCCCATGCTCAGAGCCAGGTCCTCAGGGCTGGGGCGTTCAGCAGTGCCCCACTACCACAGCAGCCCATGCTCAGAGCCAGGTCATCAGGGCCGGGGCATTCAGCAGTGCCCCACGGCTGCAGCGGCCCATGCTCAGAGCCAGGTCCTCAGGGCTGGGGCGTTCAGCAGTGCCCCACTACCATAGCAGCCCATGCTCAGAGCCAGGTCATCAGGGCCGGGGCATTCAGCAGTGCCTCACAACTGCAACGGCCCATGCTCAGAGCCAGGTTCTCAGGGCCGGGGCGTTCAGCAGTGCCGCACGACTGCAGTGGCCCATGCTCAGAGCCAGGTCTTCAGGGCCGGGGCATTCAGCACTGCCCCACCACCGCAGCTGCCCATGCTCAGAGCCAGGTCATCAGGGCCGGAAGATGGCAACTTGATGCTTAGCCTTCAAAGAGGTGGTAAACGATAAAAAAACGGAGCCATGCCTGGATTCAAGAGCCTCTGAAATCCTACCACCTAATCACTGTCTTCCCTAATTTCCCCTTGGCCGCTATGTGGGTGGTATATGGTGGGCTGTTGGGTGGAGCGGGGCGGGTCGTTACTGATCTATCTGGAATACCCGCTTTATCTCTACCCAGCAAACTGCTACCCATCCAAGACCCAGGCCCACCTGTCACTTCCACTCTGGCACCTCGTTCGCCATCACCTCACTCAGGAGGGTTCCACTGGTGCTTGCCGGCGAACGCCACCATTTTTTGCAGCATATCTCATAGCTTGTTGGAAACCCACGTTGAGTTGGGGCTTTGTTCATCCACAGGTGCTGTCACGCATCCGTTTTCAGGAGACAGAGATGTCCTCTGTGGCCCTCCGTTGGCCGACCCTGTTGGGTGCAGCAGCTGTCAGTGGACAGAGGTGCATCAGTGCGTTGGTTGGTGGCATCGTGGCCTCACCGGCCCACAGTTCTGACAGAGGTGTCTGTGTTTCACCAACTCAGTCTGTCCCTGCCCATTGTCCGCACACTCATTCCCTCCATGCCCCAGTCTGGCACCCTCAAGTGCAAGTGCGTGCATTTAATTCACGTAGTGTGTTGGTTGGGTGCACTCCTGGACCTTTGGGGAGACTGTCTTCTTCCATGTTAGCTGCTTCCTTCTTCCCTGTGGGGTCATAGAGGTCACAGCTGACATGCTGAAACAAATGCCATTGTTTTCACTTAAACCACATTGTATTCCATAGCCGCTGTGTCATATGCGTATATATAATAGTGTGTAAGGCGTATGGAAAGAAGAGATTGTGTCCAGACTGGCTACAGATGGTCATCCTAATGGCGGAAGCAGCCAGGCCAGTTGGGCTTGACTCTGGAGCTTTGGAGGGCCATCCTCAGTGTATTTGTTTTTATTTGTGGAGGCCCCGCAGCGCTCATGCTGGCCATGCCTGGCTGGGATGGGATGACCTGGTGAGGACAGAGGAGGACAGCCTCTGCTTCCATGATGAATAAAACAGCATCTGGCTGGGTAGGAGGAAAGCCTGTGCTTGTTCAGCCTCAAGTACGTGTTTGAAAGCTTGCCCCAAAGACATTCCAAAAACCAGGCAGTGGTGGTGTCCTGTCCTTCTAGAGGCCAGGTTGTCCAGGCCCAGGGGAGTCTTGCTTAGGGGTCAGTGAGCGCTGGGACTCAGTCTGGCTCCTGGCAAGCCCAGAGAACCCCACTGCTGAGTCTCTACACAAGGCATTGGACGGGGCTGCTGTGGGTGTGCGCCAGGCCACCTCCATGCCTGGGCAGCTGTGCACAAGCTGGCTATGAGCTCCATGGCATACAGAGCACGTCCAAACTAACCTGGTAGCCCAGTCCCATGGAAAGTGTGTGACATCGTGTCCCTGCCTTCGGAGTGAGCAAGCCACAAGCCAGATGTCAGGGGCTGTTCCTTCTGCAGGTCACCCACTGGCTGGCCAAGCACCGTGAAGCTGGGCGCACCTCCTCCAGGGACCATACTAAAGCAGCTAGCAGCACCTTCCCCCTGCTGTGAACCCCATGCCTGACCTGAGCCTGAGCCCTCACAGGCCTGGCAAAGGCTGCCTGCAGAGGCCTGGGCCACACAGGCCCTATGGCTTTCCTGCGTGCCACGGAGAGCCAGCCAGTGGGGCTGCAGGCACCTCCTCCCGCTCACTCTCAGTGTGCGCCTCCACAGGGACCACAGACCACAGGAGCTCCTGGCCCGCCACATCGCCAGCCGTGTGCGCAAGGTTTATCAGGTTCCTCTTGGCCAGGTTGAAGTAGATGCCGGGTGGGGATCTGTAGGCCCTGGTTGTGTTTACAGAAGATGCTGCCCTTCACTGTCTTCCAGCCTCCCAGGAAAGGATGGTCCCCAGGCTCCATGCTGACACCACCCACCTTGCTTCACCCAGTAGGCGCTTACTGTATGTCTACTCTAGGTCATCCACAGTGCTGAGTGTTGGGATAGAGCCCCGGGAGGTAGGTGCCTGGTCCTCCGTGAGTCTGGTGGAGGAGCCCTCCGTGGTGACAGCCTTCTGTGAGAGCATGGCAGGTGGTGGGGCCTCGTAGAGGGAAAGATTTTGCAGAAAATGTGACCTAGATTCCCTTTTAAATAGGAAATACTGGTCCCTAGTGTCTTGAACTTTGGGGAGAAAACTCCCTTTGATTAAAGAGAAGGTAACTTGGAAATGTGTTTTCCCTCATCTTTTTGTTAATTTATTTTTTAAATTAACATGTAGTGAAATTGGCTTTTTGTGGGGTATACAGTCCCGTGAATGTTAACGCGTGTGTGTGTTTCTGTAACCACCCCCAAAATCAGGGTGCAGAGGAGTTCCACCACCTGGACACCCCCACGCCGCCCCCTGGCAGCCACGGCCTCTCCCCACCCCCATTCCAGCTCTCAGCAACTGCGACGTGTTCTCCAACACCGTGGCTTTGTGTTTTTGAGAATGTCTTATAAATGGAATCAGACAGTATTTAACCTTTGGAGCCTGGCTTTTTTCACTCAGGTTAATGCCTTTGAGATTCATCCAAGTTGTTGCATGTATCTACAGCTTATTCATTTTTCTTGCTGAGTGTACGCTACCGTGTGGGTATATCTCCATTGATCTGTTTTTTATTTTGGCCATTCTAATAGATATGTAATGATATCTCATTGTTTTCATTTGCGTTTCCCCGATGGCCAGTTATGTTGAACATCTTCTTTTGTGGTTATTGACCCCTCCTTATATCCTCTTTGGGGAAGTGTCAATTCAAGTCTTTTGCCTTTTTTTTAAGTTAGGTGGTTTGTTGAGTTTCAGTTTGGAACTGTTGAGTTTGGAAAAATCTTTATATATTCTGGATAGGATAGGACTCTTGTTGGATTTCTTATTTCCAAAT
Source organism: Homo sapiens (assembly GCF_000001405.40). Classification (NCBI taxonomy): domain Eukaryota; kingdom Metazoa; phylum Chordata; class Mammalia; order Primates; family Hominidae; genus Homo; species Homo sapiens. The sequence goes on from NC_000010.11 coordinate 129,745,902, forward strand.
ATTTTCTCCTAGCTAGTAGTAGCTAGTCTTTTATTCTCTTAACACTGACTTTCAGCCGGGTGCGGAAGCTCATGCCTGTAATCCCAGCACTTTGGGAGGCCAAGGGGGCGGATCATGAGGTCAGGAGATCGACTGCATCCTGGCTGACACAGTGAAACCCTGTCTCTACTAAAAAAATACAAAAAAAATTAGCCAGGCGTGGTGGCAGGCGCCTGTAGTCCCAGCTACTCAGGAGGCTGAAGCAGGAGAATGGCGTGAACCCGGGAGGCAGAGCTTGCAGTGAGCCGAGATCGCACCACTTTGCTCCAGCCTAGGGGACAGAGCGAGACTCTGTCTCAAAAAAAAAAAAAAAAACAAACAAAAAAAAACACCTGACTTTCATAGACCAAACTTTTTCACAAACAAGTTTTTTTTCCCTTTTTAATGAAGTTCAATTTATCTCTCTCTTTTTTTTATCATGATTTGAAGGACATATCTAACAACTGTTTGCCTAACCCCAGGTCATGAAGATTTGTCATATAGTTTCTTTTTTTTTTTAGTTTAATGTTTTACATTTAAATCTATGATATATTTTGAGTTAATTTGTTTAAGTAAGTCATGAGATTTACATCACGTTTCACTATTTGCCTATGGATATCCAATTTTCCAGCACCTCTTTTTGAAAATAATATGCTTTCTTCATTGAAATCCCTTTGCACCTTTGTCAATAAACATTTGGTCGTGCTTCAGTAGGTCTATTTTGGAAATCTCTCTTCTATTCTGTTAACTCCATCCAGTAACTCCATCAATACTCCAACAAGCTGGGTATTTATCCCTTTGCAAATACATAATTATTATTATGTATAGTAAGTCTTGAAACCTGTCAGTGTGATTTCTCTAACCTTTTTTGTCTCTTGTAAAATATGTTGGCTAGTCTCAATCCTTTGCCCTTTCATCTAAATTTTAGAGTCAACATGTCTATCTGCAATAAATTCTTCTAGGGTTTTTTAATTGGAATGATAATAAACCTATAGGTCAGTTTGTTAGAATTCAAATTTTATGATATTGAGATTTCCATGAACATGATATGTCTCCTCAGTTATTCAGACATTCTTGTGATTACTTTTTCAGCATTTTGTAATTTCCAACAAACAGAGCCTATATACAAATTGTTAGATTTACATCTAAGTATTTTATTTGGTTGGAGCCATTATCAGTGGTATATAGAAAGGTGATTGATTTTTATTTAGTAACCTTGTATCTAGTGACTTTGCTAAACTCACTTATTAGTTCTAAGACTTTTCTATTATTTCCTGGGTATTTTCCCATAGACAATTATGTTGTCTGCAAATAGGGAGAGTTTGTTTCTTCTTTTCTAAAACAATTGTCTTCTATTTCCTCATCTTGCTTTTTTTGCACAGTTAGGTATGATGTTAACTGTGGGTTTTTTGCAGATACAGTTGTCAGATTGAGGATGTTACCTTCTGTTCTTAGGTTGCTGAGAGCTTTTATCATGAATAGGTGTTAAATTGTATTAAATATTTTTTCTGACTGGATATAGATTATGTGTTTTTCTAGGATATTAATATGATAGCTATTGTTCGTTTTTAATAGCCTTTGTTTTTAGAATAGTTTCGGATTTACAGAAAAATTGAAAAATCAGTAGGGTTCTCTGATACTGCACACCTATTTTCCCAAATTATACCATTGATTCTTATTATGATGACATTTACACTTGACATCTTACATTAGTACGGTACATGTGTTATGATTCATGAACCATTGTTGGTACCTTAATATTAACTAAAGTCCTATGATCTTGAAGTTTTCTTAGTTTTTACCTACTGCCCTTCTTCCATTCCAGGATCCTGCCTTGGATACTGCATTCCTAGCTCCTTTGGCCCCTCTTGGCTGTGACAGGTCCTTAGTTTTAGATGGCCTAGACAGTGTTAAGGAGTACTGATTAACTATTTTGTAGAATGTTCCTCTTTTGGAATGTTTTATGCTTTTCTCATGATTTGACTGGAGTTACAGTGTGTGAGGAGAAAAACCACATAGGTAAGCTGTCATTTTCCTGAGATCGTATCAAGGAGTCATGCTGTCAGTGTCATTTATCATTGTTGATGTCAACTTTGATTACCTGGCTGGGTAGTGGTGTTTGTCAGGTGACTCTATGATAAAGTTACCTTCCCCCATCTCCCCTGCGTACTGCACTCGTCCCGAAGAAGTTGCTGTACCTAACACACTTAGGAATGGGGAGTTACGCTCCTTGAAGACAGAGTATCTACATAAGTTACTGGGAATGCTTCTGCATGGGAGAGTTCTTCTCCCTCACCTATTTCTGTATTCAGTCATTTTTTTATGTTAGTATGGACTCAGGGATATTGATATTTTGGGTTGTCTTCCAATACTACTTTATTTTGTTGCTGAGATTATCCCAGTTTTGGCCATTTGGGAGATTGTGCAGTTTGCTCCTGTGTCCCTTTGTCGTACTCTCCTCATCGTGGTTTGACTGGAATGTTTGTCTTTGTTCTTTTGCTTCATTTCATTTTGGAGTGTGTCCTGACTTTCTGATACTGCAAGATTCTCAAGGCTCATCTTGTGTATTTCCTGTCCCAGTCCTAGGGAGGAAAAGGCCAGTTCTTGAAGGAGTCTTGTGTCTTTTATTATAAAATGCATGAGAAACCATGGACTGGGCACTAGGTTTGCTCCTTGCTATGGGGGTGGTGTTGTTTCTAAGTCTTCTCAGTTGACAGACCACAGAAGTAGCTTTCTGTATACTAACCCACGGACAGATAAATATTGTAAACATTTCTGTATGCAATTATCTGTGTCTATATTAAGCTAAACATTAGTTCCTATTGATATCTGCAACTCTAATCCATTACCACATGGATTCTTCTAGCCTCCTCTCCTTACTTATCTGTAAAATCCCACTCACAATGAGAAACCTGGCTCACACTTTCTGCCATCCATTTACTTAATTATTCAAGCCCAGTATACATATAGAATAGTATCAGAGAGTTTAACACCTGTGCTCATGGGAAACAACTTTATCAACTAGAGTTCAGTATTTATGTACAGTTCCTTTTGCCTTTAGTCTTACAGACTCCACTCACTTTCAAGTTACTTTTGGAGAAATCAGCTCCCCTCCCCCATTCAGTGAGGACGTTTTATAAGTTTATAATACAGTCAGATTCTCTTGTCACAGTCTGTGTTTCTTCCCAGGATCCCCTGATCTCCTAAATATTTTGTTGTTGTTAATTTACATACATTGCTTAGATTCACTCTTTGTGCTGTAAGCTTCTATGGCCTTTGATAGATGTATGATATCATGTTTTCACCATTACAGTAACATGCAGAATAATTTTACACCCTAAAAATCCCCCTGTGCTCCACCTATTCAGTCCCCCGCTCCTTCTGAAAGTGCCCCGGCAACCACTTATCTTTTTTCTGTCTATATAGTTTTGCTTCTTCCAGAATGTCATCTAGTTGGGATCATACAGTATGTAGCCTTTTCGGCTGGCTTCCTTTGCTTAGCAATATACATTTAGTTTTCTCCGTGTCTTCTGCATAGCTCATTTTTTTCACTGAATAATATTCCATTGTATGGATGTACCATAGTTGTTTATCCGTTCACCTATCGAACAACATTTTGGTCACTTACAACTTTTGGCAGTGTTAATAAAGCTGCTATAAACATTCACAGGCAGGTTTTTGTGAGGATGTCAGTTTTCAAATCAGTAGAGTAAATACCTAGGTGTGCAATTGCCAGATCACATGGTAAGGCTCTGTCTTTGAAAGAAATTGCAAAACAGTCTTCCAAAGTGGCTTTACCATTTTGCATTCCCATCAGCAATGATTAAGCATCCTTTTTGCTCCACATCCTTGCCAGCAGTTTTTGGTACTGTCACTGTTTGGATTTTTAGCCATTCTAAAAGCCATTGTAATCATATTCATTATTTTAGTGTGCAGCTCCTAAAGACAAATTATGTTAAATATCTTTCCTTGTGCTTATTTGTCACCTATATATATTCTTTGGTGAAGTGTCTGTTAAGACTTGCCCATTTTTTAATTGGGTTGTTTGACTTTTTTCTTGTTGAATTTTAAGAGTCTTTTTATAATATATTTTAGATGCAAGTCTTTTTTCAGATATGTGTCTTACATATATCTTCTCCTAGTCTGCCTCTCGTTTTCAGAGTCTCAGCATCTTTTGTAGTAAAGAAGTTTTTAATTTTAATAAACTCCAGCTTATTCATTTTTTTCTTTCATGAATCATGTTGTATCTAAAAACTCTTCTCCCAACCTAAGGTTGCTTAGATTTTCTCCTGTGTTATATTCTGAAAGTTTATGATTTTCCCTTTTAGATTTAGGTCCATGATCCATTTTGAGTTCATTTTTGAGAAAGGTATAAAGTCTGTATCTGGATTCACTTCTTTTTCGTGTGATGTCTAATTGTTCCAGGGCCATTTGTTTAAAAGACTATGCTTTCTCCATTGAATTGCTTTTTGCTTTTTTTTGTCAAAGATCTTTGTCAAAGTCTAAATTTGGCCCTTGTATTTATGGGTTCCACATCCATGTATTCAACCAACTGCAGATAAAAAATGTTCAACAACAAGGAAAGAATGGTTGCATCTTTACTGAAAGCGTACAGACTTTTTCTCCTTGTCATTATCCTCTCAACAATACAGTATAACAGCTATTTACATAGCATTTACATTATTCTAGATATCCTAAGTAATCTAGAAATGATTTAAAGTCTACAGGAGGATGTGCAAGGGTTATATGCAAATACTATGCCATTTTATATCAGGAACTTAAGCATCCATGGATTTTGGTATTCTAGAAGGGTCCTGGAACCAATACCCAATGGATACCAAGGAATGACTGTATATCTGTGTGTGCCTGTTTCATTGACCTTTGTGTCTGTTCTTTTACCAATGCCACCCTGTCTTGATTACTGTAGTTTCATAATGTAGATTTATTTTCAAATATTGAATCAGCCTTGCTTTCCTGGGACAAACCCCACTTAATTTTGATGTCTTGTTCTTTTTATATATTGCTGGATTTGATTTGCCAATATTTTGTTGAGGATTTTTACCCTGTGTTCATAAGAGATACTGAACTGTACTCTTTTGGTTTCTGACTTTTTCTGGTTTTGATGGTGGAGTAATGCTGGTCTCATAAAACACTTTAGAAAATGTTCCTTTCTCTGGAAAAAATTATGTCAAATCAATCTTATTTTTAAAACATTTTATAGAATTCACTGGTAAAACCATCTTGGCCCTAGAGGTTTCTTTTTCAGAAGATTGTAAGCTATGAATTCAACTTCTTTAATAATTATAGGAGTATTCAGTTTCATCTTGGATAAGTTTGGTAGTTTGTAGTTTTTGATGCATTGGTCTATTCGCAGTTGTTGGATTTTAGTACACAGTTATTTGTAGGAATACCTTATTATCTCTTTAATATCTGTGGGATCTGTGGCAATATCTTCTCTTTTATTCCTGATATTGATTATTTGTTTCTTCTTTTCTGTCAGTCTTTTAGAGATTTATAAATTTTATTGATCATTTCATGGAACTCATTTTTAATTTCTTGGATTTTACTCTTATCATTTGTCTGTTTTCAATTTTGTTGATTTTCGCCTTTGCCTTTATTATTTCCTTTCTGGTTGTTTTGAGTTTATTTTTCTCTTCTTTTTCTGGTTTCTTAAGTTGGAAGTTTAGATTATTGAGACCTTTCTTTTTTAATATAGACACTTAATACTATAAATTTTCCTCTAAATATTGTTTTAGCTTTGTCCCATAAATTTTAATATGCTTTATTTTCAGTTTCATTCTGTTCAGTATACTCTTTTAATTTTCCTTCAGACTTTCTCTTTGACCTATTGATTATTTAGAAGTGATATGTTTACTGTTCAAATGTTTGGAGAATTTTCTATTATGGTTTTTGTCGATTTCTAGTCTAATTCCATTATGATCAGAGGATGTAACTTATATGATTGCAGTCATTTTGCATGTGTTAAGGTTTATGGCCCAGAAGAATATGGCATATCTTTGTCAATGTTTTATGCACACTTGAAAAGAGTATAGATTCTACTGTTATTGGGTGGAGTGTTCTGTAAATATCCATTAAATCCAATCGGTTGATAATATTTTTTATTTGTGTATCTTTGCTGATTTTCTGTCACCTAGTTCTATTGATTATTGAGAAAGAGGTGTTTAGGTCTCCACATATAATTCTAGATTTGTCTAATTTTCCTTGAATTTTTTCATGAGTTTTGAAATCTGTTGTAAGACACATATACATTTAGAATTGATGATTTCTTTTTGTGAATTGACCCTCTCACTATGTAATATTCCTTTTTACCCTCTGGGAATTTTATTTGTTCTTAAGTCTGCTTTGTCTTTTATTAATTTTTTTTTACATTTGTGTTTGCATGGTATATCTTTTTCTATCCGTTTACTTTTAACCTACCTACAGGTATCATTTGAAGTGAATTCTTTATGACGGCATTTTCTTGTGCATGTTTTTAAAAATCTATTGTGACAGTCTCTATCTTTTCCTTGGCATGGTTAGATCATTTACATTTAATGTAATTATTAATGTTTCAATTTAGGTCTAACATTTTATTGTTTGTGCCCTCTTTTTTTCCTTTTTCTTCCTTCTTTTGGGCTATTTTTAACTTGTTTTAGTGTTTTGTTTTATTTGTTGTGGTTTTTACTATATCTCTTCATATAGTTTTTCTAGTGACTGTTTTAGGGATTATAATACTTTCTTTCACAGTCTAATTAGAATCACTGTTTTACCTTTTTAAGTGGAATATAGAAATCTTATGACTATATAGATCCTTTTAGCTCTCCCATTATGTTATAATATCATGCATTATGTTTACATAAATTGAAAATCTCATTTCATATGTCATAATTTTTGCTTTTGGCTAATAAACATATCTTGAAAAACTTGAGGAAAATAGCCTGTAATAGTTTTCCATATACTTACATTTTTCTTACTCTGCCTGCATTCCTGATGTTCCAAGCTTCTTTAGAGTAAGTATATGGATAACTATAACCATCATTTCCCTTTTTTCTAAAGAATTTCCTTTAGCCATTCTAAAGATCAGATCTACTGGCACTGAATTACCTTAGATTTTCCTTTTTATCAGCAAATGTCTCTAACTCTAACTTCATTCCTGAAGGATTCTTAAACATCGGATATAGAATCCTGAGTTGTCAGGTTTTTTTCTTTCTTTCAGCACTTCAAAAGTGCTGTTTTACTTCCTCTGGACTCAGTAGTTTCTGATGAGAATTCCACATTCAAATGACTGTTGCCTTGTACATAATGCATTGTTTGTTTCTAGTGGCTTTCAAGACTTTCTCTGAAGCTTTCAGCAGTTTGATCATGATTTATCTGGGAATGGATTTCTTTGAATGTGTCCTGTTTGCAGTTTTTTGGGCATCTTAAATCTACAGTTGTGTATCTTTTGCCAAATTTGACAAAATTTTAGCTATCGTTTATTTGAATTTTTTCCCGTACTACACTTTTTTTCCTCTTTTTCTGTAACTCCAGTGACATAAATAGATCTGTTGACCTTGTCTCACGTGTTCTCTTTTTGTCTATTTTAAATACTTTTTTTTCTGTTGTTTGGATGATTTTTTGTTAACTTGGCTTCAGTTTTATTGACTCTTTTCTCGGCATCTCCATTCTACTATTGATCCTATGCAGTACAGTTTTTAATTTTGGTTATTGTATTTTTCAACACTAAATTTTCTACTTTATTATTCTTGATAGCTTCTATTTGTGTTTTTTCATTTGTTTCAAGAGTGTCTTCCCTTGCAGCATTTTTATAACAGATCTCTTAAACTTTTTGTCAGATGATTTCAACTTTTGGGTCATCTCAGCCTTGGCATGAGTTGATTTTTTCCCTGGTGAGTTTATTTTTCTGATTATTTGCATGCTTGGTAATTTTGGATTGTATCCTGGTCATTTTGAATATTATGAGACTCTGGGTTTTATATAAATCCTACAGATAATGTTGATATTTTTGTTTTAGGAGGTAGTCAACCTGGTTGGATTTAGTTAGTTCATAAGTTCTGACCAGCCTTCAATATTTGTTCAATTTTCAAACCCTTTTCCGTCCTCTTAACATCAGTTCTTTTGTGCACCACTCACCAGCCAGTTTGGGAACTGGCAGTGCCGAATTCTTACAGCAGTTCTCAAAGTCTGTGGTTTAGGGTCAGATACACATGTGCATAGGCGGGGAAGTAGACAGCTCACCCGAACAGGTGAGTCCAGAAATCTATCAACAGCTTTTTGGTTTGCTTCCATGAACTCCTTTTCCTCCACAATCTTTTTGGCACTTTTTAGTTCTCAGGGCTCCCTCCTCAGTCCCCTGGACAGACAGCTGGGGCTTTTCCCCACTCCGCTAAACTCTTCCTATTACTAAACCTCAATCTGGGTCCAAGCATTAGGAAGACAGAGGTAAAGAGCAAAGACATTTCGCCCACCTCTTAGGGGGAGCACACCTCTTCCCATCAGAAAGGGACCATCTCCCCCTCACTGGTTTGGGCTCCTGCGGCCCCTGTTGTCCCCCACACCACAGGATTGCTTAGGGAGGAGCTGACGTTCAAGGGCTCAGAGATAACACCAAAAAGGGATGATTCCTCACTCGCCCTGAACATAGTTGTCTCAGCCCATTTTCTGCTGCTATAACAACACTGCCATCTAGGTAATTGATAAAGAATAGGAATTTATTGGGCTCACAGCTCTGGAGGCTGAGAAGTCCAAGAGCATGACGCCGGCATCTGCTGAGGGCCACCCCGTGGTGGAAGGCATTCCATGGCGAGGAAGCATGCCAGACAGGAGAAAAGGGGCCAGAGTCCCTCAGTAACCAATTCCAGCAGTAACAGCATTCATCCATTCCTGAGGGAGGGGCCCTCATGACCTAATCACATCTTAACACTGTCACAGTGGCAGTTGTTTCCAACACAGGAACACATTGAAACCTTAGCAGCAGGTGATGCTTTTCCTTCCTCAAAGTGGATTAGAGCCGAGCCCCTAGGGGGCTCCCCAGCTGTGCCAGGCTTTGCCTCCAGGGCTCAGGCTGTAGTAAGTTCGGGCTGAGGACAACAGAGGGATAACCCAGGAAGCCCATTCATCTTTTCCATGGTACTTGAAATTCTTATCTTCTTTCCAAGGCTGCCAACTACTACTGACTCTTCTCAGCCCTCACGTAGCTGCTCTGTGCCTTCTGCCCAGGTTTTATAAAGACATTCAGTAGAAGAAACAAGTATAGAGTGCTTGCTTCATTTTACCTGGAACCAGAATCCCCCTTTCCCTCCATTTGTGTTTCAGGTTAGTTTATTCTGGCTGCTTTTGATGGCCAGGGAGCATTAGGTCAAATAGCTGTGACTTGTGCCAGGGACACCAGCTCCTGGGGATTCCCCTTCCAGGCCAGTGGCTGCTGCACAGGGATGTCCTGCAGGAGCTGAGGACCTGCTCTTTCTTGCTCTCTGTTGCTCTTTGTTGGCCATGGCCACAGCACAGCTACTGAGATGCTCTGCAAGCATGACCCGGCAGGTAGCACCTGTGTGTATGGGCCTGAGTATGCCCCTGCTAGCTGCAGCCTGGCTAAGGAAAAGTCCCAAAGCCTGGGCTGCTGAAGGATGCCCCTTCCCCCCAGGAAGCCACACGGACCTTGACAGGTCACCACCCATGGAGCTGTGATGGTTGAGGGAAAGGAGACTCCTCCTCAAGAACTTGGAAGCACAATGGCCTGCCTCCCAGGAAAGAGAGCCTCAGTGCTTGTCGGAGCCCTGATCTCAGAGAGGGCCAGCTGCCTGGCCAGCTCTGCTGTTGCCTGTGCTCTGAGCCTGGCCGTGTGCAGTGGACGCACAGGTGTGTTTGCTGAGGTGGCTCGTAGCAGATTATCACCGAGGAGAGATGGACACCCAGGATAAGGAAGTGATGAGTCTGAGCACAGCGGTGGCAGAGCCAGGCTGGTCCCGGTCTGTGTCCTCCTGCCGTGCTCTGGTGTGTGTTGTCTTCCTTATTGGAGCTGGGTTTGGCTGAGTTGGTCCAGGTTCAGGTGTCAGGCCTGCTCAGAGCCTTGAGCTCCACTCCATGGCGTGGCATGAAAACACCTCGCATAAAAACCCAGTGTCTGTGACACAAAACGATTTCTCCCGTGACCAGCATGAGAAAAGGGCATCCAGACCCTTGGCGGAGGATGCACAATGCAGGCAGAGGGTTTAGAAAACAGTCTTCTCTGGGTGAGGCAGTTATGGTGCACACATTTAAATAGCTGCCCAAGCCGAAATGAAAATAGCCATGTCCTTCAGATGCAGAGACTCCAAGATGCAGGTCCTCTCCCTTGACCCCAGCCACAGAAGCCCAGCCCAAGGTACCCAGCACCACAGGACAGGCAGGAGGAAGGGCGAGTGTGGGAAGGAGACAAGGGAAGTGGAGGGGTAAGAGAGGAACATCCAGAATGTGGCGTTCGGAGGCCGCGTCACAGAGCCCCAAGGTCTCGGGGCTGCCCTCTGGGGAGGCCCATGGTGAAAGAGAGAAGGCTGCTGGGGTTTTTTTTGTTTTGTTTTTTGTTTTTTGAGACGGAGTCTCGCTCTGTCGCCCAGGCTGGAGCGCAGTGGCACAATCTCAGATCACTGCAACCTCTGCCTCCCGGGTTCAAGTGATTCTTCTGCCTCACCCTCCCGAGTAGCTGGGACTGCAGACGAGCACCACCACGCCTGGCTAATTTTTTTATTTTTAGTAGAGATGGGGTTTCACCATATTGGCTAGGATGGTCTTGAACTCCTGACCTCGTGATCCGCCCGCCTCGGCCTCCCAAAGTGCTGGGATTACAGGCGTGAGCCACCGCGCCTGGACCAGAAGGCTGCTGTTTTAATGGTTGCCCCTTTGGGCCACCTGAAGTGATTGTTCCAGCTGCTGAGGACTGATGTGGTCACCTCAACCTCAAGAACTTCTATTTTCCACATGAGTTAATGTCTATGAGTGGATTTCACTCCATTATAGAATATGATGCTTAACAGCAAGGATTGCCCTTCTTCAAGAACGGGTGTCATTCAGCCATGTGATTCTGCACAGGCTAGGGTTCGAAGCACTGTGCTCTTTGAGAGCTGCTTCAACTAATTACTGCATTCGTTCGCTGCAGGGTGAAACAGAGTTTTCAGATACATTTGTAAAATCAGGTGCCTGATTGCTAAATACTACATTGTTTGAGCTATACTTCCTCATATGTTGCCTGGTACGGACCAGTTAAGAAATGGTTTCCCATGAGAAACTGACAATGAAGCTGAACATGTTTGATAAACTCTGTGCTCATCTATGGACATATAATTGTTTTATTATACGATACTTTTACACTTGGAAAGAAAGGTGCTCCGTAATTTGGCAGCAATTTGTCAGAGCAGCACTCAAGGCTGGCGCTCAGATGAGGCCCTTGGAACCATGCCATTGTTTCTCGGAACTGCTCTGTGCTCCGGTTAGGTTTGCACACACCTCCCTCGTTTCATTCCTACAAGTTTAGTAAAGTTCCAGGCCGTTCTCCCAGAACACCTAACGGAAAGCACAGAAAACAAAACCACCAACTCTGTGTTCGCCGAGGAAGGCAGGAAATTGGCCTCTGCTTCTTGCGGTATTGACGTGCTGCTTTCATTGTTTCTTTTCCAAGACAGCTGTCCCCGAAATCTCTTTACCTCCAAGTCAACAGCAGGCTACCTTGCTTTGCTTTGCTTTTTTTTAAAGTTAGGCATAACAACAACAGCAACCATGATAATGATTAACAGTTTGATTTCAAAACGTTTTCTGAAGAAATGACAGTAAACAGTGCATTTGCCCAGGGAAATCCACCACCCCGCCAGCCATCAGCCGGTAATACAACTGCATGTGCTAATGAACCCAAAGCTGTTAATGTGGTTTCTTCAGTTAAATTGATTCATGAATTTTGAAGAGAACATTATCTAATGAATTTTCTTTGAATAGAAAGCAATTAAAAGGACAAATCAGTCTGATTAACCCCAAAGTCACCCTCCTGCCACAAATGGTGTACAGTTTGAAATTATATCATAAAAAACTAGAGCACATTTGCTATCTTTTTGCCCTCTACTAATCCATGTAAATTAATGAACAACAAAGTTAATTTCTTTGATGACCCTTTTCTAGTATCACCTGGATTATGCTGATGTTTAATTTGCTTAATGTTATAATAAAGACTAAACAGATTTTTTTCCCAGTGAAGTGATTATCGTTCCCTTCAGTTAAGAAGTGATTTTTATTATTTAACACACATGTAAGGGTGTGTTTCCTTTAAGAACCAAATCACACTTTGCCAGCTTGGCACCAAGTGTAATTAGTGTTCTTGTGGACACACTCAGAACATCGTTCCTGCCCGCGGAAGCCTTCCCTTTGTTGCTGCTATTCAGAAACTCCTGCCCCTGGAGGGGCTGGAGCCCCTGCGATGGAGGACATGGCTCTGTCTCCAGTGCTCCTGAGCTGCATGTCCCCCTTGGAAAGACAATAGGTACTGATTCAGACAGGCCTTCTTCGCGTGCCCCAGTTTCTCTCCCACCGACACCACTCCCAGGTAACAGTTCTGAAACCTGGAGGCAGAGGGAGAGAATGTTCTCCTGCAGTCACCTCCTCATTCCTGCAGCAGGATGCGGCACAAATGCAGTTGGATGTGGTTAGTCAATTAAAATGGGAATCAAGTCATTTTATTTTTGCAGCCCTATTCACTAAAGATGCCTGTAACCAAGGTCACCGCCAGCCCCTGCGTACTGTGGTGCTTGGCACTCCGAGCAGTAGCTGGGGGAATCCTGCACGCGGCTGGAGGTGGACAGCCGGCATAATATCGCAGCCTGGCCTGTGGCTGCTTTTGCCTTCTTTGTCCCAGTTGAAGTTGGAAATTAACCAGCAGTACAAAAGATTTCCAAGCAGGCGGGCAGGCAGGGACTTCTGTGTGTATTAATTGAGCCATGAGCTCACTTACACACGCCCAGTCGCTAGAAGAGTGGCACACGCAACCCCACGCGGAACACGGGAAGATGGAAAGAAATTGCAAACCTGTGGTGCCAGCTCCAAGGATGCCTTCCAAGGGGCCAGCCTGCATGGTGGCCTGCCACATGCTTGCGTCTCCTCGCCTGGTGACATGGTGGCAGCAGTGCATGGAGGCCGTGTTTTAATTGAGTATAATACCTCTATTTGTGTAGATGCGTTTCCTGTTTTGGGACTAGTGGCTATTTATATCAGAGCTGCTGAAGCCGTTTGTCCAAATAACATTATCCTGCATTCTTCCTTTCAGAGTCGTTCACCAGACAGGTGTTATGGAAGCTGCTGAAGGTTGTGAAATTCGGAGAAGTGATTTCTTACCAGCAATTAGCAGCCCTGGCAGGCAACCCCAAAGCCGCGCGAGCAGTGGGAGGAGCAATGAGAGGCAATCCTGTGAGTTCTCATGGCGCAAGCATGGCTGTGGGTGGCGGGTGCGTGCAGGTGGCAGGGTGTCATCTGATCCCACGTGTTTCCTCGGAAGGCAGGCTGTGCTGCTGGGGTGGGCAGAGGGGCGATATCTGTGATGGGGACCATTATGCCAGATGCCTCCAGAAGAGGCAAGGAGGCTACCCCAGCACTACACTCCTGGAAGCTCCCCCCTACCGGGAGCACATCTCCACTGCATGAGCTCCTGGTTGTCACAGTGAGCAGGAGAGGAGGGAGCCTGGAGGAGTGGCAAGCGGGCAGAGGGTGCCCCACCTGCTCACTCAGGAGGTGGACGTGTTGGGTGCCTGTTTTATGGCCCACACTCTTCTAGGTGCCCAGAGTACAGCAGCTAACAGACAGAAAGGTCTACCTGCGAGGTGCCTGCATCCTAGCAGGATGGCCAAGCAAGGGTGCACATCCAACCCCATCTCTCTGTGGGCTGCACTCCCCCTGAGGCCCAGGGCTCCCTGGGTCCCAAGAGCTAAAGCACCACACGTGAGCACACGAGGCAGGAGGCCTTGCAGCATGGGACAAGGGACCTAGACCACACGCACCTCGTGTCTCACCAGGGATGGCGCCCTCCCCAGAGCCCTTCTGTGTCCTCGTCCTTCCCATGCGTCTGCAGTCAGATTTCACTAAACTCCAGGCTCCCAGGCTATGCAGCCTCAGGCCATGCTCCCCAGAGGACAAGGCCCAACCGGGACACAGCATGGGTGGGGCAGCGTGGCCTGTGGTGCCTGGGGGCCACGTGGGTGCCGTTGCTCTCCCATCTCACAGCACCCAGGCCTGGCAGCTGGGCCGCGGGCCATCTGGCATCTGGCATGAGGTGGTAAGTCACAGCATGCCATGTGCGCCCGGCCAAGGCCACACGTGCCTGTGTGTGTGGGGGCAGAAAGGGTGCCCCGTCTGCGTGGCCCATTGGGAGAACCCACACAACCTCAAGAATGCCCCTGGAATATTCACCCAGTGATGGTGTGTGGTCACGTTGGCAGTGTCTTCTCCCGAAAGCTCTGTGAAAGTTTCTAGCATGATGGAAGCATACCATCTGATCAGGGAGCACAAATATGATCACTCCATCATGGGATGGGAAATTACTAAATCAGATAGACCTCACTTTTTGAAAAATTGCTGTGGCTTTACTGTCTATTTCCAAAACTACTTATATCCCTGCTCACAGGGGAGAGGCCGGCGTGTTCATACCACAGCCTGCTGCTCCTGCTGCCCGCTGCAGCAGCCTGGGGGCAGAGCCTCCGTTTCTAGGAGATGACAGTTACGTAGGCTTTTGCACAAAACTGCATTGTTAGTCCTTAAAAAGCAACTCTGGTAGGTTTGTAGTGGATTGCATTGTCGTAATGTACACCCTAATCTAGGCGAGCTTTCTACCCTATTAAAATATCCCAAATATCCCAGGAGTGAGATACCACAGGGACAGCCACCATCCCCACCTCCTCCATCTCTTCCTGTCCTCAGTTTTGGTGACAGTGGCTGGTGGGCGCAATTGACCCTTCCTTTTGCACCTGTTGCACATTAATTGCAATGTCTTCAGCTACATTGTCATAAAACATCTGCACCACGCAGTAGGGATCTGATTTTTACGGCGCGTTGGGGGATATTTCCGAATCAAATTTCTGAGGATGGTTTTTGACATTTCCCAATAAAACTTAACCTACATGCCCCTCTGGAAGGCTGCTGTCTTCTCCCCGGTTGTGAGTCAATTTTGAGGTGTTCAACCTGATGAAAAGGCAGCTCAGATGCTGTTGTGTTGTGGCTCCGTGTAGGGCCCATGAGAACTGTGGATGCGAATGGGGTTTTGGGGGTGCTCTTCCTGCATCAGTGCAGTGACTGTTTCAGGCAGTGTCTACTCTTTGTGCCCCCCGAGGAGAGTAAGTCCTTGTCTTCTCCCCACTGAGGTGGATTCTGCTCCCTCCGTGCACACACATGAAGATGGGAGTGGCCCCGTCAGCGGGCGCCGACTGCTCGCTCCCTTGTGTGTGCAGCTCCCCTTTTGCTGTAAGGACAAGCTCCACTAACTGACATGTGCAGCGTGGCAGCACCCTCCCCCACCAGCCTTTGGTGATGCCAGCAGTTTCTCACTCTGCAGTGGAGATGCCGTCGCTGGTTAGCAATCCTGCTTGTGGCGATATTCGGAGACATTTATTGTTCTGCAAACCAGCGTGACTCTCTTCTCCTGCTATTAATCTCTATGAGTGTCTCTGTTCCAGTATGGCCTCAGTCACTGAAATGTATAAAGTAGTATCACATGGGATGTAAAACCCTAATGTCTGTAAAGTCCACACATCGGCACCCTGTCCCATGGCAAAGCCAAGACTGGAGGTGAGCACAGCATCAGGCAGGAGGGTTCTACAGGCACCAAGTCTCGCCCTTCTCGGCGTCCACATGCCTCCTGTGCCGAGGGCAGCCAGGCGGTGGTGGCTTCTCGTGGCCTTTCTGTGGGCTCCACCGTGTGCAGTGACCTTCAGCCTGAGGAGGGGGCTGCAGCAGGACCTGTGGCTACGGTACCCACAGACGCCTCAAATTATAGCACAGATATGCCAGAGATATTCCTGCAAGAAGCCTTCAGCTACGTAGTTTACTATGGTTCAGGTTGACAGCCTCCCAAGTTCCCATTAGAAACCTCATTAGAATGGGCTAGGAGGATGAAAAGGTGACCCAGGGACTTGCTAGAGGAAGGGCGCTGGCCAGCAGTGAGCCATTGCTGCTGTCAGTGTCCTCAGGAATGTTTCCCTTTGGCGCTGACAGCAGTGTCCCAGCCGGAAGGCTGCGCACATCCACTCCAGCCCAGACGGTGCGTCGCTGAGACTCGCTCATTGAAAACATCCCTTATATTCAGGATGAATAGAGTGATTGTGCATTTAAGGGAGGAGAGTGAAAAATGGACTTGGAATGTTAGAAAACATCGTAAAGCTCATTGTGCATTAATTCCTTAGGTGGCTTGCAATAAACAGGAGCACGTGCTGGTTCATATTACTGCATTTGCTGTCGGCATGAGTTTCTCTTCCCCAACCGGAGTAAGGGATGGCTTTTGCCATGCGGAGCTTTCCTCTATCCTAGGAGCTTGATTTCTCCAGAATCCTCCAGGAAGGACTCACCAGCCGGTGTAAGGTGGTTGGTCAGCATTCCTGGAAGGCTGTCTCCCCAACTCAGCGGGAGAGGATGGTCAGTTTCCCAGTATATTGAGTAGAAAACTCCTCACGACCCACCCCCTCCACAAAGCACCCTTCCTCTTCATCCTCAGACAGAATTTGCTAAATGCAGTTCAAAGGCAATCGATACATTGCACAGAGAGTCTCCCCACCTTTTTCTGAACAAATGCATTCCTGAGGAGTTAGTTTATTCACGGATTGCCATGAGCGTTAATGACCCCCCGAGGCTTGTTCTGCCCGTCACCCGGATGGCTGCTGATAAAGACTTAGCATCATGTTCTAAGTGTCAAGGTTGTCAGTGGAGCTGAACCATTTGACCAGAAGAAAAAAACGCACAGGGAGCTATTGATTACAGCTTCTCGGTGTCACTTGTTCACCAGGATTTAGGTATTGATGAGGCTGCGAGTGAAAACAAGCTCTTTCCCTTGTGGGCTGCTGCCCAGAAGAACAAAGGCGAAGTTGGAAAAAATATTCAGCCGGTACCAGAATCAGAGGGATTCCATCATTGACTGAAAGGCCCCTTCATGTTATTTTTGTTGGAAACAAATCTATGGGTTTGGAAGTTTTATAGCGTTTGAGAAAGGGGCTGCATAAGTGATGGATTC
The DNA here is from genome assembly GCF_000001405.40 of Homo sapiens. NCBI lineage: Eukaryota > Metazoa > Chordata > Mammalia > Primates > Hominidae > Homo > Homo sapiens. The sequence goes on from NC_000010.11 coordinate 129,763,144, forward strand.
ACGTATTGGATGAATTAGATTTCACAGCATGAAGATTTCAATGCAGCTGTGATATTATGAGCTTCTTGGTTATTGATAAAAATTACATTTTATGCAGCACATGCTTTAAAGGAGAGGGCATAGAGGGTACAGATCCTTTGAAAATGTCCTTAGGGCCCCAATAAATTTCAGCAGGTTTCATTATCTTAATAGTCTGAAACCTGCCACCAAAATTCACACAAACAGAAGCAGCGTTCCCTATTTCTAACGGTAAAAATAGTGCCTATTTGGTAAGTCACCTCTTCCCCATCACAGCATGCTAAGGTGAGGACCGGTCACAGCTGTCGGGGTCATTGTTATTCCGTGCCATCTGTCCTGGCCTCTGCATTGATGTACAGGAAGAGGGAGAGGGAGACATGTTTATTTTACTCATTTTTATAATTTCATAGCTCATTGAGAGGGAGAGAAGAAAAACCAAAGCTCTGCTGTGAAATCTGCTATTAGGTAGGAAAATTGAATTGGTGCCTAAATGTTTATAAAACTAGATTGAATTAAATGCCTACCTCTTTATCAGTCAAAAACGTGAATTGTGTATTATCTAATAATGCCCTCACAGCAATTATTAATGGGACTGTTGTATTTGATAAAAATCATCAATCAGGGTAAATATTCCATCCTGGAGATTTCCTGTGACTCCTTCTGGAAGACTGGGATTCTCAGCTGTTCCAGAACTTGGCAGTTACTACACCTCACTCTAGTAAACTCAATGTTAAAAACAGTCAGCCCTCCGCCACCTGCATGTTCCCATGTCATAGTCGTCAGAAGCCTCTTAGACTGCGTCATTGGTGCACGTTACCAAACTCATCGTCAAATTAGGATGAGCTGTGTGATGTGCCGGAAGCCAGAGTCCCACCTTGCAGCCATGTCATCTGCTGGCACCGGCTGTCACCCCACAAGGTCCCACCTCAACAGTCCACGTCAAGGAGGAGAAGTGTGGTGCGTGGAGCCATGCAGGAGAGTGGTTAGAGCCCCTTCTTTGCCACTTAACAGCTTTATGAACTTGGGCACGAGACTCCATTCGGCCGGAGGCTGAGACAGGCCTGGTGGGGCCTTGCGGGGTGATGGGGGCCATAGATGGGGTCGAAGATGCAGCAGCATCAGGCATGGGCACACCCGCTCCCAGGGGCTTTAAGCACCTTTTCCAAGGGGGGCTGGGGCTTCCCCCACCTCCCTCGGGGACGTGTGTAGCTGGGCCCCACAGAGGGCCACACCCACCAGGTGAAATCTGTGGCAGGTACATGTGTGGCAGTGACACAAGCTGCCTGCACCAAAAGCCTCAGGGGATGCAAAAGTAGCAGTCACCTCCCCAGGAAGCAGAGGTGCCCAAGAAATAGAGCTTGGAGATGCTGGGCACACGCCCCCAGCTGCTTCCTCTAAAAGCTCACCTGACCAGTAGCTGGTTGCTTTGTCCAGTTCACTGGCTTTGGAGGGTGGAGCGTGGGGAAGCTGGGCATGGGCAGAAATCATTTCTCTGTTGAGCTGGGGATACGCTCAGCTGGAGAGAAAAAGAAGAGTGGAGTCGGAGTGATACCCGGGGGTACCCGGAGTGATACCCGGAGGTAGCCTGGACACGCCCCAACCTTGGGATCCTGCAGAAACAGCTGTTTGTTCTCATCAGGGCAGGATGCTGGGAGCAGGGCAGCCATGTGTGAGGGCCCAGGGAGAGGCCCCGGGTCTGCAGCATCCGTGTCTGGGCCATCTAGGTTGCGGGGATGAATGTGCTGCCCTCCAGCTCAGGAGGAAGGGAGGAAGGGGGGCCAGGCAGTAAGCGATCGTTAGGCATCTCCCATGTGCCTTCTACGTGTCGTGCCAGCTGAGAACCTTCCAGAGCGAGCTTGGTGCCCTTCCCCATTCTTCTGGAGCCTGCCCTGGCTCCTGTGGTCATGCTCATTGGCAGTTTACCTTCTTCACGGAGCAGCCACTGTGATGCTTTGCACGATGATGAGGCATGTCCCCCCACACGTCCCCCGAGATGTCCTGGCCCCTTAGTGGCTGCCCACCCATACACCTGCTCCCCAGGCGCCAGGAGCTACTTAGGGATGAAGGCTGTTGCCTGGGAGGCTCTCCAGCCAATTCTTTCTTTAGAAATCTGTGCAAGACTTCCCCACATGCTCCTGGGAAGCCATTCTGGAGCAGATCTTCACAGTAACTGCTTGTTGGGAAGCTTAAGCAAATGGCCCTGGAGCCCCCAGAGCCCCCAGAGTCCCCTGCGGTGGCCATGCAGGCTGTGTGGCCATCCCTGTCTGCCCAGGCAGAGGGGGACAACCAGAGAGATGCCCATATGTTACTGCCTTGTCTTTCACCTTTCTGAGCCAGCTGAGAAATGGATAGCAGACCTCAAGATTTTAGCTTTATTAGGGTAAAAGCGAGATTGAAGGCAGGGGGTGGGGGGCCAGTGGCATGGCCATGGTGGCTTCCCAGTAATTCCCACAAGAATTACATTCGCCATCACTGTCCCCTCTGGCTAAGCTCTGGCCTCCCCAGCCAAGGCAGGGGCTGACCATCTCAGAAGAGATCAGGGCGCCCCGAACCCTGGGGCAGGCAGGTCACCTGCAGGAGCCCTAACAGTGCTAAGCTGGGCATACCCCTCTCTTCCTCCCTTGTCGGTGGTCAGTGACTCATTCTCCCTTGTGGGTGTGAGAGTGGAGGAGGCCAGCACCTACATGGAAACCAGAGGCAGGGGCCACAGCACCTGCCCCCACCCACCACAGGTGGCTCTCAGAGCTTCAGCCAGACAGTGGACCCATGGAGCTCCTCCTGTCTACACAGCTCGGGCAACGCCAAAGGACCAAAGCAGAGTCTCCCTGAGGACTGCACTGAAGGAGGCGCCCGCCCCTCTGGAGGGAACAGGGATTCCCTTCCCCTGGTGGGACTGGCCATAAAGAAGCAGTTGGTAGGCAGGATCCGGGGCCTGTGTATGGCTGCGTGGTTGTGGTCCTCACTCTGGATCAGCCCCTATCAGCACAGGGCATCCTGAGGCAGGGGTTGGCCAAGTCCTCCTGTCAAGGGCCAGAGAGTAAATATGTTAGGCTTGGCAAAGCAGCCACAGCCAGTATGGAGAAAAAGGCATGGCTGCGTTCCAGTAAAGCTTCATTTGCAAAAGCAGGTGGTGGGCTGCGTGCGCCCACAGCCACAGTTGGCCGGCCATGGGCTGGAGAGGCCCGTGCAGGTACGGTCTTCTCTGATGCGTCCTGTGATGCCTGCGTGGTACCTGGGGAGTGTTTGAGAGCGTCACATACCACCAGAACTCGGAAACGTAGTTTTCAGTTTTGTAAGCGAACGTTGTATATTACTCACCGGATGAAATTAAGTTTTCTCCTCCCAAATCGTGGGCCTAAAGCAATTCTCTGAGGATGCCCCACGTCACCTCAGGACACTCGTCCCTCCCCCAACCCGTGCTGAGACCCCCAGGGACTCAAGGGCCTCAGGGGAGGGGAAGTCCATGCTGAGACATAGCTGACACCCACCCATGCCAACAGCCTGCCCCTGGCACAGGCCCCTGCTTGGTGGGCACAGGACTCCTGTCAGTCAGGGCCTTGGCCTTGACCCCAAAGACCTCGTTGTCCAGATCCCTGACTGACAGTGGCTGCCCCCCTGTCTTCCAGGTCCCCATCCTCATCCCGTGCCACAGAGTGGTCTGCAGCAGCGGAGCCGTGGGCAACTACTCCGGAGGACTGGCCGTGAAGGAATGGCTTCTGGCCCATGAAGGCCACCGGTTGGGGAAGCCAGGCTTGGGAGGGAGCTCAGGTCTGGCAGGGGCCTGGCTCAAGGGAGCGGGAGCTACCTCGGGCTCCCCGCCTGCTGGCCGAAACTGAGTATGTGCAGTAGGATGGATGTTTGAGCGACACACACGTGTAACACTGCATCGGATGCGGGGCGTGGAGGCACCGCTGTATTAAAGGAAGTGGCAGTGTCCTGGGAACAAGCGTGTCTGCCCTTTCTGTTTCCATATTTTACAGCAGGATGAGTTCAGACGCCCGCGGTCCTGCACACATTTGTTTCCTTCTCTAACGCTGCCCTTGCTCTATTTTTCATGTCCATTAAAACAGGCCAAGTGAGTGTGGAAGGCCTGGCTCATGTTGGGCCACAGCCCAGGATGGGGCAGTCTGGCACCCTCAGGCCACAGACGGCTGCCATAGCCGCTGTCCAGGGCCAGCTAAGGCCCATCCCAGGCCGTCCACACTAGAAAGCTGGCCCTGCCCCATCCCCACCATGCCTCCCTTCCTGGCTGTGTCCATGGCTGTGATGGCATTCTCCACTCAGCAGTTCCTAGCATCCCACACCCAGGTCTCACTGAAAGAAAGGGGAACAGGCCATGGCAGTCAGTGCTTACAGAGGTTTTCTAGCTTTGTTTCCTACCTGCCAAAAAGGCTAATGCAAGATGCATCCACTTATGGTCTGTATCAGGTGAATAGAAAATAACCATTTGCCAAGATTTGGAAAGACAGAGAGCTCTCTGGACACGGGTTCGATGGAGCTTGCACCTCTCTGAGAGCTGAAGTCAAGTCTCACCCTCTCTCCATACTCCCTGGCCTAGTGTGCTCTGGGCAGCAGGTAGGAAGGGACAGGGACCTCTCATCTCAAGGGCTGCCCCAAAGGGCCCTCAGGGACCATGGGCCTGTTAGGACCCCAGCACCCCAGTGTCGATCCTGGAAGTCAAAGGTCACGACTGTGGGGGGCCAGCTCATGTCACTGATGGCAGCAGGCAGGGTTTCCAGCATGGGCGGTGCGCTGCTGTCTGATACTTCATTATTGTGTTGTCATCCTAGCTGTATAATTAACTATATCCAAAAGCCGGAAGGGAAACCTGTAGCTCTGCATATGGAGAAATAAAACAGAGCATATGATGTATAGAGAAAATGAACTGCACCCAGCTGTGCACTAGAGCGCCATGTTCTTACCCAGCATTCCTTGCCACGGTGTGAACCACAGCAGGGAAGCTCGCATGGTTCTACACGTCACCGAGGCCTGGATGAAAATGTGGCCTCACGATGTGTATGGTTGGGACCCGCCTTCTATTTCATTTTATCTTAACACCAACGAAAGAAAACCGATTTCAGACGTTTTTCGCTGATTTATGATTTATTATATCCCTTTCTGGCATCAGCCAAAATCTCGGTTTTTCCTATGACATGAAGTGATGTGACTCTTACCCCGTTGTCTTAACTCTTGGTATTTTTGAAGCAGGATAAGTCACACAGCGGGTCACGTAGACACGTGCTGTTTTGTGGGACAGGCCCTGGGCCTCCTTGCTCCTGGCAGGCCTCAGGTGCCGCACGCCGCGTCACCGTCAGGACTCGCAGGCTGTCTGGTCATTTTTGACGTTGCTGAAGGTGAGTGGGAAAAGCTGGGTGCACTCTGCCCCAAAGGTGGTGCCCTGTGTCCCCCACAGATGATGGCCCTCCCCAGTGATGGCCGGTCACCAGGCACGGCTTTCCCCTCTGCATGAACAGAACAGAAGCTTCTGGCTCTCCAAGGCAGCAGCTTGGGGCCTGGTGGCCCGGGTGTGCGAGCCGCGAGTGCTTTCCAACAGAGGGCACCAGAGCCGTGCGGTGTGCTGTGGAGACCCCAGCACCACTTCCCCTGCTGGAGGATGGATTTGAAGGAGGGTGGCTGGGCGGCACCCCGATGGCTCCCTGTGCTCCCTGAGACCCTACAGGCCGCCCTCTGCAGCCACACCTGGACCGGCAGGCATGCACGCTGCAGGCAGGCTGCCTCCGCTGTTTGGGTCCCATGAACGATGGAAGCCTCCCAGTGAGATCTTCAGGTCTCTCATCAGGCACAGGCTCTGAGGGAGGGTCCTGGGGCCACATGACTGCAGCCAGCGAGGGCCGAGCCCCCAGAATCCAGGTCAGCTCCTGGTGGCAGGGGACCTGCCCGTCAAAGCCGTCCAAGGTGAGCCAGCAAATCCGTGTGGCCTGGGAGCACAGGTGGGCCTGCTCGGACCATGCCCTTGGTGCAGTACAAAACCATGTTCTGCTTCCTCTCCGAGGGTTTCCGCGGCCCTGTCAGAACAGGCTTGATAGATGCCCGGAGGTTCCCTCTGACAGCCGCAGCAGCAGGGCTCAAACCGGCGGGGCCGTGTACCGCTCCAAGGACAAGCTCTGCCGAGGCCGACATGAAAAGCCAGCACGCGGGTCGCCTAGAGCCGCTCTGCCTCCAAGCTGCAGCGCCGTTCGTGAAAATACAGAGGGAGAGGGAAGGCACAAAGAAATACAAAACTATTTTCCAAATAAAAAGAAATGTCGAAACAAGAAAGCTGTGTTCTTCAGCCTTGGCCCTGGGTCCCCCTCACCCTGTCGCATTTCCCAGCACTGTGATGCTTTGAAGGCCGACACCGAGACCCGCCGTGCACGACAGCCACCTCGCAGCCACTCAGACCGGCGGACCACGCTCCCCTGTTTCCAGAGAGATGAGAGAGTCAGAAGTAATACTTGTTTTTGCAGAACCACACTTGTGGCAAAATAAGTTGCCTTTGGCCACGCAGGAGACTGAGTTTTGTGAGGGGTTGTCCTTCTCCCAGTCTCTCTTCCCGCTGGGAACAGAAGTGTCCAGTAAACCCACCTGCATTCCACGTGTCCTGTGGCCGCCTCCAGTGGTGAGTCTGTGAGGCCAGAGAAGAGAAGCTATGACCGTGCAAACATGCATGTTATGGTGTTGGCTGATGCGGAATCAGGAAGCTTGGAGGAGCTCTTGCATGAGGAATTGCAGAACTTAGGGGCATGAATTTGCACTTCCAGATGTGAAGGTTGCAGGCACCGGGCGTTGCAGAGGAAGTGGGCAAGCTCACCTTGTAGAGAACTTACTTGGGGTTTGTAATTTGTATACACTTCTTACCCAGCAGAAACAGCTTACTGAACACCCCTCGGGTGGCTGGATGATGTGCTAGCAACTGAAACCATCTCTGCGACTTAAGCTTCTCTGGTGCGTCGCGCCCCACGTGCTTCTCCAGAATCCCGTTTGGAGGGGCCAAGCAAGTCCAATATAGATAGGTTTATACTGAAGCCATCAGTTTTGTTTCTTACATCGTTTGTAAACAGCAGTATTATCCTGGAACTTGTTTCCTACAGAACTGTAAGATAAGGATAAAATCCCATCCACCTGAATTGCTGAGAAACGTAAGAGGTGGTGTGACCCGCTGGAGCCCTGTGGAGTGGCGGACTCTGGGGAGTAGCTGGTCAGTGAGATTCTCGCAGCAATGTGAGGCATCCTCCTCACAGAAATGCATTTACGGATGTTGCTGTATCCCCTGACCTGGCCTACAAGGACAGAACAGCCCTGGGGGCCACGTCCCCTCCCGGTCTCATCTGCCGCTTGCTCACCTTGGCTGTCCATGCACCCGTAGCTGTGACCATGGGCGGTGGCGCCAGCTCGGACTTCACCCCGTTGGAGCGGGCAGGATGTCACACTGAGCTAATGTGAGATTGTTCATGAAGCTACAGATCTTAGTGCTACTTGGGCTTCTCACAGCACAGAGGAGGATTCTGAAGTGAGAGATAAATTGGCTTCATGTATGAGCAAGGGGGAAAGTGTTTTATTTTACTAGGAAGATTTTACTGAAAGACCAATCCCGAAACGGCCCTTGCTTCGGCCACAGCTGCTGGGATGTCCTCGGGCCTCCCCTGTTTGTCTGCATGTCTTCTTGTTGCCATCGGGGCAGTGGAGTCCCCGGAAACAGTCCAAGGCCCTGGGGTGGGGGATTTAAATTTTTGGCTTCCCTCAGACCTCAGACCGTGTGGGTTTTTTTTTCTTTCTTTCTTTCCTGTTCATGGGCATTTGATTAAAAGTTTGTGTTTAAAGAGCTGAACTTCACATCAGTTTTACTTATCAGTTTGAAAGACATTGAGATCTAAACACGGCTCTGCCCAAGACCTCTGCCAAGCAGCGCCGTCTGTCTGTCTGTCTGTCTGAAGGGACGGGAAGGTGGAGAAACTGCAGGTACTGACCTGTCTCTAAGCCACTGAGGGCAGCCATCCAGTGTCCTCGGGACCCCATGGCTCCAGCTGCTGACAGATGTGAAACGTCTGGCCTCCATCACCCGGGTCGCCCCGACAAGGATCTGTAATGGGGGCAGGGGTGGGGGTGGATGAGAAAGTAGGAAGTGGATGCTGGGCAGCGAGGTGTGAACTGACGGCAGAGCCCAGCCCGACAGCACCTTTGATTGATGAAAGGACATTGTTAACAAGCCTTTAAAGTTTCTCATTAATGTTTTTTTCGTTGGAAAAAAAAGCCACCAGAAAAAAATTCCACATGGACAGTAATTAAGATCGATCCCGTACAGTATGGTATCAATGTTTGGGAGCCTTTAGGAAAAAATTATCCACCCTCCTATTAAAGACTTATTTTCAAGCTGCCATTTTCCAGGCTGTTGAAAGTCCCTGGCAGTGTGGGTACCTGGGCAGTCAGGCACGTTCCGCAGATGTGATGTGGTCGGCCTCACAGGTAATGTTTCTACTGTGGCCTGAGGATGGAGAGTGGAGCCCCTGAGCTTTAGTTGTCACGGACTCTGATGCAGTCAGGCAAGGAAGGGTGGGGAAGGATCTGATGGATCTGCTGCCATGGAGAAGCTGGAGTTCTTCTCAGCTCCGAGTGAGCCCCAAGGAGTGCGTCTGAGCAGAGTGCACGTGGTGCCCATGGTTCTCACCAGAGATGCTCAAGCCCTTGGGCGAGGGGGCTGAGCCAGCCCCGACATTGTACACACAGCACCACACACGGGCATACCCAACGGTTCTTTACAGGTCTTCGAGTTACACGTCACTGCTGTTTGGATCCCAAACACCAGCGGAACGCATGATTCCAGGTTGATTTGTTGACTCACATTAAGGAAACCCAGCTGGAGAAAGTATCAGGGTCCTAACGTTAAGCAACCTGCGATATTATGCAAAAAGGATTGCTTTTGTGTGTTGTGATTGCCATGGCTACGAGAAGAAATGGATGCACGTGTGAGACTTGGCTGGTGACAAGGAAGCATGTATGGACATGGAATCAGGTCCTGAGCAAGCAGGCGGTCCTCCAAGGCGGTGGAATTGGCCCTGGATCCCTGCCCAAAGGCCGCTCCGCTCTGGGCCTTGGTGGGAAAGCTCTGCCCTCTAGGCTGGCCTCTGAGAGGGCTTTGGTGTGACCTTCCTGTCACTGCCCACTTTCTAACCAGACAAGGAGGGTGTCTGTACCTGGCGCTAACCCAGGGTTTGGGGGACCGTCCTGCAGTCCCCGTCGGACAGAGAAGGCTTCGTTTCTCAGGAGCTCCAGGCTTTGATTCACTCCCACGATGTGTTTCTTTTTGGGGTAAAACAGTCCCCACGGGGAGTTAAATTTTAGGAAGCCATGAGATCCTTCCAGATGAAAGGCATCATGTAAGTGTATGATACTGTTACTGAGCAAAAGCCCCAGTGCTCCCAGGTGTGGCAACGAGACACCTGCACTCACCGGGCACCACCCAGCCGGGGCGGGCGCTCCCCGGGACTGGCAGGTTCTCTAGGTGTGGCAGTGAGACATCACTCACCGGGCACCACCCAGCCGGAGTGGGTGCTCTCCGGGACTGGCAGGTTCTCCAGGTGCCTCCTTCCTCTTGCAGCTTTGCTCACTTTGTCAATTTTCAGGAAGGGGAATTTTAAATGTCCCCCCAGTCCTGAAGAGATTGAGCAGCATTTTCAGGAGGAGGCCTCACCATCATCATTGCCACACTGGCCATAAACCAGAGACTCTGCTGGAGAAACCCTCTGCAGACCTTGGAGGCCTCACACATCCCAGTTACGGGCAGCGCAGCTGTCCCCTCCGGAGAAGATTCCTCTGCAATGGGAAAGCATTTGTGAAATGAGGCAGGGTTTACATAATTGGTGTGAGCCTGAGCACACCCGGCACACCTGTGTCCTCTGCGTACACCTGCCTGGGTGCCGACACTGCTTGCAGGTGGTTTTGGGGAAAGTGCAGGCCTGGCTTCCATATGGCACATAGTGGCTTTTCTAAGACTGTTCACATGTCTGCCAATGAGGAATGGCCCTGGCCCCTATTTCCTGTAGATTCCCAACACCACTGGAGGGCCCGTGAGGATCCTTCTGTCCCTGCAAGGTGTGGCCTACTGGGGTGTCCCTCCAAGGTGTGGCCTGCTGGGGTGTCCCTCCAAGGTGTGGCCTGCTGGGGTGTCCCTCCAAGGTGTGGCCTGCTGGGGTGTCCCTCCAAGGCGTGGCCTGCTGGGGTGTCCCTGCAAGGCGTGGCCTGCTGGGGTGTCCCTCCAAGGCGTGGCCTGCTGGGGTGTCCCTCCAAGGCGTGGCCTGCTGGGGTGTCCCTCCAAGGTGTGGCCTGCTGGGGTGTCCCTCCAAGGTGTGGCCTGCTGGGGTGTCCCTCCAAGGTGTGGCCTGCTGGGGCGGGTCCTGCCAAGTCTTCATCTCCATCACCACTCAGCAGGGTGTAGCCTGATGTGGGAGGCGCCCAGGAGGCGAAGCAGAGACATCCTGCCTTTCTTTGAAAGCCACCCCAGTGACCAAGAGGTAACTTGAAATCATGGGCACAAACACCCATAAATCATCATCACAGCTAAGCCGGCCCCCAGCCCCCTCCCAAGGGGTCTTCTGCTGGCACCACCACCACCACCACCCAGAAGGAGAGGTGGGTTGCCGAGTGGTCTGCTTTGGCCTGGCTTCACCAGGGATGGAAGATACTTGCAAGGTCCAGAGCCGTGGCTGACCCTGGAACTGGCAGGGAGGGGAGCTGTTTTGCAGTTGTCAAACCCAGTATCTGCCATGTGACGCTCCCTGCCCCACACTTTGCAATTCAAACCTCATCTGGGCAGGCATCCCTGAAATGCACCTTTCCCAGAGTCTTGCTGTTTCCAGAACTTAGGTATTCTCACTCAGGGAGCCGTCTTCTAAGCCACCATTCTGGAGGGCTTTCTTGGGAAAAAGCCTTTCGTGGACTCTGCATGGTGGCCCTGGGGACTGGCACTCACCTCCCCTGAGCCCCTCGCTGGAGACGGCGGAGTATCCCGACCAAGGGCTCCTCCCACCTGACCAGACGGGCCATCCACCAGCGCACCCAAGGCTGGACTCCAGCCTTCAGGGAGCCTCAGGTCCAGGTGAGTACATGGAAGAGAATCCCTGAGCCAGACCTGGGACGTTCTGGAACACTCTGGAGCCAGCTCTCTTGCAAGAGCTGTGGGCTGGGAGTTGGCACCACCAGTTCCATGGAGAAGTTGGCCTGGTGGTGGCTGTGGAGCTCTGGAACAGGAGGCCCCCAAGGGGCTGCACGCCAGTGCACAGACTGCCTCTCTCATTGCTGATGGGTGAAGCAGACCCTTGGGACAGAAGGACCCTGTGCTCCCCCGCCCCCCAGGCCAGGATCGGGTGGCTCTCATCAGAAGGCCCCACTCCAGGGTGTCGCTGTCGGCTTCCTGGGTCCCCAGCAGGCTTTGATCCTTCCCCCACAGCCACAGAGGGTGGGCCTCCCTCACCCACAGGAGTATTGGAGGGCAGTGTTCCCACCACGTGAGGTCCCCCAGGGTGCTAACTCCCCTGCCCTTTGGCTGCTGTCCTCCAGCTGTGCAGGAGTGGAGAGCAGCCCTGCTCCATACCAGCAGTGGCCAGAGGCGTTCTAGCCACCCAAGCAGGAAGCTCACAGCCCTGCCTTGACTCTAGGTTAACCAAACACAAGACCACCGTGGGCCACTGGCTGCCTCCACCTCCCCCTCCCCCAAGGCGGCCACACCCAGCACGTGGTCTGCAGAGGCCACAGTGAGCTGAACTGGGGAAACAAGGGCCTGAGGAACTGTGGAGAGAAGCCCCTTTCCCAAAGAACCTGCACAGTGAGCATGCTCTCGGAGCCCCCGCAAGGCCACTGGAGGAGACAGCCGGGCTCTGGCTACCCCAGATCTGCAGGGGTCACTGCCTTCACTCTGATGTGGAAGTGCGGCTCACAGGGCTCAAGGAGCAGGCAACGGAGCAGCCATGGAACCCCAGTCCCTGGGCTCCTGCATGCACTGAAAGCCTGGCGGGGTGGGTGGTGGGAGAAAGTACCCAGAGGTGACGGGGGAGAGGGACGAAGGCCTCAGGCCAGCTCTGATGTCCCAGAGGCATCTGAGTGCCATGGGCACTGGGCCCAGTTCAGGGCTTTGCAGGCTTCTGGATACCCCGTGTGGCTGGGTTTTAGGCCAGGACTGTGACCTGTGGTAGAAGGTCCAGAGTATCTCAGGACATCCAATCCCAGAATCTTCCTGATCCAGGGATGTCAGGCCTGAGTGACCATGCCCAGAAGCCAGAGGGAATCCTGGTGTCTGTAGCCCTGACCGAGTGTCAGGCACTTTCCCCAGGCACACTTGGGCCTCCCAGGAATGTCCTTCAGCTGCAGGGATGCAGCCCTGGATGGCATGCACAGGGTAAATCCAGAATGTTCAGACAGGTAAAAAAAAAAAAAGGGCCATAGCCATGTCAGCTGCTGGTGCTCACAGACATTCCGCTAATAAACTGTGACAATGAGGATGGCAGATGAGATGTAGGATGTTGTGGTTCAGGCCTGGGAGAGGTCGAGGCTGGTGGCCCCACAGATGGGCTGGTTCTTTTCATCACCTTTTAATGATTGCATCTGTGGGGTGAGCATGTTCCTCTCGACCTTCTGCTGTGTCCCCCTCTGAACCAAAGCCTGAAGTGGGCTGGGCCTCCTCCCATTAGGCCTCCTGCCGGGACCCGCCTTGCTTCTAAGGTGGAGGGACATCTTCCCCTGACTCGGGAGGGCCAGGTCCTGCCACTCAGACGGGAGGCCACTGCATGGAGCCAGGTCCTGCCATTCAGAGCAGGGGGCCAACGCATGGAGCCAGGGTGGTAAATATGGGCCTCCCTGACCCGACCTGCCCAGGGAGGTCCTCGGTGTTCATGTCTGCAAAACAGCAATGGGGGAGCTTGCCTCAAAAGAGTGCTGGAAATAGCAAGAGACTTCAAAGATCTTTGAAAACTTTACAAGGCACACAAAAAAATACAGTGATCACAAAATCTCTCCAAGGCACATGCAAAGAAGTATGGCCAAGGATATGTTTTGCATAACACAACCAAAGTTGTGTTATGCAAAGAAATGGGATCAACCCAGTGACCCAGCAATGAGGGACTGGATACATCCACTGGAAACATTCAGTAGAATGGGTGTGATCTCAGCCTGTTTGTCTTCTAAGGGGAAGAGGCCCATCCCTACAGAGTAGCAAGATGACACGTAAGGCATGTGCCCAGGTGCGATGCCCAGAAACAGGCCAGAGCTCATCACCTGTCTCTGGGTGAGGGGATTACAAGCAGTTTCCCTTCTTGCTACCTAGATATGCAGGTGTGTGTATACAAACACACACACACACATATACTATACACACTACCTCAGGAGGGAGGAACAAAGGAAGGAAGGAAGGAATCTCAGGTTTTTTAAATGCAGCCTGTAACATGTGAAGGTTTTTAAAATTTGCTTTTCATTTCCATTTTTATTTTAGATTCAGGGGAGGCATGTGCAGGTTTGTCACAAGGGTGTATTGCATGATGCCGAAGTTTGGGCTTCTATCGATCCTGTCACCCAGATAGTGAACATCTGTATCCAATAGGAAAATTTTCAGCCCTTACCCCCTCTTCCCTCCCTTTGGAGTCCCCAGGGTCTGTTGTTCCCATCTTTATGTCTGTGTGTACCCAAGACTTAGTTCCCACTTATAAGTGAGAACATGGGGTATTTGGATTTCTGTTCTTGCATTAATTTGCTTAGGATCATGGACTTCAGCTGCCTCCATGTTGCTGCAAAGACGTGGTTTTCTTCTTTTTTTATGGCTGCATAGTATCCCATGGTGTATACTGGATAAAGTGGACTTTATCCAGTCCACTGTTGATGGACACCTAGGTTTATTCCATGTCTTTGCTATTGTGAATAGTGCTGCAATGAGCATAGGGGTGCGTGTGTCTTTTCAGTTGAACAATTTTTTTTAGTAGATACCCAGTGACGGGATTGCTGGATTGAATGGTAGTTCTGTTTTAAGTTCTCTGAAAAATCTCCAAACTGCTTCCCACAGGGGCTGAAGCAATTTGCGAGGAATCTCTATTTTTTACAAAGAAAGCTCAAGAGAGAGGAAGCAGCGGAACCCCTCCACACAGCGCAGACCCCCAGGACCCACATGAGGAACACAGTTCTCGATTTGAAGAGACCAATTCCCAAGGAGGTTTATAAGAAGAAATACCTGTTAGTGTTCATTTACTTTCTCAGGAAGACCCCGGGGTCTGAGGAGAAGTGGTCTTTGAAGTAGTTGGTTCATAAGTTATTGACCGAGGGTCTAGGGGTAGAGGAAGCTGTGCCTGGCCAGCTCCGTGGCTGTGTTCTCCGGGGAAGAGTTATCATTTTGTTAAGAAGTTACTCTAAAGGATGCTTTTAAGGCAACGACCAGAATGTAGACAGAAACTAGCATCTGCCCCCAGAGAGTGCGTACCACCCAGGATTGCGAAAGCGCTCTCATCCCAGGTACACAAGAGCCTCTGTGTGTCTTATGGCTTTTATGATTTTAAATGACGTGAGGTATGCACGCGTGACAGCAGATTCATGGGGGCTGCAGAAACCCCTTGAGAAGAGAGGTATGTTGTCTCTGCACCTCCTGTACACAGGTTGTGTCGGGGGTTTCCTAACCTGGGGGCGGAGGAGTTCGGTGTTCGGTGCATGCGCGTTACAACTTCATCACGTGTCTCCTTCCAGCAGCCCAGCTCAGGGGCCGCGCAGGAAGCCATGGAGGCGTGCCCTTTAGCACCAGTGCCCTCCCGTGGTCCAGGCTGCCCAGGGATGTGAGGAACTGGACGCCAGCGGCTGGACCCTGAGGGACAGCTGTGGGGGCCAAGAGGACACGTGGAGGTTTTTCACCTGCGTGGAGAAAACACTTAGGGAATGGGGGAAGCATAGTCGGTTTTTAAATTTCATTTTTGCAGATTCTGCCTCGTTGTGGCTGCCATTGTTATAACTCTTGTTTCTGTTGAGAAAGTACAGAGGGTGCCTTTGGTAGCGAGTTCAGAGATCACCAGCCAGCCTCATTTACTCGTCTTCCTGAAAGCAGCACTGGGCGAGCGGTCTAAACCCCTTGGCCGCAAGGGCCGGTCCCAGCCCTGTGAGAGCTGCCTGGGGTCCACACTTTCCCAGCCCCTTCTCAGTTTGTCTGCTGGGTGCTAGACAAGCTGGGGCCAGATGCCGGGAACTCTTGACAGCCCCTGGTTTGTGCTGATTTCCTTTCCTGGGCCCCCACTGGAGTCTTTCCTGGCTCAAGGCCTCCTCGTGGAGCTTCCTGGAGCTGGGAGCACACGAGCAGGAGGATCTTCAAGGCCAGGGAGATGGAAGTGCACACAGCAGAGACATCGTCTCACACAGCAGAGACGCCGTCTCACACCTGCAGAGGACAAGATCAGCAGGTTTCAGAAGCCCCCAAAGAAATGGGGAAAGCCCAGACCGCGGGGCAGCACGGCCACCGTGCCAGCTACTAAAGTCACCTCGATGAGGTCAGGAGGTGTTTCTTTTCTTATCCTTCAATGCTTTTTGTGAAGATGAAGCTTTCAGCCATGGAAGACATGAAGCCCGTGGGCACGTAGGCCTCATCTGCTTCTGAAGCAGTGGCTTTCCACACTGCTGCTGTCTTCCGGTGGACGCGCAGGCCTGGCAGGAGTCTTTGGACACAGCACGCCTGCTGCCTCTGCCCCGCCTGCACACTGGGAGTGCCAACACCCATGTCCCTGGCTGGTGGTCCTCACAGTGCCCAGCAGCCCACAAGAAGCATTGGGTGTTGGGGGAACATAGACGGCCTATTTTCAGCCACTTAAAGGGAAAATCAGCTCAAAAATCAACAACAAAAATTTGTTGCAACACACTATACATAATTTCATGAGAAAATCAAATTACACATAATACAAAGCGATTCGGAGTCCCCCGATAGCACTGAGAAGACCTGAGCACTGCATCCTCCAGCAGCTTCTAAATCCCTTCCTCCCTTCCTAAAAAGGGAGCAACATCAAAACACTCTCCTTATGCGCCTGACTTCAGAACGCCAAGACGGTCGCCACGCTGCGCTTGCCTAGGACCCAGCCAGTGCGGGCTGCCCTGAAGCTCAGCTCCTTCCTAGCGCAGGGCTGCACACCGCTTACCGCCCTGCAGTGTGGGCGTGAGTGCCCGTGTGGTCGTTTATGTCGAGGACTGTATGCTCTGACCACGATGCCACGTGACCCAGTTCCCAAACATACGAACCCACGTCTGGACCTCAGTGTGACTTAAGACCAAGGGCCCGAGATGGCACCGGGTGCATCCGCGTCGGCGCTGAATTCGAGCCATGGTTGAAAAAGCCAAGCATGGGTTCTGCTCAGCTGCTGGAGGGAGGTGGCCAGCTCCTGCGCGGTCTCCAGGCCAGGAGGACTCGAGCCAAGCTGAGAACACTCATTTATTTGAAGCTGCTGCTTCTTTGAGACACAGAATGACACATCTAAATAGTACAGCACCAAGAAGTATGTAGCTGCCTGTATTTTTCCGAGCAAACATCTGACTGCTGTGCCAGGAAGCAATATGACAGGTATTCTGTAGTTTCAAGCAAATTGGTCTCAGATGTAGATGAACAGATTTTCACAAGGAAAGGATGGAAGTTTGTCATGTGCTGGGCCTGAGCCTGCCAGGTGCTGCGAGTTCGTTCGTTCCTGGCTAAGGATGGAAGCCGCCATCTCCTCCCCCTCTCCCTTCTCCTCTTCCCGCTCTCCCTTCTCCTCTTCCCGCTCTCCCTTCTCCTCTTCCTGCTCTCCCTTCTCCTCTTCCCCCTCTCCCTTCTCCTCTTCCCCCTCTCCCTTCTCCTCTTCCCCCTCTCCCTTCTCCTCTTCCCCCCCTCTCCCCCCTCTCCCTCCTCCTCTTCCCCCTCTCCCTCCTCCTCTTCCCCCTCTCCCTCCTCCTCTTCCCCCTCTCCCTCCTCCTCTTCCCCCTCTCCCTCCTCCTCTTCCCCCTCTCCCTCCTCCTCTTCCCCCTCTCCCTCCTCCTCTTCCCCTCCCTCCTCCAGGAAGGCCCCCCAGAAACTCCACTCCCTGAGCAGGTCCCCTGGCTTGCCTCAACCAGCATGGACTTCCATCACGCAGGTTCCCCCCAGGCTGCAGTGGAGCCATCGTGGCCTTCAGGTTTCAGTGCTCAGAGAGACAGTGCCACATTTGGGCCCTGCCTTTGCAGAAGCCCCACAGATTGGGAACCTTTGGCCCGTTGCAGTGGGGAGTGGGGGATGGGGCAGTCATGCTCGGTTCAGGATCAGAGTCCAGCACATCTGCTTTAGAGACAGCTTCTTGTGCGGGCTGGATAACCTCTCCATTCCTTGGTTTCTGCAGTGGATTGAATGGGGGCCCACAGAGAGGTCTACATTAAATTCCTGGAACCCGTGAATGTGATCTTATTTGGAAAAAGGGCCTTACCAGATATGATTACGTTAAGGAGCTCAAGATGAGATCATGCTGGATTATCCTGGTGGGTCCTAAATCCAATGACAGTTGCCCTTATAATAGACAGAAAAGGGCCGGATGCAGCAGCTCACGCCTGTGATCCTAATACTTTGGGATGCCAAGGCAGGAGGATTACTTAAAGCCAGGAGTTGAAACCAGTCTGGGCAACTTAGCAAGACCTTGTCTCTCTAAAAAATACTTTAAAGATTGGCCAGGCAGGTGGCACACACCTGTAGTCCCAACTACTCAGAAGGCTGAAGATGGAGGAGGATCACTTGAGCCCAGGTGGTCAAGGCTACGGTGAGCTATGATAACACCACTGTACCCCAGCCTGGGCGACAGAGAAAAAACCCTGCCTCCAAAAAAGAGAAAAGGGGAAGACACAGACGCAATGGAGAAAGCCATGCAAAGACAGAGGCAGAGATGGAAGTGATGGCAGCCACCAGCTGAGAAACACCTGGAGTCACCAGCAGCTGGGGGAGGGAAAGGAGACTGCTCCCCTCACGCCTTCGGAGGGAGTCTGGTCCCGCCAGCACCTGATTACAAACTCCAGAACTGTAGGAGAAGACATTTCTGCTGCTTTCATCCCCCCAGTTGGTGGAATTTGTTGCAGCAGCCCCAGGAGCTCCTGCAGCCACCTCACCTGCAGAACAGGGATGGCAGCGGCCGCCCTCACGAGGCCATACCCAGGTTCCAGTGAAGGCGACCTGGCTTCCTGGCATGTGCAGAGTGCTCAGATTGTGGTGGCGGCTCCTTGGCTTCCTGGCATGTGCAGAGTGCTCAGATTGTGGTGGCGGCTTCAGGTTAGATTTTTGCATCAGACAAGCCCAGGTTCCAGTCCCTAATTCCTAGCTGTGGGACCCTCAGGGATGTATTTGCTCTCAGAAGCCACAGCTGCCTCACCTGAGGAAAAGCAGGCACGTGTCCACCCTGCAGGTCTTCTTTGGCATTTAATGGAAAGTTCTTTCCGTTGCCCATGCAACGTGCCTGTCATTTTGTATGACGGGGTAATGCCCAGACCACTGACTTCAGTACCCTAGGCCGTCCCTGAAGGGTGGGGAATTTATGCAGCGTCTTTTCTGGATGGAAAGCTGTTGAACATGGAGGTTCGTGGGATTGTGATGTGCACCTGGCATGGGTGTGTAACATCACAACTGGATCTTTGACGAACCTATAACTGGGGTTGCAGCTTAAGGTGGCCACCCTGCGAGACTGTGCCCTATGTCAGGGACACTCAGAAGGGCCTCTCTGACAGCAAATGCCAGGGGCATTTATGAGCCACATTTTTAAAAGCAGCAACAAATAAGGATTCCCAAAGCCCATGCCCCCCACTGGCTAGGCCTGCCTCTGATGTCCACGACAACATTCACAGCTAAGCTTGGTCACTGGGGACATGTATTTGCTCAAAAACAGCAAGGTACATTTTTAATACTAATGGCATCAAAATGAATCCTAAAGCCACTGTAAATAAAGCATTGTAGGGCCAATGCCACAACAGACATAAGTAGATCAATGGAGCCAACTGGCCCGTCCAGAAACAGCCACAGGTCTGTGGAATCTCAGGATGTCATCATATGGCATTTCAGTTCCGTGGGGAAAGGAGTCATTTAATACATGGTATCAGGACAAACTGGCCAAGCTATTTGGAAATAACGCAATTCCAGAAACCTTAGGGTTCTAAACATTTGTTAAATTGGGTTTTAACTGTTACTGTATCAGCTGAAAATAGGAGAAACATGCATCCATGTCTGCATTTGCAGGAAGTGCCTGAGAACACGGCAAGAACTCAGAAGCTGGCCGGGCACAGTGGCTCACGCCTGTAATCCGAGCACTCTGGGAGGCAAAGGTGGGCGGATCACGAGGTCAGGAGATCGAGACCATCCTGGCTAACACAGTGAAACCCCATCTCTACTAAAAAATAGAAAAAATTAGCTGGGCGTAGTGGCGGGCGCCTGTAGTCCCAGCTACTCGGGAGGATGAGGCAGGAGAATGGCGTGGACCCGGGAGGTGGAGCTTGCAGTGAGCCGAGATCGAGCCACTGCACTCCAGCACTCTAGCCTGGGTGACACAGCGAGACTCCATCTCAAAAAAAAAGAACTCAGAAGTCATAAAGAAGAAGGTTGACTTGCCTGACCTCATGAACCTGTTGGAAACAGAAGACAAATGGTACCCTAGGAGAAACCATTGGCAACATGTAAGACAGAAAGATTGTGTCCACAATATATAAAAAACTTCTACAAATCAATAAGGAAAAGGCAAACCACCCAGAAGATAGATGAGCAAGGAATATAGACAGGCACTTCGTAAAGGGAAACATACAAGCAGCAGCTGGAAGCCTCTAGAAAGAGCAGCAGAAGGACCCAGTAAGCTTGAGAGTGATCACCTGGAGTGACCTCCAGGGGACCTCCCACCTCACGAGTGATCATAGCATGACAAATTAAAGCAGGAGATAGCATTTTGTTGTGATCTGGGTGAAAAATGCAAACGACGTGTAATTCTTTGTCCACAGTGTAGAGAAGGGGCAGGCATTCACTGTTGGTAGTAATGTTGGCATGTTTTTGGAGGGTAGTGAGGCAGTATTGATTAAAATGGTAAATGCCTATGCCATTTGACCAAACAATTCCACTTTTAGGAATCTATTCTACAGAGTTATTTCCATGAGTATATAAGGCTGTAGCTACAAGGATACACATGGCACTGTTGTTTGTAACAGCAACAAATGGGGAACAGCACAAATGTCCCATGGGCATGGGGTTGGCTGGATACATCCCAGTAAATATGTCCACACAACACAGAACAATTCTGCTATTAAACGTGGTAGAGTAGCCCTCTATTTACTGACATGGGAAGGTAGTCATGACTCACTGCTGAGTGAAAAAGGCATATAAGAAAACATCAGGCTGGGTGCGGTGGCTCACGTCTGTAATCCCAGCACTTTGGGAGGCCGAGGCGGGCAGATCACAAAGTCAGGAGATCGAGACCATCCTGGCTGACACGGTGAAACCCCGTCTCTACTAAAAATACAAAAAAAAATTAGCTGGGCATGGTGGCGGGCGCCTGTAGTCTCAGCTACTTGGGAGGCTGAGGCAGGAGAATGACATGAACCTGGGAGGCAGAGCTTGCAGTGAGCCGAGATCGCACCACTGCACTCCAGCCTGGGTGACAGAGCAAGACTCTGTCTCAAAAAAAAAAAAAGAAAAGAAAACATCAGGTACGATCAGTGGTGTTTTATTAAACTAAATTTTTAAATTGTGCTTACAGACATAAAATTGTGGAAGAGAGATCATCAGATTATTTGCAGGAAGACATCTTAGTGGAAGTTGGACAGTTGGAGAGAGCTGCTTTGGTTGTGTGCCTATGTGTGAGTGAGTTGGGGAGAATTACTTTGGTGTGTGGGCCTGTGTGTGAGTGAGTTGTGCAGAGTCGCTTTGGTGTGTGGGCCTGTGTGTGAGTGAGTTGGGAAGAATTGCTTTGTGTGTCTGTGAGTGAGTGTGTCTGTGTGTGTGTTGTGTTGCTTTTCAGAGTTATTCAACTCTTATAAAAATGTCTTTATTTTCTAAGAAAGAAATAGTTGTTATCACTTTGAAAATATGATCCATGATTGTGTTTTAAAACTATATATATGGCCATGTTGTAACATTTTTTAAAAAGACCATCTGCAGAGCAAGGTGCTTCAGTGATTATCTCAGCACGAGGAAATCACTTCATTTTTTGTGTGCTTAACTGTACATTCTCAATTTTTGCCATGGAAATGCATTATGTTTGTAATCATAAAAGAACACACTTACTGGGTGAAGAGGAAGGACCCTGACACATGTACTAAGAAGACAGCATGGGCCCACGCATCTGACCACGTGACTGGTGTCACGTGCTTGACCAGCTGTTTATCAGCTTCGCCTCTCCACTTGCAGGGCAGCTGAGCACAAATACTCCAGGTGAGGTCATGCCCAGCCTGTCATCAGATAGCACATCAACATAAATGCAGTATCACTTCAGGGCTGTGAGGTCTCAGAGGGAGGGGAAAGGGTGAACTAGAAAATGAAGAGGGGCGTCCTGAAGGAGGTGGCAATCAAACTGCATCAGCTGGAGCTGGGCAGGACATAGAGGGCATCTTGAGTAAAAGAAGCAACTGGACTCCAGGGAAGAGGAGAGGAGGGCCCAGGTGCCACGGTCCCTACAAGATGAGACTTGGGGACTGGAGGGCCAGGCTGGGAGAGGGCAGACCCCTTTGCCATGAGCACAGGCAATGTGGGGCCAGTTCTTAGTGACATTTCAGATGGTGACCAGTCAGAGGACAGCAGGACGTGGTGGTCATCTACTCTCTTTCACAGGGGACACAGTGGGCCCAGCACCCCGGCCACATGTGATGGAGCCTCCAGGCCTGCCCAGCACCTACTGCCCTGGGACAGGCTCTCTTTCAAGTCAGCTCCTCTGTCCAGGAAGCATCTGAGAGGCCCTGTGGTCCTGGCCAAGGAGGCAGGCCGTAAGGAGGGCAGGCCCGAGGACGTAGGTGTGGCAACACTCCGTGTGGAGTAGTCTCTGAGGCCAGACCTGCGGTTCCTGTTTCCTGTGCCCTGGGGACCCAGAGAAAGAAGACGGATGGGCGCTGCAGTGGGGCGGAGCAGGCCTGAGCCCAGCTCGAGGAAAGCTTGCCTTCTCGTCTAGTGTCCCCGTGTTTTACATAATTAGGTAAGTCACTTAATGTCGCTGTGTCTTGTTAGAGAAGCTACTAATCCTTAGAGCTAACAGAACTAACTAATTAGTGTAGAACACTTGGAAAATATAAGAAATTCAGATGTAGAGTGTAATGTCCCAGTCCTCCCGGCATTGATGCTCGCACAGTGTCCCTGGTAGAGCCGCGGGCCTGGCTGCATCAGGAGGGATGGGTCTTGGAGGCGGTGGCATAATTGAGACACCTGTTCTGAAGCCCCAGGGCTGCCGGCCACACACCCTGCCCTGCTTAGCCAGCTGTAGGCCACGTGGGGACAACAAAAAGGGAACTATCCAGGGGCCATCTGCCTTGCTACCCCGGCACCTTGAGGCAGGGGCAGCCAGGTCAGGGGACCATGGGCTCAGAGCCCGTCGGAGCCACAGGGAGGTGCTGACATGGCCTGAGGGCTGGAGCTTCCCCCTGGGAGTGCCTGGGCTTCCACAGACTGGTGGTGGCCGAGGTCAGGGGAGCCGGATGTGGCAAGCCCCGGGTTTGGCTCTGGACACTGCCCATGACTGGCCATGCCTCAGCAAACCTGCTTTGCCCTCCGCCTTCTCTTCTCTGAAACGGAGCTAATGACGCCGCCTCGCAGCTCCTCCAGAAGGTAAAGACGGGATTACGGGACACCTGGCACACAGCCTGGCGGATGGCACTCACTGCTGTTTTCCTCCGTGACAGAGAACCGCAGAACTTCCTTCACAGTTGGCGAGCTATTCAGAAATGATACCCGAGTCCGAGGCTCGGCCTTCACTCGCTCCAAGCTCCGGTGGCACCTGCAGCCACCTGTAGGGTGTGCCTTTTCCTCTAGTATTATTGGAAATAAGATAGACAATCAAGTGTTCACTTCCTAAGGATGTATGGAGCTGTCGGCAAATCATTAATCTCTCTTTAAACCACGGTGACAATATTTACATTTAAGATCAAGATGATGATTATCTGAAGAACTCCCCTGGAAGCTCTTCTCACAACTGGAAAAACACAGCAGCCAGTTAGCAGAGCCACGTCCCAGGCCAAAATAACTGCCTGACAGTCCACGGGGCCAGGAGTCTACAGGGTGTTGGCGTGGGGAGGCGTGCTTCCCGCAGAGGCTGGAGGGCTGCTGTTGGCAGAGTAGATGGAGCTGCTCGGGGCACAGCATTCTGGCCCAACCTTGCAGGAATGTGGTTCTGACAAACCAGCTGGAGAAAAGCATTTCTGAAAAGAACTGTTTTAAGTTATTAAAAAAAAAAAAAAAGAATTTGGGGGCCTGACACGGTGGCTCATGCCCGTAATCGCAGCACTTTGGGAGGCTGAGACAGGTGGATCATCCGAGGTCAGGAGTTTGAGACCAGCCTGGCCAACATGTTGAAACCCCATTAGTACTAAAAATACAAAACATTAGCCAGGCATGATGACATGTGCCTGTAGTCTTAGCTACTCAGAAGGCTGAGGCAGGAGAATAGTTTGAACCTGGGAGGCAGAGGTTGCAGTGAGCCCAGATCACGCTACTGAACTCCAGCTCGGGTGACTGAGTGAGACTCTGTCTCAAAGAAGAAAAAAAATGAAAACAGAATTTGTGACCAAATGGTGCAGAAAACAACTGAGTCACAACAGAAGTGAAAAGCCAGGTAGTGGGTGTGCTGGGCACGGCCTGGCCAGGCCTTGGTTCCGAGAGAGAACCCCCGTGCCGTCCAGCACTGGGGGAGGCGTCCTCTAGGAGCTGCTCATTTCAGTCTTTTGTGCTCCTCATGCTGCTGTCAAGCCTGAATGATCAGCCCAGGACTCTCAAGGGGGTGTGAACAGCTTGGCGTGGTCTGATCAGGCCACTTTCCTCGTGTTGGTCTCTACATCAGGGCACTGGCATCTTTAGCAAGTGTTTTAGGAAACAGGTAACATCATCAACAAAAGCCAACATGTCTGCTCTTGATCAAGCACCTCCACATATATTGAGACCCCTGACGCCCACAACATCCTGTTAGATACTGTATCTCCGCCATCCCAGGACAGGTAAGTGCTTTGCCCTGAATCACCTCACTTTTCACCAGGATGTCTAGACTAGGGCCTGAGTCCATCACCCCAACATCTGTGCTGATCCTGCTAGGTAATGACGCCCCTTCCTTATCGTTCTAGAGTCAAGCCTAGATCCCCTACAAATACCCATGCACACTTAGAGCTCACTCTGGTTAAATGTTCCAAGAAGGATGTTGGATGGTCACTTGGTATCATCCCATGGAGTTCAGGATACCCCCGCCCTCTGAGCAGCCATTCCTCTCCCGAGCACATTCCCCTAGAGAAGCTCTGCACGTGTGCACAGGCACCAGCTGCAGGAGTGCCATCCACAGCACAGCTGTTTATGAAAAACCGTAATCAACCCAAACATCTGTATGAAGAAAAACGAAGAAATGCAGAGTGGCATGTTCACATGATGGAATACTATGCAGCTGAGAACATGAACAATTGGAGCCATGGCATGAATGAAGCTGAGAGATTTGAAGCGTCAACCAAGTAAGCTGTAGGAGATTACATGTGGTGGAAGACTAGTTTATAAATCTCACAGACAAGCCTTAAAGAAAATGTATCTCTTGAAATAAATGTATACACACAATTATACACATATATATGATAAACCCTTTTAAAAGGCAAGGGAATGATCAATAAAAACATAAACTGTTCCCTCTGGGCCAAGGCGGAGGGCAGGCCATCAGATCAGCAGGAAGTTGATCTGGTTTTGAATTGGGTTGTGTGTGCACTGGAGTCAAACATTATTTTACAGAATATATTTCATATATATTTTACACATATTTGCTTTTTTGTTTCAGATATTTCACAAGTTTTTAAAAATGTAAGCAGGTCATGAGGCCGCTGTCCAGGACAGCAGCATGCCCGTTTCTGGTGATACTTGGTGCAGAGGGTAACTCCAGCAGCTGTGCGTGCTGACCCCTCCAGCCAGCTCTGGGCAAGGGGTTGTTTCCTCCCAGCTCAGTGGCTGAGCAGAGCTCCAGCTGGCGAAGGACCCAGGCTCTGCCAACATTGTGGACATCCCCTCCACAGGCCCTGGGGTGCCCTGTGCAGAGGCAGAGGGTGACCGGGAGCAGTGGGCAGAGCCCGGACCCTCCTATCCCGGGAGGAGCCTCAGGTCCTCTTTGGCAAAGAGCAGGATCCGGTAGCTTGAGAAGCTGTGCAGCTGCCGCTGGGTGCACCCTGTCACTCAGCAAGGCAGCTGCTCCGGAACAGGCACTGCTTCTAGAATCCACTTCCTTCTCGCAGGACCAGATGTGTCAGCAGGTGACAAGAACAAGTCCAACGCCACCTCACAAGGGCTTTGGCTTTGGGATCCCCTACCTGCAGGGCCTGGGTTTTGGAGAATAAGGCTTGGCCCCAAGAGTATTCAGATCTGCAGCAGAGCAAGATGGGATGCAACATATCTAGATAGATAACCTCACCCCAATCACAGGCTTCGTGCATGGACCCGGTGCAAAGGGCAAAGGTTATGAAGTATCACTTACCCAATGCCCCAAAGAGCCCTTCAGGCCTGGGAGGAAATTCTCAGGAGAGCCTGTGGAAGAAGGGGTTCAGTGGAGGGACGCTGCTGCCTGGGAAGGAGCCTCCAGCCCTTCCAAAGGCCACACTTTCAGCAAACTTCACATTAAAAGACCCGCCAGTGCCTGATGGTTACTGAGACTGGTGTTTGCTAGACCCTTTCTCAAAAATGAGTCAAGGCAGGGCACAGTGGCTCATACCTGTAATCCCAGCAGTTTGGGAGGCCAAGGCAGGCAGATCACCTGAGGTCAGAGCTCGAGACCAGCCTGGCCAACATGGTGAAACCCTGTCTCTACTAAAAATACAAAAATTAGCCGGGCGTGGTGGTGTATGCCTGTAATCCCAGCTACTCGGGAGGCTGAGGCAGGAGAATCTCTTGAACCTGGGAGGCGGAGGTTGTGGTGAGCCGAGATTGCACCACTGCACTCCAGTGAGACTCTGTCTAAAAAAAAAAAAAAAAAAAAAAACTCATGCCCACTTTTCTTACTAATTTATTTTGCTATGGAAAAATACAGTTTTTAAAATTATATATGCTGCTTGTTAATAGTGTTTTATTATTTTTAATACTTTTTATTTCTCAGTTTCATTTTCTAGTATGCTATCAACAGATGGAAACCACATATCTATTATTGACCACCTCAATATTTATGAGTATAAAGGTGAAGAGAGCACACGTTCTAAAAAGGGCAGTGGGGGACATTCATGCTTAAGAATTTCCTACCAGAGTTACATCCAAAGAAAATGATGTTACCCAAAAGAAATAATCAGCAGAGTAACAGATAACCCGCAGAATGGGAGAAAATATTTTCAAGTTACGCATCTGGATACAAAGGACTACTATCCAGAATCTACGAGGAACTCTAACAAATCACCAAGAAAGAAAACAATCTAATTAAAAAGTGGGCAAAGGACACGAATAGACATTTCTCAAAAGAAGATACACAAATGGCCAAAAAACTATGAAAAAATGCTCAGCGTCACTAGTCATCAGGGAAATGCACATTAAAACCACGAGATACCACCTAACCCCGCAAGTATGGGCATTATTAAAGTTTAAAAAACAAAAGCTGTTGGTGTGGGTGGGGAAAGGGAATGCTTCTACACTGCTGGTGGGAAGGTCAATTAGTACAACCACTATGGAAAACAGTATGGAGATTCCCTACAGAACTAAAAGCAGATCTACCATTCGATCCAGCAATCCCACTCCTGGGTATCAACCCAAAGGAAAAGAAGTCATTATATGAAAAAGACACTTGCACACATATGTTTATAGCAGTGCAATTCACAATTGCAAAGATGTGGAACCAACCTAAGTGCCCATCAACCAATAAGTGGATAAGGAAAATGTGGTGTCTATACACCATGGAATACTACTGAGCCGTTAAAAGGAATGAAATAATGTATTTTGCAGCAACTTGGGTGGAGCTGGAAGCCATTATTCTAAGTGAAGTAACCCAGGAGTGAAAACTAAAAACCATACATTCTCGCTTATAAGTGGGAGCTAAGCTATGAATCCACAAAGGCATACAGAGTGATACGGACTTTAGAGACTCAGAAGCGGGAGGGTGGGAAGCAGGCTAGGGATGAAAAAAAAAAAAAGAAAAAACTACACATTAGGTACAACGGACACCACTCGGGTGATGGGTGCAATAAAATCTCAGAATTCACCGCTCTGTAATTCATCCATGAAACCAAAAACCACTTGTACCCCAAAAGCTATTGAAATTCAAAACTTAAATAAATGATGCCACATCGTTAGCCACGGGAGCTTATTTCTCAACTACAGTGAAATGCCACAAGCCTCCCCTTCTCCCGAGTCTCCCTTCTGTGATGTGGCATTTGAGACAGCATCCCAGGGCAGTGGTGGTGCCCAACTTATTACTAAGCTGCATTATTTGGTAAGTCAGAGATGGATCGCTTCTAAACAAGCTTACCCTTTTCCATAAAGATTAAAACACCACCACCAAAAAAGAACGAGATTTTTTTGAAGAAACAAACCCAGGCTGCAGGCCGAGGGAGCTGTCAGCATCGTTCATCCTCATGTTCGCTGGGCTGGGGGGAGGAACTGGCAGCTGTTCGCCAGTGATTCAGTTTTCTTCGTTGTGTGTTTCGTAAGTGGTTTTTAACCAGGCGCCCTTAAAATGTATTATTGTTAGAAAATAAACCAAGAAAGAAGGGATGGTAATTTAGTACTAGGAAGTTAATTCTGGAGGCCTCCAACCTTTCAGCAGTCATGTGGCTATTGATTTTCAATACCATGAGGTGGCGGCCACCCTAGGCGTGGGGTTCAGTGGATTCCAAACAGTTTCTCCCTTATCAGTTGAGTCCCTGAGTACTTGAGCATTAAGACAACAAATGTCCGGAGTTAACGGCGTGTCACATGGCAGCTGGGTGGACGTGCCAATTTTCTAATGAAGTTGGGTTGTTGGCAAACACACCAGTCATCATATATTGAAGGAGGTCTTCTTTTGTGTATTTCCAGCACTCTTGAGTGCTTCGAAAGATACCAGTTACATCATTGTCTGAGGGCCAGGCACCAAGGGAGAAACATCCGTCCCCTGCCAAGACAAACACAAGCAAAAGCAGAGTTAAAACCAAAATGGGGCTGGGTTTTCTTGGAGGTGTTGGAAATGTTTTTTCCAGTTGTGCTTAATGGGGGGATATTCGGAAGGAAAGCAGGGGCTCCTAAGTCCTCGTTTCTCTGCAACAAGAGGCACCAGGGTCTTTCCTTGCTCCCAACTTAGCTTGCACTCTGTGCGGGAGAATCAGCCTCATTTTTCTTCACATTGAAGAAAAACAGTCAATGCATTTTGGGTCCAAACCACTGTGTAGTGGAGGGATGACACAGGCTCTCAGATAAGCTGACCGCATCTATACCTCAGCAGACTCTGGGAGATCCTCACCATCTCTGCCCTCTTCCTCCACTCCCCACCAATAATAAATTAGGGCTGCCATCTTGTATTGATTACTGAAAATGTTATGTCCATGGGAAGAAAATGCCATTTCTTTAAATATCAACATTACAAGAGATTTAAATGCTTTGTTTTCTTTTGTTTTACAGAAATGTGTGTGTGAAAAAATTTTAAGCAATTGAAAGGAGCCGGGGTGTGGTGGGAAGAATTATTAAATAATAAAAAAAAAATCAATCCTCAGTTTGGCCTGGCCAGACGAGTGTTTCTCGGCTCAGGTAAGTAGTTTAAAGTCAGACATGTCTCATACTGGACTTTTTACAGGAATGGCAAAACTTATAATGAAATTCAACAAGGAAACTGGAAAAACAGCCAAATTGGTGCAGCAAAGTGGTTAATAGGATCATTAGCCTACTCGCTGTATTTTTTTGGACATTGTGTGCCTGTACTGCCGCACTCGAGAGCAGATTGCAGGAACAGGCTGACAGTTAGGAGCTAGCTCAGCAGTGCTGGGTACAAACTGCCATCTTCCTGTGGATTTACAGCTGCCACTTCTGCTACTTCAATTAGTTCTATGGCACACAGATGTTGCTTAAATGTTGCTGCTAATGATACTGCAATAAGCGTAAGATTCATGCCATATTTTGAGGCACGTAAATTTCTCAAGTGGCACAATTAAAGTGGAAATATTAGGTGGTGAGAACTTGGCAGTCTCTCCAACTTGGAAGGCGCACCCGCTATGCAATAATGGGTCAAAAATTCATTCAAGTTTTACTGCTGTTCCGAGTTTTAAAAGACTTTTCACAGTTGAATGCAAAGTAGTAAAAACCAGGGTATTAGGAAATGAGAATGCAGTTCTGTTATTCAGACATGACTTTTAATTTCAAATTGAAATCACATGCTCACTTTTCTGGATATGACCGAAGGGAAAAGGTACAGGCTGAAGAGATTTTGTCTTTAAGGGTAAAAGTCCCGAGTGGAAATGAATTTATTGCTGGGCCAGCCTCAAAATCAGCACTGTCCATGACTGAGGAAGTGTGGCGATCGCCTCCCACCCAGAGAAGCAGCCGCATTTGTACTGGAAGCCAAGTTCATCAGCAGCTCTCTCTCTATCCACCCCCGGACAGGGTCTCAAACCAGGGACTGGAGAAGTGTGTTGGGACAGGCACACACATGCACACATGTGCACACACTGTGTGTCCCACCAACACAACGCATGCACATTCACACACACACACTTGGTCTCTGCCTCATACACACATGCACACACACTTGGTCTCAGCCTGTTACACATTCACGCACACACGCTCCATCTCTCCCTCCTACACGTGCACACTCGCACATGCATGCACGGTCTCTGCCTCTTACACAGGTAGAGAAGAAAAAGACAAGTGGGCTTCCAGGAGTCTCACTTCTGCCTGCACGGAGTCTCCATTAGTATTTCTCTCCCTCATTTATCATCCCGGGCACAGTCCCCTGCCTGTCGCCAAATTTTCTTTTCCATGAAAAATCTCTCCTTCGGAGAAGAGCTTCTCCCTGACTGGTTGTCAAATACGCTTTTGATTTTCTCACACACCGACTTAAAAGGCAGGCGGTTCAGGGCAAAGCCGGCACCCAGTAGGCCTTTCTGCTTCTCGAATCTTTGACTGTGCAGGTTGTTCCCCCACCCCCACCCCATTTTAACTTATTGATTTGAACTGTCAAGTAAATGACTCCGTTGCACTTAATCAGAATCATAGACTTCTGCCATCCCAATTAGAATTCGAGGCCATGCACCGGAGCTCCACATGTGTGGCTCTGCTGGAGGGCTGGGCACAGCCCCTGCACCTAGGGCTCTCTGGTGCGATGGTTTGCAGGATAAATCCTGCCCTGGGAGCAAAGGCCATCTGCAGTAGGCATGCAAGCCGATGCTGTCCTGTAGGTATTTGCCAAATATTTATTTTTCCCTGAAATGATGCAAACGATTTGGTGAAGCCTTCCCATGACCAATTCAGGATGCGGAATGATTTAGCATTCAGTAAATTTCACAACACCTTTCTGCCTCCCTCTTCCCTCTCCCCTCTCCCCTTCTCCCCACCTCACCCCACCTCACCCCCTCCCTCTTCCTTCCTCTTTTCCTTCCCTCCTCCTTTCTTTTTTACCCTCTCCTGCCCCTGACCCGGTACCTATACCACTTGGATTATTTACAGCAAATCTTACAGATGTCAGTATTGTCTTGTTCTGAAGCTAAAAAGGACAATGAGTTCCCGCTGACCTCGGTACAATGGATCTCGCTGGAGCACAATATGTATTTTATACAGGCAGTGAAAAGCCTACAAGTAATTGAGAGAGAGAGAAATGTCACTGTAGCATTTCTGTTGACACTGCACTCTGCGTGTGGAGGGAAGCCCGGGGCCTGGCGGCAGAGGAGCAGCCGCAGCCGCGCTGTGCACCCAGGAACCTGTCCTTCAGGAAGGAGGCGGCGGTAGAAATTAATCTGCTCAGATTTTCCAACTAATGAAGTATTCCCAGGACCGAAGGGGCCACACAGAGACGTCTGCGGCGCTGCTTCCCATTCGCGCAGATGCACACGGATTCCGGGCCCAGCGCTAACTCGGATGTGTTTTCCAGCTCCGTTTATTGTCTTCCATAATGCTTAACGTACTGTTTGTATATGTTGTCCTTGCACTATATTTTGATATGCTCTCATATATTTTATTCATCTCTGGCTTTCTACGAAGGCAAGCTCGCAGCAACACTGAGAATAATTATTCTCCGCCATCAATCAAGAGTCTCCGTGGTTGGCTCCTCATGGGATGGCCTTGATTTTAAGCATGAAATGTAACTCTTGCTCTTTGGGGCCATTTCATTCTTTGTTCCTGGGGCCTGCCTGTGGGCTCGTCGGGACACTAGAGAGCAGGCATTCCCGTGGCCGCGGGAGAGCCGCGTTCCTGGCTGGCCATTCCCGGGCCCTCTAGAAGGGAGCGGCTGAGAGCTCTTTAGCCCTACTTGGGGTTTAAAAGTGAAAAAGGAGCAGCTCTTCCTGGTGGAAATTGCGAGCAGAGGCTGCGTGAGTTCCGTAACTCGCACACAGCCTCCATTTGGAGCCAGAATGAGCACGTGAGGGACCCCGGGCAGAGGGGCCAGTGCTGACATTATGCTCCATGCAACCTCCCATCCTGTTGTGGGAGATGGTGCAGACCAGGGGAGGGAGTCAGTGTGTGAGGGGATGAGGCTCCAGTCCTTTCCTGGGCACCAAAGCCAAATCCCCCCTGAGCACAAGGATCTTCCCTGGGTGACTGCAGAAGCAAGGAGACCTGGCCCACCGTCCCTGCTGGCTTCCTACTGCCCAGCCGCGTCTCTGCCTCCCTACCCCAAAGCCTGCAGCTCCTAAGTGCACTATTTGGGCTGTCTTGTTTGCAGCGGATGTTTGAAAGACAGACCCTCTTCTCTAGTGCTGGCCTTGAGTCCTCAGAGAGCTGCTGTTTCCTGGGTTTCTAGCTCCATGGAGGCAGAAAGAGACCCCAGGGTGGCCTTTGGAGGAAGATGAGCCCCCTGGGTTAACCGAGCTTCTGCAGTGGTGCTCCTGGGTCATCACTGTTGCCACTGGTCAGAGCCAGAGTGTGTCTGCCTGTGCTCTCCTGAACACAGTGGAGCTATTTCCAAGTTCAGGTGAAGGGGACATGGAGGTTAAGCAAGGCCAGAAAGACAGAGACGTCCTCTTCCCCTGGTAGCAGGTATTTAGCAGATGGGAAAATATTAGCAGATGGGAAATCAGCAGATACACTCAGCTCAAGATGCAAATTTAAAAGCCGCCAGCCCCTGTACTAAATATTTACACTGAACATCTCTACTCCATCATCCGTCTTTTATTTTTGTGAGCCCGTACAACTGCTCTTATTACAAAGTCATGTAAAAGTTGAGGAAAGAAAATTTCACCCTTGGAAACAAATTCATGATGAATTAAATTTCAGCATGAAAATAGAAAAAAAAAATTCAAATTTCTGTTGACTTTTGGGCTTATGTCCTGAAAGAGTTAACATACATTCTTCCATACATAACTTATTCACGTAAATTAAATGGTACACCCCCAAAACTTGTTTCCCTAAGCTGATATTGAAACTTCCATTATTGAACAGTTTTTAAAAATGCAATTCTAATCCCTTTTTAAGTTTCAATACCAAAAAAAAAAAAAAAAAAAACACTCCTGAGCCTCCAAAAGCCACCCTCTTCACAGACCACAAGGGCCAGATCTGCCACGTGGTTTTTGTGGACAGATTCTTTCTCTCCACATTAAAATCCTAACTGCCACGTCACACCCGCATAGAACCTCAGTAACACCTTGACGTGTTTTCTCGCTTAGTCCTCCAGAGGCCTGTGAGGCCAGGCCTGTTACATCCACTTTACAACAGGGAGACTGAGGCTGGGATATAAAACTCACCAAGGCCCATAGATGCTTGTCATCAGAAGGGCTTGAATCCGGCTTTTTTTGACTCCAAGTCTCTCGTGCTGTCAGCCGTATCCAGGGATTGAACTGGATACTTTCAAAGGGACTCTCAATCTATAAAATTCAACAATTGCCATTTTATACGCCAGTGGATTCATTTATTCCTCCAACAAGCATTTGCAAGCCTGCCATGGGCCAGGCACTGTTCTGGGGTCTGGGGATATAACCATGAAGTCCCTGCCCCAGTGGGGTTTACATTCTAGTGGAGAAGATAATGAAGAAGAAAGTCCGTAATAACATTTCACATCATGGCTCTGCTATGAAGAGAGCACAGGCAGTGGGGTTTAGGTCAGACTGGGAAGTGCCTCGTAATCTACTATCTTGCAAGTTTTAAGATGGGATCAAATTTAGAAACAGAAGGCCGATAGCAGATGACAAAATCTGCCCTTCTTCAAAGGTGCCCTTCATCCCCAGAATGAATGGCCCCTGCCTGCGTGGACTTGGTCACCCCAATTCAAACTCAGCGTACTCAGTGCCATTGCCCTGGTGATTTTTTTCACACTCAAAAATTGGACGAGAGCACAAGGCTTGCCCACATTGTCACCACAGAAAGACGCTACGCTGGTGCATGAGGAAGTTACCCAAGTTACAGGCCCTGATTAATTTCACTCTGTTACTTATATTAGAGTGTGGTTACCTTAGCAACTGCAGAGTGGGTTGCTGTGGTGTCTGCATTCGACAGCCTGAGCTTTGAAAGCCCGCAGGGTGGGATGTCGGAAGGGCAGGCACATCTGGCCCAGAAGATAGTGGTGATCCCTCGGGCCGTCTTCAGCTCGCCAGGGTCCTTAGTTGGTTCAACTGTCCGTCACGGTGTCCTGCTGCTCCTGCTCACCTCTCCCATGCAGCTGGCTGCATTGTACCTCACCTCCAGCACCACTCTGCCTCCACACCTGCCCTCCCAGTCCTGCCAGGGCAGGGCCTCCTCCCTTTTGTCTTCCTGCTGGGCTCCAGGCTCCTGAGAAGCAAAGCAGTGTCTCCCTTGGTCACTGCCCCCAGGCGCCAGCCAACGGCCAGCACTGCACAGGCATGGCAGGCCCTTGATAGGCAGCGATGCTAAATGGGGTAGCTCTGTTTGTTCCAATCACCTTTAAAATGCTGTTTTATAGACAGTATTTGATAGGCTTATTTCAGCTGATTTCTAGACCTAATTTTTAAAAGCAATTATTAATCTATTTCCCAATGACTTTGATTGTAACTTGAAAACCAAAATCTAATAAGAAACATTTTGAGAAGACAGTGAAGTTCAAGGTCAGGCATCATAAATGGAGAAGTGAGGAGCCCTAAACCACTGGCCGTGCCTCGTCAGCTCTGAGCTCCTCATTCCCACCTTTCCTCCTCGTTCAGCTTTATCCTTCTCTTCCTTCCATCAGACCAGAACAGTTTTCCCAATGGCAAAAACATATTTTCATTCTAATAACACTGAGACATGACTGCCCTTTCTCCTTTCTGTCTGTATCTACATTTAAGTTACACGTAGTTACATTTGAATAAAACAGATTTGAAAGATTATGTCATAAACCTGGTACCAAAACCTAACCAAGATATTGAGAAAAAAGATATGTCAATATTTTTATGTACAGAAATGAAAAAAATATTTTACAAAATATTAGCAAAGGAAATCAAATCAAGCAATGAACAAGTGGGTTTATCCCAGGAATGCAAGGTTTGTTTAGGGTCTGGAAATCAGTCAATGTAATTTGACACATTAACAGAATAATAAAGGAGAAAAAAACAATCATCTCAGTAGATGTAGAAAAAATATTTGATGAAATTCAACACTCCTTTATTATAATTTCTCAGCAAACTGTAAATGGGAACTATCCTAATCTGATAAAAGTCACCTATGAAAAGTCCACAGATAGTATACTTAATGGTGAAACATTGCCGTGCTTTTCCTCTGAGATGGGGGCACAGCCAGTGTGCCTGCTCTCCTCACTTCCGTTTAACATTGTACCTGACATGCCAGGCTGCGCAATGAAACAAGTAAACCAAAATTCATAATGTTGGGGAAAGGAAAAAGTAAAACTGCTACTATTTGCAGATGACTTGATTGTTTACATAAAAATGTGAATGAATCAACAAGGGAAAAACTAAGTATATTTAGCCAGGTCATTGGATATAATACCAATATGCAAAAACCAACGGCATTTCTATTTACTGTCAACAAACAACTGGAAATATAGAAAATTTTAAAGCAACACTGTTTATAATAGCATAAAAACCAAAATGCTTAGCAAGGGATGTAATACATGATGTGTAAGACCTCTGTACTGAGACCCACAAAACCTTCCTTAGAGAAGTTGAAGAAAACACAAATGGAGAGATAAACAATGTTCATGGATTGGAAAGTCAATCTTATTAAGTGGTCATTTCTTCCCCAAATTAACCTAAAATTTCAAAGCAGTTCCAGTCACAATCCCAGCAGGCTTTTATAGGTACTGACAAAAAAATTAAAAGCCGCCTCTGAAAATGCGAAGAACTGAGAGGAGTGAAGCAAGCTTGGAAAAGAACAAATTCAGAATACCTTGGCAAACCGTATTTATAATAACCAAAAATGAGAAACAACTGAACGGCACCCAACAGAAGAATGGATAAACAATCTTGTTATGTTCATACGATGGAATACTACTCAACTAAAAAGAAATGAGCTATGTATGTATGCAACAACATAGATGAATTTCATAGGCGTTATGCTGAGTGAAAGAAGCTAAACACAGAGGTACAAACGCTTTTCACTTCATCGCATTTCATTTATGTGATGTTCTGGAAGATGCCTAGCTGATCCATGATGAAACAAAATTCAGAAGGTTAGTCGCCCAGGGTGGAGTGAGGTGGATTGAACTAGGAAGAATCGTGAAGGAACTTCCTGGGGTGATGGAAAATTGATGCTCGATGGGTATATAGGTTAAATGAATGTATCATTTGTCAAACATATACAATTAAGATTTGTGCATTTCAAAGCATGTAAACATTTTGAAAGAAGTAGTAATGGGGGCAGGAAGCATAAATGAAGCAGGGTTGGCAAAATGTTGATGGTGTGGAAGCCGGATTAAAAGTGTCTGAGGCTCATTATACTATTCTGTTTATTTTCTATATGCTGGCAATCCTCCATGGTAAAAGATTGCTTTTTAATTTAGCACATAAAAAAGGAAATAATGCAACATAAAACATTTTAATCAGATCTCACTTTAAGTTAAAAACTTGAAAAAATGCGTTTTGCCAAAAGTATTTAATTTTCAAAGTCAGCTTCCTGTGTGGTCAGTATCTTTGGGCTTTTGTCCTTGGGGTGTCCCTCGGTTGGTGAAGGGCAGCATTGCGTCTGCTTCCTTTGTAAGGAATCTCTGAACTGAGATGGTGTCGGGAAATGATTTGGGGATAGACGTGCTGGTTCTTTACAACCATTGTTACTTGACGTCTTTCCAGTATTTGTTAAAGGGCGTGGCAAACACTAGTGCCGCACGTGTCACCAATGGTCACCAGCTCCAGAAGGCAAGTAAGATGTGAGCAAATTCCATGAACACCAGATGGCTTCAAGGGGCTTCCAGGTAATTTGAAGGAAAAAAAGTTTAAGGACAGAAGATGATGCTGAAAAAATAAAATCAGCTCTAAAGTAAGTATATCTTTCAGTTCCCCATCCCAAAAATAGATGATAGGCAAGAAAAATGGGATAAATGTTGACTGTGTTGAACACCACTGCAGGGATGCTGTTAACAACAGCAGTTATAGACTATCAAGTTTGAGGCTCATTGCTGTCCCCACCTGCTATGCCACACATTATCCCCCTTTGCATTGTCAGTCACTGCCTGTGAGCCATGTGGATGTGGTCAGTCTTGAGGAGCCCCCACGGCCCTGCACGATGCAGTGGGCTT
The DNA here is from genome assembly GCF_000001405.40 of Homo sapiens. Lineage (NCBI taxonomy): Eukaryota > Metazoa > Chordata > Mammalia > Primates > Hominidae > Homo > Homo sapiens. Next base: position 129,800,112 of record NC_000010.11, read on the forward strand.
GGTGGAGAATGCCCCCCAGAGCTGCCTGCAGCCCCACGGCTGCTCCAGGCCCAGCCTCTGCTCAGCAGGTTTCTGACTTCAGTAAATGGTTTCATATCCTCCCTCTTTTATGTAGTTGGTGAATTTAAAATGGGCACCATATGGTCTTTTTTGTAACCTCAAGAAAGGTTCTCTGGGTTTACAGTAATGACACATCTAGCATTAGATTGAACCATTTTTACTTTTATTTTTAACTAAACAGGCCTTCCTTTGGAATTTTTGCATATACAATGCTATTTCCAGAATTGAACCCTAACATTAGTACAATTCCATAGGGCAAAGGTATCCTGACAGTGTGGCATTATAGCAATAGTAATTTTTTATATTATTGGCAATAATATTTTATGTAAAAGTTTTAACATTTACAAAATGCTAGTATATCTATTATCCAAATATATCATTTTGATGTCATTAATGAATTAACTAGTGATACATTGTGTGCTTTGTAGATCAAATAACCCCTCTTAAATATCAGTTTATGGAGGGAAACCATGAAGAACCACCAGGAAAATTAGAGTGCTTGAAAGACATTTGGACAGGCCAGCTTCTGCCATCCAAGGCCAGCCTGTGTTTGTGGGCATGTGAGAGGCCCCCTGATGAAACTTGGGATAGGAAGCAGCTCTGACCCCTTAACCTCAAGCAGGCAGGGGGAGAGACCCAGACGAGGACTTAGGCTGCAGGGGTGCTCTGAGCACGACTGCCAAATGCCAGGCAGCAAAGCAGGCTTCACAGATCGTGCCTCTTTAGAAACCACCTATCAAGCCCCATGGGAGCAGAAACCTGCCCTGAGCGGCACTGATCTCTGTGTCCCACCTGGGTGTGGAGTTGCCTGGGTATGTGGTACTCAGGAGGCCTTTAGGCGGCCGCAGCTGCAGACTGGACAGACAGCTTTGTCCACGGCGGGCTTCTCTTCACCTGCCTCAGCTCCACAAGGGCAGACAAGCCAACTGGATGGAGTCCCTGGGGCTGGGACCTGCAGCCCAGCTGGGAAGCAGACTTGCCAACAGCTGATACCAGCACGCTGGGCTTGTGTGGTCTCCAGCATGTGCAATAACCAGGACAGAGAAAATTCAGTTCATACTCACGTGGGTGAGACGCAGCTCACCGCTAAGACTGATGCCCAAGCAGACAGGCCACACAAGTTAGTTCAGCTTCAGAACTTCGACGACTGCATCCTCTCTGCAGAAACTGTAAGCGGTTTTAATTATGTTTAAGGCAGATCAAACTTATTTCAGAAAAGTATTAGCTCAAGACTAGGCATAGATTCCCTAGAGAGCTGCTGGCTTCAGCTCCTCCTTTCCAACAGAGCTGCTTTTTTATTATTTTTGCCATGATTCCTACTGTTTCTCTTTATTAATGCGATACTGAACTTTCCTCCAGAAAAGCAAGAGATCCTTAAGCCCGTTTCAACTCTATTGTTGATTTGTTTTTATAAATATGCAGCCACCCCAGCATGCTGGGAGAGCCTGATGTGCTCCACGAGGAGCCCCCAAAAGCCGAGGGGAACACAGGACACTTCCCCGAAGGCACAGGGGCCTGGTCCTGCCCCTGGGCCACTCCAGGTGGGTCAGAGGGAGGATGAGCCAGACAGGTGGCTTCTAGGGGTTCAGCCAGAGTCCGTGTGCCCATTCCCACTGGGAACATGTCTCCCAGGCCAAGCTGGGTGTGGAGTTGAATTAAGTAACAGCTCAAGCAGGGGTCAGGAGACCCCCGACCAAGGTCTGCCCCAAGGCTGGAGGGGAGGCAGAAGGGGGCTCTCCTCCCAGGTCCCCAAGGGTGGGGCCAGCGGGGGTAGGGGGAGGTGGCACAGAGGAATGGAAGATGGCCATGAAGCCTGCCCTGGTGTGCACGAGGGGAATAGGGGTGATCTCAGGACATGAAGGTTTTCTGTGTAGCATTTAGTGAGTTCGAGGTGTATACCCCTGTGTAACCAACACCCCAGTCAAGGTAGAGACCTTTTCTCGAACAGGTATTTGCACACCCATGTTCATAGTAGCATCATTCACAACAGCTAAGAGAAGGAGACAACACAAAATGTCCTTGGATAGATGAATAGATAAACAGTGTGGCACATCCACACAATGGAATATTCACCCTTACAGATGAAGGAAATGCACACACATGCTACAACACGGATGAACCTTGAAGACGCTAGGCTCAGTGGTATCAGCCAGACAGAAAAGAACACAGAACGTGTGGTTGTCCTTACATTCGACACATAGGATTGTCAGATTCATGGAGACACACAGTAGAATAGTGGTTGCCAGGGGCTGCTGGAGAAGGAAGCAGGAAGCTAGGGTATAATGAGGACAGCATTTCAGATCAGGAAGATGAAAAAGTGCTGGAGACAGATGGTGCCATGTTTGAACTGCAGCTAACTGGAATCCCACCGTATACTGTCCTGAGTCAGGTTCCCTCGTCCAACAGAATGCTTTGAGATTCAGCCTTGTTGTCTGTTTCAAAAGTCCAAACATTTTTGATGGCTGATTAATATTCCATTTTAAGAGCATGCCACAGTTTCTTCATTCATTCTTTTGTTGATGGACGTTGAGTTGTTTCCGGCTCTTGGCTTTTATAAATCAAGTTGCTGTAGACATTCTTTCTCAGGCCTCTTTGTGGACAGGCATTTTGTCTCCCAGGTGCATGCATGGGAGGCGATGGCTGGGCAGCTGTACATCCACCTTTAGAGACACTATCGGGTTTCCAAAGCGGCTGCACCATTTTACACACCCACCAGCCAGGTATGTTGCCCATCATCCTCAACAGCATTCAAGGTTGCTATTCCTTTTTATTTCAGCCCTGGTGGGTGTGAAGGGTGGTCTCGTGGTGGTTTTATTGTGCATTCCCTGGATGACTGATGGTGTGGAGCACTTCCTGGCTTTTGCACATCTTGGTGATGTGGTTGTTTGCTCCCTTGCTCATTTTTCTCTTTCTTTTCTTTTCTTTTTTTTCATAGAGAGGGTTTTCATGTTGTCCAGGCTGGTCTGGAACTCCTGAGCTCAAGCAACCTGCCCACCTCAGCCTCCCAAAGTGCTGGGATTACAGGTGTGCGTCACTGTGCCCGGCCCCCACCTTGCTCATTTTTATACTGTGACCTCCTTATTGAGTTGTAGGAGTTCTGTATATTCAAGAAACAAGCCCTCTGTCAGTTCTACATGTTAGGAATATTTTCTCCTAATCCATGGCTTTTCATTTTCTTAGTAGAGACTTCTTTTAAGCAGCAAGGGATTGATTATAGGGTATTAAGTAGCTTCAGGATGTTTGGAAGGAAGTTTAAAAGGCTGAGCTCTCAGGAACAACTTCCAGATGTGGACAGCAGAGCTGGCCCGGAGGCAGGGTGGTTGCCACACAGCTGCCTCCAGAATCACTCTGCTTCTGTCATAGTCAAGAAGCCTCCCCTGTCTTTTGTGTTTTTAAACTTTTTATTCTGACATAATTTTAGACGTAAAAAAAGAATTCCAAAGATAGTACAGAGGGTTCCCATATGCCTTGACCCAGCTTGACCCCCATAACATCAGCCTCTTATGTAACCATAGTAGAATCGTCAAAACTAAGAACTTAACAACAATTCAACACTGGTAACTGAACTATAGACTTTATTAGGAGTGCACCAGTTTCTCCACAAACATTGGTTTTCTATTCCAGGATCCATTCCAAGATACCATATTGCATTTAGCCATCATAGCTCCTTAGTCTCCTCCAATCCATGATCATTTCCTAGATTTTCCTGTTCTTTCACGACTGACTCAATTAATTTTTAATTATGTCCATGAAGCTCATAAACTTAAAAAAAATACCAACTAGTCCTAATAGTTTTAGATTACTTAGGATTTTCATCATATCTGATCATGTCATCTGTGAAAAAATAATAGTTTTACTTTTTCCTCTCCCATCTTTATGTCTTTCTTTTTTTTTTCTTGCCTTATTTCACTGGTTACCATCTCCAGTCAATGTTGAGTAGAAGTGGAAAGAATGGACATTCTTGCCATGTTCTGCATCTTATGGGAAAATCATCCAGGCTCTTGCCATTAAGCGTGATATTAGCTGTAGGTTTTTCATAGATGCCCTTCAGTTCATTGAGGAAGTTCTCTACCAGTCTTCATTTGCTGAGAGTTTTCAAAATGAATGAGTTTTCAAAATGAGCGAGTTGAATTTCACCATGAATGAGTTGAATGCTTTTTCTTTGTCTCTTGAGATGATTGTATGATTTTTCTCTTTACTCTGCTAATGTGACTTACAATTGATTTTCAAATATTAAAACAATCTTGAGTTCCTGGAGTAAACTCATTTGATCATGATTATATTTTATTTCTTACACATTATGGATTTGATTTGTGAAGGATTTTTGTTTCTGTTCAAGAATGATATTGGCCTATAATTTTTTTTGCTCTTTCATTATTCTCCAGCTTTGATGTTGGGTTTATGCTGGACTCATAAAATATATTGGGAATTGTCACCTCTTCCTCTCTTCTCTGAAAGAATGTGTAAAATTGGTCTTACTTATTTCTCATATATTTGGTAGAATTTACCAGTGAAGCCTTTGGAGCCTGGAGTTTTCTTTTGGGGAGATCTTTAATCACAGATGCAATTTAAACAACAGATATGGGGCTGTTCACATTTTCTATTTATATTGTGTCTATTATAAAGTTATGTATTTCCAGGAATTTATCCATTTCCTCTTTGCTGAATTTGTGGCATAATGAGGTTCACAATATCCCTTTACTCACCCCAATATCATTAGGATCTATAAATGTCTCCCTTTTAAAAAAAATTCTGATATTAGTATTTCATATTTCCTTCCTTTTTATTTGTTTGGGTCTGGATCAGTCATGCTAGATATTATACTTTTCTTTTTATTTTTTTTCTTTTTTTGAGATGGTGTTTTGCTCTATCACCCAGGCTGCAGCTCCCACCTACCAGGTTCAAGTGATTCTCCTGCCTCAGCCTTCCAAGTAGCTGGGATTACAGGCACATGCCACCACACCCAGCTAATTCTTGTATTTTTAGTAGAGACGGGGTTTCACCATATTGGCCAGGCTGGTCTTGAACTCCTGACCTCAGGTGATCTGCCTGCCTCGGCCTCCCAAAGTGCCAGGTAGATATTATGGTTTTCTATTACTGCATAACCAACTATCCCAAAATGTAATCACTTCAGGCAACAATGATTTGTTATTTCTCACATTTCCGTAGGTGAACTGGACATCTCTTCTGCTGGTTCCATCTGGGTTCACCCATGGGTGGGCCCCACTCTGCAAGAGGGTCCATAGGGCTGGACCGTCCAGGTTGGTCCCACTCACAGGTTTAGCCCTTTTCACTGTCTCTTGTAGCCTGCCATCCTTCTGTGGGTTAGATCTTCTTTCTTACATGGTGGTCTCAAGAAAGAATCCAAAAGGGCAAAGGCAGGAGCCCCAAGACCAGCTGAGGCCCAGGCTCTGAACGCACACAGCATGACTTCTGCCACATTCTGTTATTGACCAAGGCAAAGTCACAAGGCCAGTCCTCATGTAATAGAGTTGAGAAATGTATGGGAGATGTGGCAGAGTTTCATTGCAAAGGGTCATGCCTTTTTCAAAGGAAGAATCTGTGGCCATGAAACAATTTATCACGTTCCACAATGTGGCCACAAATTATTTATTTCCTTCCCACATACACCATATTCTTTCTCCCATTCCAGTATGGCTAAAAGTCTTATCCCAGTTAGGGCACTTAGCTCAAAGACCATAGTGCTGTGATCAACATCAGGTCCATCTGGACATGTACACATGGCTCTTCTGGTGTGATTCTTCTTGATCCAGAAATCTGTGAACTAAAAAGCCATGTTACCCCACAACAGGGCCAGGATGACCACAACAGTCACCCCCATCTGAAAGGAGAGGAACATGAGGCACAATGGAGGTCACTGGTTCTTACCAATCCTAAGCTTCAGAAGGGCCCAGGTATTCAGATCCCCCCACTCTAGAGGAAGAAGATATTCCTTGATTAAGGCACAGTTATGCTCTCAGGAGGGGCTTCCTAGTCCTTTTTTCTCTCCATTGTTCTCTTGTTCTATTCTCCAAGGATCTTTTATTTTCCATCAGAAATGGCCCATGTTTGAAGATGAGCATCTTTTCCTGTTTCCAGCCCATAGGAAGCTGGAGGCCCAGAAGTGTCTTTTAATTTTGAATGATATCAGCCCCTTTTAGTGAAAGCTGGTGGTGCTCTTATTAATACATTTCTCTCAAAAATTTTATGAGTCTCCTATGAATCTTATTGGAGCTTGAGGCTTCTCTATGCACCACCACCCCCACCCCACAAAAAAAGAACAACTGTAATTCCTTTCAAGACAGACCCCTCTTCACTTTGGATATGTCAGGCTCCTATGAGACAGTGCTCCATGGGTTCTTAGGAAGCCTCTTTCCCCTTGTTGAGAGGTTCCCTGAGGCACTGCCTTCAGTCTTTCTGAGGCCTCAGCAAAGGATCCCATGAGCAGACCCTCAAATTAGTCCTTTCTTTGAGGCCATTTCTTCCGTTAGGGATATTTTGCTGACTGTTGAAACCGAAAATGAGAAATACTTCCATTTTTCAACGAACCAATCCTGACACTTTTCTGTTCCCTCTGAATTCTGCTTGCAAACTAAATGGATTTTGGGTTTGTTTTGGTTTTGGTTTGGTTTTTAGCCCATCTCTCTTTTCCTATATATTTTCCTAATTGGCACTTTCAACACTCTACTAAGAAATGTTTTCATCCATATTTACAAATTATTTGGGTACATTTTCTATTTTCCAGGTTACTGCTGGCAATGGTCCTGCTGGTGGCTCTGTCCCTGCTTCATTCAGGTTGCTCTTCTCCAGCCTCCCATGGTCCCCTCCTCACGGCTCTCCCAGTGCTTCCTCAGCACCTTTCCAGCTTCCACCTGATGCCTGCTTTGAAAACCAGGTCAAAGTTTCAGGTTCGTGTTAGAACAGCACCCAACTTCCATTTCAGTAATGTGTCACTACATAACAGACCACCACGGTGCTTCAACGGTGATGCCTTGCTGTTTCTCCCAGTTCTGTGCTTGGCTGGGTAGTTCCTTACTCACGTGGTTCCTTCAGCTCGAGGGTTTGCTGGGTGGGAGGGTCCAGGATGGCCTGGCTCACCTGTCCAGCTGCTGCTTGCTGTCGATGGGGGCCCCACAGTTCCCTCCTGTATGGTTTCCATCCCCCAGGAGGCTTCCTTATGTTCTGGCCTCAGGGCTGTGCATCAAGAGGGTGGAGACAGGGGTGTGTTGGCTGGAGCTGGGCCCCCGAGCTCACACAGCTTCATTTCTGCCAGTTCCTACCGTTGGTCAAAGCAAGCCACAGGGCAGACACCTCCAAGGGAAGGGGACGCAGTCCCCATGACAGTTACAGCAAAGTCACCTGCAAAGGGAGTATGAGAAGACTTTTCAAGATAAACTTAGGAAGGCGTCTACCACACCAGGTGTTGATTAATTTCATGGGTCTTTCTAGGTCCTGGTTGAACCTCAGTGTCCCTATTCTTTGTAGCCATGGCTTCACCTTCTCTGGCTCCATGACACAGAGTGTTCACGAGGGACATCGCTTCTAAAAGATGCCCTCTCTCCTGTACAAGGCTTGGAGTGGTGTAAAATTCTAATATATAATTCTCCAAGGGAACTGCCAAAGCCTTTTCTGTGGGAGTTTGTGCCATGGTGCCACTGCAGGGTAGGGTCATTTTGAGGAACAAGGCATGTGCTTGTCTTGCACAGAGCAGCTGCCCTGGACCAGCGTTCCTGGGGGTCAGCAGGCATCTCACAAGGCTGTCCCACCGCCACTGCCTCCACTGTCCCACTCTCACCGCTGACCTCCCTCTCTCCCATTTCCAAGCACCTGCCTCCCTTTCTCCTCCCTGCTTTCTCCTTTCCCTCTTCTTAAGGGAACTCTTGAGAACCTAATCGGCAGTCTTTCAAGGGATCTGTCCTAGAGTGGGCTGCAGAGCCTGAGGAGCGAGGCCATTTGGAGTGTCCCAGGCCCCCGAGGCCTCAAGGCCATCCGCCTGGCTGCAGTGCAGCCCACAGATGACCTGGGCTCATGGAACCAGCCAGGAAGGCCACCGTCTCCGGGTTCTGTGTCAGTGTCTGGGGTGGCCCACACCCCAGCCCGGCACTCCTGCAGTACCCGCTGGCTCGTTGTGTTCCTGGGCGCTTCTGGTCTTGCTCTCCTCGGGAGGTGGGCACCTTGCCAGCACAGGGCCCTGGGTGTTTCCAAAGGTGGGAGACAGGCGAGGAGGCAGCACTCGCCTGGACTTCCCTGGAGTCCGCCCGGCCCATGCAGCACCCGGGGCTCTGCAGGGGACCCCACTCCAAAGCAGAATGAGACACACAGGGGTTTTCTGATGGTTCTTTCATCCCCTCAGCTCCTCTTTCTTCAAATCGCCTTTAACCTCAGTCAGAATGCCAGTCTTCGCCAGGTTGGCCCAGTGCCCAGCACCCTCGCACCCACGCAGAGATTCTGGCGGCACTGCTGAGGCAGGAGTTGGTCCTCCCAGCTGTGGGTGAGCTCTGGTGTGAGCTTTGGTGGTCGCTGGGCCCCACAGACCCTACTCGCCCAGAGCAGGGGCTGCCTACATCATGAGTGTGTGAGCCACAGTCATGGCCAGAAAGAGCCCACTCCGGAGAGACATGCAGCCTCTGTTCCCCAGGCCCACTGTGGGGCTCCTTCAAACATGCAGCCACAGGCTTACCCCTAAAGCCCACTGGTTAGGGACATGGCGTGGCTGTGGCTGGAGGGCTGGGGCTGGGGCTGGTCCCCGTGTCCATGGGAGGTGGAGGCAGGTTCCTGCAGCCCAGCTGCCACGGTGTGCAAGCTGCAACAAAAGCTTGGGTGTTTCTTCAAAAATGTCGATGTCAGACAGGACAAAATGTTGTGAGGACGTTCCAGATAAAAGAAGACTAAAGAGACATGGCAATTAACTGCGATGGACTGAATCCTGGACTAAAAGAAAAAAAAAATGTTAGAAAGGAGATTACTAGGTTAATTGACAACAAAGGACTGTGAATGAGAGAGTGCTGTGTCCGCATTACACCTCGGAGCTGGCGACTGCACTGAGGCTGTGTCCCTAATGCTTTCCTCTCAGAAAGTGTATGGGGATGAAAAGCCACAGTGCGTTCATCTCCCCCAACAGTGGCTCAGAAAATACACAGTTGTAGGCGGAGAAGTCCATGATGACAACATTAACGGTGTCAGTAACAAATCTGGGTGCAGGGTCGATGGGTGTTTGCAGTATTGTTATTCTTGCAGTGTTCCTATGAGTTTGAAATTCTTCCCAAATAAGACTCAATGGTTTTAGTTTTACTAAATGGTTATGTTTTCTGGGGCCGAGACATCCTGCATTGCTCCCTGGCAAGCTACCCCATGGGTTCCCGAGGACTGTGGAGTTGCAGGTGGCCATGCCACAAAGCAGCCCCTCCACAGGGGACTCAGAGCCTTGGCCTTGGCGGGTGGCTGCCGAACTGCCCCAAGACTCAAGACAGGGGAGGGGAAGTGAGGGGCACAGTGTGCAGGGATGTCCGCGGATCTGCAGACTGCTCGAGCTCCTTCCCTGGAAGCCGTGTGTAGACACTAACCTCTTCTTTTTTGTCTTCCTGGCAAGGCAGAGGCAGCTATTGAACAGAGTGGGGCACAGCACTTCCTTAAGTGTTTGGAACCGGGGAAGCTGAAGACCTGTTGTCTCTCCTCCTTGGCTCCAGAGCCCTCCGATGCCCTTAACGTTTGGATTGATACTCCTCGTTGGGCCTGTCTTCAATTTGGTTTCAGGCACTTTCCAATAAGTGCATGAAGTGCTCTGGGGCTGAGGAGAGACAGTAAAGAAATCAATACATGTTCATCATCATCGCGGCACTTATGAGGGCCGGCTGTCCCTCGGGTCGGCCCACAGAGGTGCATGCTCGCCCGGGCTGCCCTGCTGGTTTTGTGTTTCCCCATGGATGGCCGACCAGTCTCAATAATGATCAATATCACTTTATCAATGCATCACTATTAACCAGGGTGCTTTAGCCGTCTCGCATTCCTGTCTTGGAAGAGTGCCTTCCAGACATTGAGATTTACAGTCCAGGGCTGCATATTCATTTCCTTCCCTCTCTGGTGGGGTTCCCAGTCAGGAGGCCCCAGAAACCAGCCCTGCCTTCTAGGAGTTTATAGTCTGGTAGGGTAAGGGGATGAGGGGGATGGTGGGGAGAAGCAGGGGGAGGGGAGGGATCATGAGCATGCCCTGCAATTACAGAGCTGGTTTTGGGTTTTAGAAGTTTATGCCAGACTTACTCTGGATATTTTCTGACTTGTTTTGAGGAAGGAGGGTGGTCCCCCTGACCCCAGGAGCTTGAATAAGCATCCATGAGTTCATATGTGAAAACCAGAGTAGTCGTTATACGTGGACAGCAGTTGACAGTTTCCGAAGCTTGTGCCTGTGTGGACATTGTTCATTTTATGGAAACTCACAGTAATCCCAAGAGATGGGCAGAGCAGATGGCAGCCTCCCCACTGTAGAAGAACAGGGAGCTCTGGGCCCACAGAGCAGCAGGGGCTGAGCCAGGCGGGTCTCACTCCTCCTGGCTGGGTCACCTCCTGTGTCACCCTGGCTCTATTTTCTGGAGTCAGGGGTTGGACGGGGCCACAGTCAAGGTGATGTGCAGCCTGCCAGCAGCCCCAGTCCCTCGCGGGCAGCACAGCCAGGAAAGCGAACGGGCTTCCTTTTCCCTCTGCCCCAGCACGGGAGGGCATTCAGGGTGGGAGGGTGAGACAGGAGATTTCTGTCCTCGCTCTCTTTCCTTCAAGTCTTCAGAAAGTGCCCCCCATGTTTGTAATAGGGTTTGGTTATGTTTGGTGCACAGACCCTGCCAATGTCCTTTCCCCAGAGCCCTTTGTGTCCAGCAGTGGGTCACACCCAGGCCTTATCCACCGTCGACTCCCTTCACCCTCCAGCCCCTGGGACCCCACCATCCCACTTCATATTGTGAAGAGCCCTCTAAGGAAAATAAGCAAGGCTCACTGCCTGCACCTTCCAGGAGGGCATACGGAGCCCCAGAGCGAGTGTGTGGCTTGCCCAAAATTGCCAAGTGGCTCCTGGCTCGCCACTTCCCCCAGCCAGGCCCTGAGAGGTCGCTGCCCAGGGTTCCCTCATGGGACTGTCTGTTTCCAGGCTAAGAAGGCTCGCTCACCTGGGTAGCGGTGCTGCCCTTCGAAGGTGTGTGGAACAGGAACAGTGTGCATGAAAGAGCTGCTGTGCTCCAGCAGCTGGCCTGGGCTTCTCATCCATCTCCCCTGGGGTAGCTAAACCCCTTTCTACTGCCTCTGTCTGTCAACTAAACCCTGAACCCCCACCGGAGCCTCCTCTCACTCTGCCACCGCCCTGGTCCGTGCCAGGGTCTCTCTTCTGGACCCTGCCCCCTTCTCCCGGTGCTGGCCATCTGCAGTCCCACCCCCTGAGGCCCATGCCAACACGGGTCTCCAGGAGCACAGAGGGTGCATGCTTTCTGTTTAAAATCCACCACTGGCTTCCAACCAAGCCCCATCCTCAGCAGGGGGAACAGGCACCTTGGACATCCCAGTCCCTTCTCCCCATCCCTATCCACATGGCCCCTGTCCCCCAGGGCCTGGAAAGAGTCGCACCAATATTGTCTTCTGAGGGGTGGGAAAGAGGGGAGCTTCCTCCTGGCCTCAAAATGGACAGTGTTAGGAAGGTCACCGGCAGGGAGCAGGAGCCTGTGATTCCAGTAAACACCTCACTCGAAGGGGCTTTATGGAGACAAAGGAAACTTCTCCTGGTCATGATGTGGGCTTTTTGACAAACAAGCCCTGCCCCTTAAATAATTGTCCAGATCCTGGTGACAGCAGATGCACCCCACAGCCGCTGCGAGCTGCTCACTTGACCTGTGACCTCTGACTTCATGTGAGTGAGCATGGGCCACGGTCTGCGGCTTCGGGAGGACCTGGTTATGGGATGCTATTGACGAGGCATTTATAAATATTTAATCTTCACGTTAAAAATATGGGACAGAAGAACCATTAGTCGCCAACAATAAAAAGGCTCTCTCTGCTGATTGTTGGGGCAAAAGAAGATCAGGGTAGATTTTGATCAGGCTAAACGACAGTACTGTACGTTGAAAAAAATGTAAATAAGTGCTGTTTCCAAGGCAGTCATAGCTCAGACCTGTGGTCAAGGATCTAAAACTGGCCTGTCGATTCCACGGAATCTGTGCAAAGTACAGACCATTCATACAAAACAGAATGGATGGTTTATTTACGCCCAGTGCCATTAAGAATGGAGGAGAAAAGTTCAGCCCAGGATAAGAAGCTTAAATCTTGATTTTTTTCCCTTCCCCCTCTCAAAAGAATGGGTTCCTTGCATTGTAAATTATCCAACCCTTGTCCTTGGGTTGGCAGCTACTTCAGGCTGGTACGGACATTGCATAATCTTAAATATTGATTCTTGTTAGACCAAAAAAAAAGTCTGAGAGCACCGAGCTCCCCTGGTCTGCATGTCCAGGAAATCGCCTTGGCTATAGCTCACTTGTGATGGCCCCTGGCCTCCTGACAGCGAGATCCATTCTGATTAGAAAAGTTCTAAGAGAAAAAGCAATGGTTAGGATCTCCTCTCCATCACAGCAAACACGGGATCGACTTCTGCCTAAGTGTGAGTCCTCAAGTGCCCCCAGAGCTTTCTGGGCAGAGTAAACCCAAAATGATGCAAAGCCCATCATCCACTCACTCCCTGCAAGTGAAGCTCCCCCGCTTTGGGCAGTGCTCCCTGCCCCATTGAGGCCTCTCCACACTGGGTGATGGGTGCACGCCTCTGCTGACGCTGGAGGGTTCCCCACTGGTGCTCCTTCCCCTTTGTCTGTCCCCAAGACAGTGTGGGGCAGAGCTGGAAGTGCTGATATTGTCCATCCCAAGAAATGATGCCTTCATAGGAAGAAACTGATTTTCATAAAGCCACACTGTGTGGTGTGATGTTTACAGCTCTATACGGAGTCCCCCAGGCACCGAGATAACTAAGGCTTGGGTTTTAGGAGAATGAAGAGAATGGTCTGTGTAAATCCGTTAGGGTTAAAAAGGAGCCACTTCTCTCTCCCGATGTACAGACCACCTTAGCGCTGGTGGAGGAAGACGGCCAACATCACAAAGAGAACCTGTGGCCATTTCCCGGGCTCCCAGTTTGAGAAGCGCGACGCCACTTCGGTGACTAAATGCAGAAAGAAACCCGAACCATAAAGTGTGTCTTCAGTTTGGCAACTTGTGGTACAATTTCATGAAATGCAATTAATTTTTCTAGTCCTCTGTGGCTACAAGTTTCATTATCTATTATCTAACCAGTCAACTTTGGTTACCTGCCAGTAGCATCCACGGGAAAGAGACCTCTTGACTGATTTCTTCAGTTTCATGTTGAAAAGCCCTTCCCCTGAAAACTGTTTCTAGTTACTCCAACTGTCAATTGAATTATGGTGAAAAACCAAGAGTGTTTGCAAAACGGAGTTATGTGTTAAAATGGTGCAAGGTGCTTCTCATTTAATGCAGATTCGTTTTCCCACTGGTTTCTTCTTGCTGTGTGTTCTGCAGGTCTTGGAAGAAACCATCACACCGAGGTCATTTCTGAGCACAGCGTGGAAGCTCCTATGTTTGCAGGCAAGTGATTGATTGAAGTTTGGCTAAAAGAAAGCAACAAACCGGGGTCTCGGACTGTGTGAAATTGTAATAGTTAAAGCCTCCTCCCAGTGACCAATCACTGCTGACCACACTCTGCAGGCCTCCTGCTCAAACCAGAGATGCCTCATTGAATCCTCAACTGTTATTTGAAGCCACTGGGTTGCCAGGATAGTAAGGGGCCAGTTCCACAGGGAGCTTCAGGGCCTGGAACAAAACCTAATGGTCTTGCCCAGTGCCCTTCCAGACCCAATGGGCTGTTTCTGAAGTTTACCTCAATCTACAGAGAAGGCAAATTACTATTAGATGGCATAGCAGATCCACATTGTGCAAATCAATGGCTTATTTTCAGTTGAGCCTTCTCTGTTCTTTAAAGCAGGCCCCAAAAACCTCTGCTATGGTCTGAATGTGTCCCCCCTCACCAGCCCCAAATTCATATGTTGAAACCCTAACCCCTAAAGTGATGGCATTAAGAGGTGGGCCCTTTTAGGAGGTGATTAGGTCATGAGGGTGGAGCCCTCAGGAAGGAGATCGGTGCCCTTATTATGAAAGGCCTCAGAGAGCTGCCTTGGCCCTCCCACCCTGGCAGGAAGGTGCCATCTGCAAACCAGGCAGAGGAGAGACAGTAGATCTGCTGGTGCCTTGACCTTGGACTTCCCGGCCTTAGGAACTGTGAGAAATACAATTCTGTTGTTTCCAAGCTACCCTATCCATGGGATTTTATGATAGGAGCCCTAACAGCCTAAGACAGCCTCTTCTGGCAAAGGCTGTTTGGGGGAATAGCAGTCACAGGTCTGGATGTCAGAGTGATAGTTCATATGTATTGTCAAAGCCTCTATTTCCCACCACGGCCCCCCCCCGACAGCCTAGCTCCAGTCCCTACCCCGATGAGTCTAAATGCATGAACTTCTGCCAGACAAAGAGTTCTGGTTAGGGGCTAGCCTTTAGCTGCTACTTTCTTATTTCTCAGCCTTAAAAAACGAAATCAGCGTTCCTCCTAGGGTTCTGAGTGCCTCACCTTTTATCTCTGTGATCTGCCTCCTCCTGAACCTGCCAGCCCCAGAGCCACAGCAGGGGTGGCTTAGTCTCTCATTAACCAGGTTTCCCTCCCATCTCTGCTATTCCTAAAGGTACCATTCAGTGGCCTCTAATGCTCGGACTATCCCTGAGCTTTTATAAAGAAGAAAAATCTTATCAGCAGCTTTCCAGTGTTTTCGAGAACTATTTGTGTTTTTTGAGATCTATTTTCTATTTTTATTCTTTATCTCTGTTTCTTCATCTTTGAGTTCCTCCAGCGACCCTGGCAGGAGGCCGGCCATTGCTAATGATTTACAGTACCTGGGCTTCATCAGTTGCTCTATAACTTCCTCGTTAGAAACTTATTTTTGTCAAGGAGACACTTTAGCTGCCCATAAAAACTGCCTTTGGAATCGAAATTCCTCTGAAACTCACACAAATGCTTCATTAAATTTCTTTGCTTCTCTGTCTCTTAATTTCCCCACATGGATCAGAACTCGATAGGAGATCGTCTAAAGCCACCCAGTAGCCCCAGAGAGGTAGCTCAGGGCCCTCCAGCACCTCCCATGAGCACAGCACTTTACAGTTTACAAGCCTCTCCTTGCTCTTGGCAGCAGCCCTCCAGGGCAGGCAGTGATGTCCTCATCTTAGATGAGAAGTCTCTGAGCTGGCATTTCCTAAGGTCTCTCTGCTCTTCTGAGGGTGACTGGACTCTGACCCGGTCCCAATTCCTCTGCAGTCCATGAGGCAGCTGTCCTGGCTCTTCAGAAGGGATGGACCTGGGACCAGTCACTTGGAGGAGCCAGAAAGGAGGGGCTGCAGGGACTGAACAGCCTGGTTGCCCAAGGGACCCAGAGCAGAGGGCGGTTGTGGCAGGTCTTTCTCCTTTCCGAGGCCCTGAGCAGCTCTCTACAGCGTGGCTCGCTGCACCCCCAGACATCTTCCTGCCACATGGAGGGGTCCCTGGAGGCAGGGCTGACCCGACGCATCTTTGAAGCTCCCCCCATCACCCACATTGATGGGAGAGGCCTGAGCATTGCTGCCAGCTCACCCTGTGTTGAATGATGGTCACACCCACCCTACATCTCCCGGGAAGCCAGCACCCCCTCCCCTCTGGGGTGGGCACCCCCTCTGCTGTGCTCAGAGCCCGGCTCCTGCCCACTCCCTGACGTGGAGTGGTGAGGACAAGCCTTTCCCATAGGCACTGCCACATTTGTGGGGTCCTCTGCCAGCCACCACCACTGCCTCCCCACAGCCACCACAGCCAGCATCCCCACCCTCCTGCCGGGCCAGCCGGGACGGGACTCAGCCATGCAGGAGACGGCCCCTTCCCTGGCAGCTTGTGAGCCCCCGGGGGCTGGAATCCTCCTGTGGCCCCGAGAGGCCTCTGTGCACCAGGCACAGCCTAGAAAGGTCTGGCCTTGTGGGGGTTCTACTGCACCCCTGCCTGGATCCCAGGCATCCCCGGGTGGTGGCGTTGCAGGTCCTGAGCACTCTGGTCCCTGCTGCCCACACCCACTGCATGGCCAGGAGAGGCTGGAGAGGCTGGGTCAGTGTGGCCACCAGGGCCACTGGATTCCTCGAGGCTCCTCCCTCAGGCTGTCCCCGCCCCACTGGACAGGACCAGGGTGGCACCTGGCCAGGAAGAACTCATTGTGATGGCCTTGTCCCGGCTTCTGCCATCTCCGCACCCTGTAGCCTGAGTCCCACCCTGCCTACACCGTCAGCCTTGGCCCCACGCAGAAGCAGCCACTTTGATGTTAGAAAGTAGATTCTGGTGCCTGGGCCTTGGCTTTGCCTGGGGCAAGTGGGACCCACACTTGTCAGGGTGGAGCAGCTTTTCCAAAAACTGGCACTGGACAGAGGCAGTGAGGCCACCACTGGAAGGCAACGCCGGGGAAGGGTCGGGCACTGAACATTGTGTGCCTGAGCCCAGTGGCCCCGGAAGGCCCAGGACATTTTGTCCACAGGCACTCAGGGCTGCCTGCACAGGCCCCAGCTTGCCTTGGGTTTTGGAATATCCTCGGCTGCAGGAGAATGTGGATACCATCATTCACTCCATTTTTCCCAGAAGCGTGGGCAGCAGGGCAAGCAGTGGGCTTGGGTCCAAGCAAGAACAGGAGCGTTTGCCTCCCCTGGCTGGCAGGTCCTCCTCCTGGCTCACAGGGCTAGCAGGGAATGGGTGAGCAGCTTAGGTTTGGGCCAAAACCCACCGTGCTCTCCACCCTGCTCCTGTGTTGAAGGAAGGGTTACCTTTTCTTTCCGTGGGTGTTTACATGCTGTATTTACTTTGGGGAAAAGAAAACTAGCATCACCCTATAAGGCCACCCTATAAGGTGAACACTGAAGGTGCAAGTTCTTTTCCAGCCAGCAAACAAGGCAAACATCTAGCTTAGTGGAAGGAGCAGCACTACCCAGGTAGGAAGCTCTGTGGATGGAGGGGCCCGATGAGGCTTCCTGGGATTTATTCTGGGGCACGTTAATGATGAGACGCTGCTTGCTGGGCCTCAGCCTGGCACTTGCAACGTTCTTCATCTTTTTCTTGTGATCTATGTCTTCTCTACATATTCTCTATATATTTCCAATGTATACATTGTGAACATTTTATCCTAGTCTGTGGCATGTCTTTTTTTTAATTTAGAAAAAAAAAAATTGTGGATATGGTCTCTCACTATTGCCCAGGCTAGAGTGCAGTGGTGCAGTCTGGCTTACTGCATCCTTGACCTCTGGGCTGAAGCAATCCTCCTGCCTCACCCTCCCAAGTAGCTGGGACCACAGGTGTGTGCTATCACACCCTGCTAATTTTTGTATTTCTTGTAGAGGTTGGTTTTCTCCATGTTGACCAGGATGGTCTCAAACTCCTGGCCTCAAGCTATTCGTCTGCCTTGGCCTCCCAAAGTGCTGGGATTATGGGCGTGAGTCACTACACCCAGCCATAGTGTGTCTTTATACTTTATGGTGTCCTTTGATGAGAATTTTTAAGTTTTTATGAAGTCCAGTTTATCAGTTTTTTTCTTTCATTGTTAGTGCTTTTTATGTCCTGCTTAAGAAATCTTTGCCTATCCCAAGTCTATAGAGATGGTTTCCTATGTGTTTTAGAGATAGTTTCCTGTGGGTTTTTTCCAGAAGCTGAATAGTTTTAGCTTTTCTCTTTGGGCCAATTATATATCTCAAATTAATTTTTTCATATGGTGAGATGATATGGTTTTGGCTGTGTCCCCACCCAGCTCTCACATCTTCAATTCCCATGTGTTGTGGGAGGGACCTGGTGGGAGATAATTGAATCATGGGGACTGGTCTTTCCCATGCTGTTCTCATGACAGTGAATGAGTCTCACGAGATCTGATGGTTTTAAAAATGGGAGCTTCCCTGCACAAGCTCTCTTCTCTTGTCTGCCGCCATGTAAGACATGCCTTTCACCTTCCACCATGATTGGCCTCCCCAGCCACGTGAAACTGTAAGTCCATTAAACCTCTTTCTTTTGTAAATTTCCCAGTCTTGGGTATGTCTTTATCAGTAGTGTGAAAATGGACTAATATATGCAACATAAGTGTCAAGGATTTTTTTCCCATATGGGTGTCAGTCGCTTTAGAAAATATTTTCTTTTTCCATTGAATTCCATTGGTGCCTTGTCAAAAATCAAATGACTTGATATATGTGAGTCTTTTTCTGGACTCCTTATTCTGTTCCAGTGATTTGTCTCTCTAACCTTATACCCGTATCACATTGTCTTAATTATTGTTGCTTTTTAGCAGACACAGGATTCTTGGAATTTTCCATTTCATCATGTGTCTGTTTTGGCAAGTTGTGTTTTACAAAGAATTTGTTCATTTTTTTTCTGTGTTGTCAAACTTCTTAGCATGTGTATTTTTACAATGTCCTCTTACTATCCTTTTAATGTTCATCAGGTCTATAGCGGTGTTCCCTTTTCAGCTTTCCTGATCAGTCTTACTGGAGATTTGTCAATTTTGTTGATCTTTTCAAAGAACCAGCTTTTGGCTTTTGATCCCTTCAGTGAACTTTTCCACACTGACGGTCACTATGACCTTGGCTCTGCTAATCCCCCAATCCACATGAGGATGGGTGGACTTAAGTGACCTCTAAGGACCCTCATTACTCAGACAATCCCTGGCTCTGTGAGTCTGTGTCTTTCTTGCTCCCAGTTAAGGTCAGGATTAGGACTTGGAGGGTGACAGTTTTCTATCAACTACAGAAGGAAATTCCAGCTGCAGGCCTGCGAGAGGAGATGCCCCATGCCTGCCTCCTGACATCACTCTGCTCTTGCGGCCATGTTGGTTTCTCTGTGGCCCCAGGACCTTAACACATACTGTTCTTGCTGTGTTTGCAAGACTCACCCCCAACCCCAACTTTGCTTCACTAATTCCTTATCAGTTTCCAGAGTAAACCAACACATGATTTCTGGAAGAAAGCCTTCCAGTTTCTCAAACCCCCTCATTCCTGCTGCTGGCCTAGACCAAGGAAGGCCTTCCCAATTCTGTGTTCTCAAAGGACTGAATAGGTTTCCTGCAAAGCACCTACTGCAATTGCTTTTAAATTGTTATGTAATAAATGAAGAGACTTAATATGTACCTGAATGGGGCAACTCCATATTTCATCAATAGCCCCCATACTATAAACTCTGTACAGCATCAAACTGATTCTAAAATTAGACTGAGTGCAATGGCTTATGCCTGTAGTTCCAACACTTTGGGAGGCCAAGGTGGGAGGATTGCTTGAGCCCAGCAGTTTGAGCCCAGCCTGGGCAACATGGGGAGATTCCATCTCTACAAAAAAAAATGAAAAATGAGCCCAGGGTGGTGGCACACACCTATTGTCCCAGCTACTTGGGAGACCGAGGTGGGAGGATCACTTGAACCCAGATTGTCAAAGTTGCACTGAGCCATGATCACACCAGTGTACTCCAGTCTGTACAACAGAGCAAGACCCTCATCTCAAAAAAAAAAAAAAAAGGAAGTTATATGGAAGAGTAAATGAACAGAAATAGCTGAGAAAATATTAAGATTCTTAGAGGAAGTTTGCTCTTCTAGGAATTAACATATTTTTTAAACTATAAGAATTAACAATAGATGGAGTCTAGGCAGGAATTCTCTAAAAGGTCAGTAGAAGGGAATTTAAAAAGAAAAAAGGAATTTAGAAATGAATAATGAGATATTTAAAATCGGTAGAAAAGATGAGCTGACAACTCAATATATGGTTTGGGGATAATTTGTTCTCCATTTGGAAAAAAATAAAATTAAATTTCTCCGTGTATAAAACATAAAATTAAACCCTAGAGAGATTAAACAACTATAGGCTAAAACTATGAAAACCATCAAAGTACTAAGATAAAGTGTAAGATAATTTTGTTTTTTAATCTAGGACGGAGAATATTATCCTAAACAAAGAACTAGAAGCCATAAAAGATTGACTTACAGATGGCTGGGGAGGGGTGGGGTCGTTGCACAGGGAGAGAATCCCAAAGCAAAGTCATTGGCATAGAGAAGATATTTGCAGCACATAAAGAGGCAACCACCATCAAATACAAAGAGCTCCTGCAAATTAACAAACAAAAGACAACCCAGTAAAAAATGGGCAAATGATAGCAACAGGCAGTTCACAGAAGAAATACAAAAGCTACATATATGTGTGAGAATATGCTAAAATGTGTAAGTAATTAGCAAATGTGTATTAAAACAGTAAGATTTTATTATCACCAATCAGATTAGCAAAAATTTTGACTGAAAGTATTCTCACTAGAATGTTTGTCCCACAAGAACAGTAAATGTTTGTCTGTTTTATTCTTGGCTAAATTCCCAACACCCAGAACAGTGCTTGGCACCTAATAGGCACTCATTAAATATGTTTTTCATTTCTTTAACTTTGCCAAAATATACATGACATTTACAACTTTTTTGAGACAAGGTCTTCCTCTGTCATCCAGGCTGGAGTGAAGTGCTGCAGTCGCAGCTCACTGCTGCTTCAACCTCCCAGGCTCAAGCGATCCTCCCATCTCAGCCTCCCGAGTAGCTGGGCCCACAGGCATGCACCACCTTGCCCAGCAAGTGTTTTCTTTTCTGTAGAGACAGAGTCTCCCTGTGTTGTTCAGGTTGGTCTTGAACTCCTGGGCTCAAGTGATCCTCCTGCCTTAGTTTCCCAAAGTGCTAGGATTATAGGCATGAGCCACCATGCCCAGGCATTTATAATTTTAATCATGTTTTAGGTGTCTGGGTGAGAGGCATGAAGTACATTTACACTATTGTGTAATCATCACCTCCATGAATCTCTAGAACTCCGTTCATCTTGGGGACAGAAACTCTTCCCCTTTAAACAATAACTCTCCATCCTCCCCTCCCCAGCCCCTGGCAGCCCTCATTCTACTTTCTGTCTCTATAAATTTGACCACTCTATATATCTCATATAAGCAGACTTAGACATATTTATCCTTTTGACAATAAATATTTTTAAATGAATGAATATCTAGTACAGGCGAAGGTGGGGTGAAATAGGGATTTTCTTACATGTTGGTGAATAAGAACATTTGACCGCACCTACCCAAATGTAAAGTATACATTTAACAAGCCAAAAACCCCACTTCAGGGGCTCTTTCCTGAAGAAACACTGATTAATGCACAAATATACAAGTGCAAGGGTGTTCTCTGTGGCACTTTTTAAATATAAAATTTATTAAAATAGGAACTAAGTACTGCAACATTCAAGAACCATAAGCATCAAGCCCCATGCAATTTACAAGGTGAACCTACCTGAATCCTGATCTGAAGTTCCAGCAGGCTCCCTCTGACCTCCTCCTAGTCACTATCTCCCTGCTTGGGTAAGCTCAACTCTGCCTTTTCACACCATTGATGAGTTTTGCCTATTTTTAACTTGATATAAAGGGAAATCATATAGTGCACTCTCTTTTGTGTCTGACTTCTTTTGGTTGACATTATGTTTATGAGATTCATTTCATATCAATGCATGTAATGATAGCAAATTTATTCTCATTATTTTGTACAATATTCATATTGTATGAATATGACACAATTTTATTTAGATATTTTGCTACCCGTGACCATGTTCACCATGTTTCCAGTTGGTGGCTTTTAAAAATACTGCTGCCATTAACTTTGTTATGCATGTACTTTAGTGAATACATGTACTCATTTCAGTTGGTTGTATACCTAGTAGTGAGATTGCCAAGTCATAATGTTCAGCTTTGGTAGATGCTACAAAAGAGTTTTTTCAAGTGCTTCTACCAATTTACATTCCCACTAATTCCCACTAGCAATGTGTGAGACTTCCAGTGGACCCAATCTTTGCAAAAACATGATATTGTTTGACTTTCTCAGATTAGTCATTCTGGCAGAGATATAGTGGTATCACTTGATCTTTTAATTTTAATTTTCCTGACGATTAATGAAGTTTAACATCTTTAAGATGTGAATTTACTATTTGGATATATGATTTTCTTTATGTTTCTTGTTCAGGTTTTTGGCCATTTTTCTGTGAGACTGTCTGCTTTTTCTTGATGATATGCAGTTCTTTGTATTCTGATATGAATTCTTTGTCAGATATATATCTTGCAAGTGTCTTTCCCCACTCTGTGGCTTGTCTTTTCATTTTCTTAATATATCGTTTTGAAGAACAGCATTTCTTGATTTTAATGTCATCCAATCTATCAATTTATTTTATGGTTAAAGTTTTTTGTTTTCTGTTTAGTGTATCTTTGCCTGTCACCAGGTTACAAAGATATTCTCCCATGTTTTCTTCTAAAAACATTATTGTTTTATCTTTCACATGCAGCTAGAAATCCATCTAGACTTGCTTTTTTATATGGTGTAAGGTAGGGGTTAGTTTTATTTTTTTCAAGAGATAAAGCTGATTGACTCAGCACCATTTGTTGACCCAGCCTCATTTTGTCATATGTTGGGTCTCTTTCTGGACTCTCACCCATTTTACTAAACTTTCAGGGTATCTTTGCACCAATAATACATTGTTTTAATTAGGATAGCTTTAAAATAAGCCTTGCTGGGTGATGGTCTAAGTTTTCCAGTTTTATTCTTATTGAAGATTATGTTGCTATCCTTAGCCCTTTGCATGTATCTGTAAATTTCAGAATCAGCTCATCAAACTAAACCTGCTAACATTTTTATTAAGATTGTGTTTAATCTATTGGGGTAAATTTGGGGTAAATTTAGGTAATTACAATAATGAGTTTTCTAATCCATTGACATGGTATATCTCTCCAACTACTTAGATTGTTAAAATGTTTTTCTCAATTATGTTTTGGGGTTTTCACTGGACCAATTTTGAATAAATAAATTCCATTTATTTCTAGATATTTGATGTTTTGCTGCCATTGTGGGGGTATCTTTTTTTTTTTTTTTTTTGAGACAGAGTCTCACTTTGTCACCCAGGCTGGAGTGCAGTAGGGCAATCTTGGCCCACTGCAAGCTCCCCCTCCCAGGTTCATGCCATTCTCCTGCCTCAGTCTCCTGAGTGGCTGAGACTACAGACACCTGCCACCACTCCTGGCTAGTTTTTTGTATTTTTAGTAGAGACAGGGTTTCACCGTGTTAGCCAGGATGGTCTCGATCTCCTGACCTTGTGATCCGCCCATGTCGGCTTCCCAAAGTGCTGGGATTACAGGCGTGAGCCACCACGCCCATCCTGTGGGGGTATCTTTTTTAATGGTAGCTTTAAAATTTTTCATTTTCTACTTATTTGTTACCATAGCACTTTTTAATAATAGCAAAGAATATAAAATTTTCAACAGAGGACTGGTTCCATAAATGTGGTTTCATATGTACAATGGATTATTCTGCAGCCACAAAAAAGGATGGGGTGGATCTACATGTACTGACAGGGAACTTCATTAAACGGTGTAAGTGCTAATGGGGGAAGGATGATGAGAATAATATAAAAATTATTGTCTCATGGTGTTACAACTATATGTAGATGTCTGTTTGTTTTTAATGTCCTTCAAACAAGGTCCAGAAAGACTGACAGCCCATTGGTAATAGTGCATCTGCCTGCAAGCTGAAGGGGTTTAGGCAGAGTTTGGATAAGGAGGATTAACCTTTATCTCCAAATACATGTTCATTGCTTTTATTTGGGAAATAAGCCTGGATTACAAGAAAGTAAAAAAAAAGGGGGGGGATTATTACCTGTTTAATGCCTGCCTTTTTTTTTTTTTTTTTTTTTTTTTTGGTGAGAAGGAGTCTCGCTCTGTTACCCAGGCTGGAGTGCAGTGGTGCAATCTCGGCTCACAGCAAGCTCCAGGGACTACAGGCACCTGCCGCCAAGCCCAGCTAATGTTGTTTTTTTTTTTTGTATTTTTTTAGTAGAGATGGGGTTTCATCCTGTTAGCCAGGATGGTCTTGATCTCCTGACCTTGTGATCCACCCGCCTCAGCCTCCCAAAGTGCTGGGATTACAGGCATAGCCACCGCGCCTGGCCCTAATGCCTGTCTTTCTTCTGGCTCAGGACTGGCCTACCACAAGGTCTCCACAAATACTCAGGATGGAGCTGGCATTGAATGACCCACTTGGCCTGCACAGAGACTGTCAGGCCTAAGTCTGGAGCTCTGTTTATGTAGTTCTATAATTTTAATGAATGTATATTGTAAACTAACACAAGAACTGTGCACTGTGGAGCAAAACCATGCTAGATAATGAAAGAACTGGATTATTAATGGACCACTGTAGTGTGATATTGAGCCATGTGCCTCGAGCACAGAAGCAGATGCCTTGGTCCAGGGTCCTGCTTCTGTTATGTGTATGGACCCCTGAATCAGACTAGTGAAGCCTGCATACCCCTTCCCCAGAACACTGTTTTCATTGTCCACAAAATAAAATACATACAATCACAGAAAAAATTAATTCTATTAAATAGTTAGCAAAACATTACAAATAAAATTTGAGATATCATTGTATATGTGCTTCTTCATTATTCATGCATTAAACAAAATCCAGGAACAGTTGAGCTAATTATTACCAGAATCTCCAAGTCACGATAACCATAAACAATCTGATACTGCTAAAATGACTGTGGCTTCTTGCCTATACTCATAAGGAAATGCTGAATTTTATAGCCGTTAGTGAAAATAAAGTTAAATTTTTGTTTTTCATTCAAGTTTATGGACCCTAGGTTAAGAACCCTTGCCTTGGTTGAAGACACAGTAAGGAACACTGTTTCTGTGAAAATGTGGTTTGCAAAAGCTGGGGTTCTGGGGATGCAGCAATAATCCAAGCAGACCAGCCCCTGTCCTCACGGGGCTTCCCTTCTCATGGGGAGACAGTGCAGAAGTTAATTAAGTCAAACCTGAATTTCATTAAATGGTGTAAGTGCTAAGGAGAAAAATAAAATGAAAGGGAGAGGGGAAGGTATATGTGTGGTGTTTGGGGTGGGGGTTAGTTTTAGACAGGCAGGCAAGGCTGCCTCCCTGGGCCGGGGGTGAGACGTGAGTTGGGGAGCACAGCAGGTGCTTTTGCAGAAGAGAGCTCCAGGGAGAGGGAACAGCAAGCGCAGAGCCTCAAGCAGGAGCTTCTGCAGCAGCAGAGGGAGGGAGGTGTGGCAGGGTAGTGGCTGACCCTCAGTGTCCTTGTGGCCCTTGGAAGGTCTGTGGAGGGGGTATGACAAGAGTGGTATTCCTTTCATTTTAAGGGCCCCTCTGGTTATGGTGTCAAGACACAGAGAGATAGAGCTGCAGGGCAAGGGCAGGAGTGAGGGGACCAGTTAGGAGGCTGCCACCATCCGCCAGGGACGCACTGATGTGGCTCAGAGCAGGGTGGCAGGGGTGGCATCTGCTGAGACTCCTGAGATCCAACTGAAAGAGACAACAAGTTTTAAAGAAATGTAAGAAAAAGAACTGTGTTAAAAATAGTGGAACTGACTATTCTGAAATGTTTAGAAAATAATGAAACTTCTTTTTAAAAAGCCATCTGGAAGGATTTTACTTTTCCTTCATGTCATTTGGAAATGACCTTCGAGAAGCTCTGTGTATGTGTGTTCCACAGAGGACCAAGAGTGGCCTCCAGAGAGCCCTGGCAGAGTCCAGGCCGGGGAGGGGGCAGGCTATCCCACCTGGGGAGGGGGCAGACTATCCCACCTGGGGACAGGGCAGGCTATCCCACCTGGGGAGGGGCAGGCTATCCCATCTGGTGCCATGTGGGGCCGGGACCTTGTGGAGAGTGTGGACCTGCCTTGGTCTCACCCCAGGCAAGAATTGGGAGCCATGATCTCCACTTTGGTGGTCTGGAGATAAGGGGTCAATAGGGGCCTACAAGACCACCTTCCCACTCCAAGGTGTGTGGACACCAAGCAGCCCCTCCTGGGGAGCAGGTGGTGGTGGGGTCTTGGCCAGCTGAGGACAAAGACTCAGGAGGGCCCGGGGATCCCATGTGCCAGCCAGCCTGCAGCATGAGTCCTGGCCATGTGCTCCAGGAAACATGGTTTCCCCAGAACATCAAAACGCTTAAGAGTGATTCTTCATGAAAGATAATGTTCATTTTTTATGCTCTGATAAAACCACAGGGCTTTTTAATTTTTTGTAACAGCCTTATCGAGAAGTAATTCACATACCATACAATGTACTGATTTAAAGTGTGCAATTCAGTGGTTTTCTAACATATTCACTGAAACAGGGCAACAACTACCACAGTCCATTTTAGAACATTTTTATCACATCAGGAAGAAACCCATACATACCCCTTGGCTGTCACCCCCATCACCCCATGTCCCCCAGCCCTAAGCAACTACTCTTCTACTTTCTGTGTACATAGATTTGTCTGTTCTGGACATTACACAAATGAAAACATATAATATGAGTTTCTTGGTTATTGACTTCCTTCATTCAGCATAATGTTTTTAAGATTCATCCATGTCGTAGCATGTTTCTGCATGTCATTCCTCTTATGGTTGAATAATAATTCTGTTGTATGGATGTACAATGTTTTAAAAATCCATTCATGGCCGGGCATGATGGCTCATACCAGTAATCCCAGCATTTCAGGAGGCTGAGGAGGGAGGATTGCTTGAGACCAGGAGTTTGAGAGCAGCCTGGGAAACATAGCAAAACCCCATCTCTTTATAAAATACAAAAATCAGCCAGGCGTGGTGGTGCATGCCTGTAGTCCCAAGTACTTAAGAGGCTGAGGTGGGAGGATCGTTTGAGCCTAGGAGGTCAAGGCTGCAGTGAGCCTTGATTGTGCCACTACATTCCAGCCTGGGAAATAGAGTGAGAGACTGTCAAAAAAAAAAAAAAAAGTCGTAATGGACATTTGAGTGGTTTCCACCTTTTAGCTATTATGAATACTACTGCTATAAACATTCCTGTGCAAGTTTTTGTGTGAATTTCTGTTTTTCATTTATCTTGTGTCTACACCTAGGATTGGAAATACTAGGTCATATGGGACCTCTGTGTTTGACCATTTGAGAAGTTGTTGGACTATTTTCGAAAGTGGCAACACCATTTCTGATTCCCATCAGCAATGTGTGAGTTTCTAATTTCTCCACATCCTCACCAGCACTGGTTATTATGACCTCCTTATTACAGCCATCTTACTGGGTGTGAAGTGGTAGCTCATTGTAGTTTCGACTTGCATTTACCTACTGACTAATGATGTTGAGCATCTTTTCACATGGATATTAGGGATTTGTATAACTTCTTTGAGAAGACGTCTATTCAGGTCATTTTCCTATTTTTAAATTGAGTGATTTGTCTTTATATTATTGATTTGCAAGAGTTCTTCTCATATTCTAGATACAAGTCCCTTATCAGATAAGTGATTTGCAAATCGTTTCTCTCATTCTTTGGGTTGTCTTTTCACTTTCTTAATAGTGTCTTTCGAAACATAGAAGTTTTTAGTTGTGGTGAAGTCCGATGTATTTATTTTTCTTGTGCAGCTGATGCTTTTGGTATCACATCTAAGATTTGTGTCACATCCATTGTCAAACCTGAGGTCAGGAAGAGCCCCCTGTTTTCTTCTAAGAGTTTTTACAGTTTTAACTCTTACAGTTAGGCCCTTGATCTGTTTTAAGTTAATTTTTTATGTGGTGTGAGGTACAAATATAATTTTGTTCTTTTGCTTGTGGCCCTCCAGTTGTCCAGCACCATCTGTTGAAGAGACTATTCTTTTCCTTGAAAGACCTTGGCAGTTTTGTCAAAACTCAGTTGACCATAGATACATAATTATACTTCTGGAGTCTCAATTTTATTTCATTGATTTGTCTATCCTATGCCAGTACCACAATGTCTCAATTGCTGTTGCTTTGTAGTCAGTTTTGAATCAAAATATGGGAATCTTTTAACTTTGTTCTTTTTCAAGAGTGTTTTTTGGTTATTCCATGTCTGGTGCCATATAATACGAATTTTAGGATGAGCTTATTCGTTTCTATAAAGAAGCCAGCTGTGATTATAATAGGGATTGCGCTGAATCTGTAGATCAATTTTGGTTGTTATCTTAACAATATTGTCTTTGAATCCATGAACATGGGATTTTTTTGTTGATGTAGATCTTTATTTTAACAATAAAACCATAGGGCTCTTTGAAGGTGTTTCAGAACAGCTATCTTTTGAGGTTGCCTACTCTTACCAACTCCTCTGTGAGAGCTGCCACAAAGTTCTGGGTCTCCATCATGTCCAAGGCATTGATGCAGCCCTAGGTGAATAAGCCTAGGGAGTCAGCTGGAGGGGAACTGGGCTGGGTTTTGTCCTTCCCTTTAAAGGTCCTCCCTCCTGCAAGCCTGCCAAGGCAACTGGGTGCTCATAGCTCCAGCTCATTGCTAGATCTTGGGTGTTCCCTTAACCTTGGTTTAAGATCAGCTGTTCACTTTGTCTCTACACACTATTCCTTTCCTCTTCAGAGCTGGGGAATCATCATATCTTAGGGTGCCCAATCGTCTGAGTTTGTCCTTTCACGTGTGTGAGAAGGGCATAATCCAGTCTTTATCATGTGTGTTTCTACTACCCTCAGCACCACTTATTGGAAAGGCCACTCTCTGCCACTGCATTTCAGTGCCACCTTTGTCGTCAATCAGGTGACCATGAATAGGAGGTCTGTTTCTGGTCTGTGCCATTAGGTTATTTGTCTGTTCTTGTTCTAATACCAAAGTGTCTTAGTTATTACAGCCTCATAAGATGTCTTGGTTTGGGTGGTTCAAATCCTCCAGCCTCTGTCTCTGTCAGAATTGCCTTGGCTCTGGATCATTTACAGTTCCAAGTAAATTTTAGGATCAGCTTATCAATTTTAAGAAAAGCACCTAGTGGAATTTGAGATTGTACTAAATCTATAGGTCAGTTTAGGGAGGAAGAGTTGACATCATCCCAACAGGTAATTTTCCAATCCATGAATATGGAATATTCCTTCATTTATTAAGATTTTAAAATTTTCTCTCAGTACAGTTTTGTGGTTTCCTGTGCAGACATCTTGCATAACTTTGGTAGCTTTCTAAGTATTTGCTGTTTTTAATGCTATTGTAAATGGCATTGAAAATTTTTAAATGGCATTTTTAAAATTCCTGTTATAAAAATACTGTTATTGTCATAGAAATACAGTTGTATATTGACCTTGTATGCATTAATCTTGCTAAATGTATTTATTAAACCTCATACCTTGTAAGTTATTTTTGGTTCTCTTATAATGCTAATTTTAATATATTTTTTTCCCCTAATTTGCTTGGTCAGTAACTGTTTGGTTGCAGGCAGCAGAAACTTCCTCCAGGAAGTTCAGATAAAAGTGAAGATAGTATCAGGCCCCAGAGGCATGCTGGGAAAGCCAGAGCAAGGAATTCAGTGGGGCTTCATGGGAACTCCTCCCTTGGGATCTCTCCCCTTTGGACCATGAAATCCAGATCTCCACACCTCTGTGCACCTCTACTCTTTCCTGCCCACTTGCCAGTCTGGTGTCTGCTGTCTTAGCACTATGTAAGCCCCAGCTCAGATTCCGTAGCCATGCACCAACGCCCATCCCATCAGGCCTCAGTGTTCTAGGCCAATCTGATGGCTCTGAGTTAGTTGTCCCGGCTACCTTGTTCACTGTAGTAGGAGGGCAGGGTGGTGAGACAGTGATACAGTGAGCAGTGTTCTCCAACACATAATCCTGCCTATTCACAAGAAAACTTGGAAAATATTAATGTAATGTGTAAGTTTTCACCTCCCAGATATACCTACTGTTAATTTTGCTGTAACTCTGACTAGTATTTTTTCTAAATATATGTATATTTTTATATATTATTTATTTTCCCTCTACATAGAAATTTACAAATTGAAATTACGTTCTACATAAACAGTATTATATATATATATGCTTGTTTTACCTAATTTTATGTCATTTGAGGTTGACGATTTTATTAGATATACTTCAAAAACAATCTTTATGGTTTAATAGAATATATAATATTCCATTACAATGGCTATATCATAATTTAATGACCAATTCCTATTTTGAGCCATTTGGGTTCTTTCCAGTTTTTTGATAAATATTGCCATAGCTAACAATTTTGGACTTAAAAGTCTTGTCTAATATCTGATTATTTCTTTCAGATTGATTCCTTGGAGTGGAATTAGTAAAAAGGATATGAATATTTTTAGTCTCTTGATATGTTAGACTGATTTCCAGAAGGCTTGTACCAATTTACTCTTCTACCGACAACTGTAAGAATACCCTTCCTCCATCAACAGCATTGTGTATTAGCTTTTAAGAAAAATCTTTTCTAATTTAATAGGTTAAAAAAATTCATCTCATTATTTTAATTTGATATGTATTTTTAAATGAGGTTGAATATAATTTCCCAAGCTTATTGATCACTTTTATTGTTCCCTTGTGAATGGACTGTAAATTTGCCTCTTTTTTCTTTAGGGTGTTCATTGAGTGTTATTGATTTGCAAAAGCTCATTGTATATTAAGAATATAAACCCTTTGTTGAGATTGTTACAGGCATCTTTTCTCTCTCTCCTGATGGCGCCTTCCCTGCATCAGCCCTGTGTTCTGCCAGCCCCACAACAGTAGCACAGGCAGTGAAGAATCTGGTCCCTTATAGGTGGAAAAACAAGTTCTATATTTGGCTTAGCTAATGAACCCTGTGATGGCTGAGCAAGCTGTACCAACACCCTCATTGTCCATGGCCCACCATCAATGTGGAGTGTTGGGAGAGGGGGTGGTCTGATGGGGCAGCTTGGTGAGAGATACCTGGGTCCCCTTCTGACCCTTTGTGTCTTTTTTAGCCAACACCTTTGATATTGTTGTTATTCATTGCAAGTCTACCCTCCAAATCATGATTGCTCTTATTTTCCTCTTCTTCATTCCATCCTTAGCCCATTATTACCTTGTTGGCAGTCACAGAAGCTAACTTTTATTGAGCCCTTGCTGGGTGCCAGCTGTAGGTGTAACCCCTTGCAGCCCAGCCCCTCTGGCTGCCTCAGTCCTAGCCTGCACCTCCCTCCCACTCCCGCACCTGCCTCCCACTCCCGCACCTCCCTCCCACTCCCGCACCTCCCTCCCACTCCTGCACCATAGGATGGGCTCAGTGTACCCTTCCCACACTGGCTCACCAGCCGCATGTGTGGACCCCATGTGGACCCCAGGAAACCCACGGAAAGCACAGGGAGCCAGCGGTTCCGAGGTGTCCTGGTGGCTTCAAAGGCCCTGGGAGACATGGTCTTCTGCTTCCAGTTTTGGGAGCATGGATGTGTGACATTGGTTATATTCTGAGGCAAGGCCCGCTGACTCCCATCTGAGCTGCACCGGGCAAGCTAGTTTCCACTTGTGGCCTGCACAGGTGGCCTCGGCTGAGTCAGGCCCTCCAAACCGTGTGGGTGGCTTGGTTAGGATCTTATCAGGGAAGTGTGACTTCTTTCCTTGCTTCCATTTAGATACCCCTCCTTCTCTCTCTCTCTCTCTCTCCCTCTCTCTCCCTTTTTTTTTTTTTTTTTGAGACAGACTCTCACTCTTGGTGCCCAGGCTGGAGTGCAGTGGCACAATCTCAGCTCGGTGCAACCTCCGCCTCCCGGGTTCAAGCCATTCTCCTGCCTCAGCCTCCCAAGTAGCTGGGATTACAGGTGCCCACCACCACGCCTGGCTAATTTTTTTGTACTTTTAGTAGATACAGGGTTTCACCATGTTGTCCAGGATGGTCTTGAACTCCTGACCTCAAGTGATCCACCTGTCTCGGCCTCCCAAAGTGCTGGGATTACAGGCGTGAGCCACCGCGCCTGGCCAGTCTTTCTTACTGAAGATACCTGAAACCTAAATCAGTGGAGAGAGGGTAGGGTTCGAAGATTGGAGACGTCCCCTGGCA
This sequence comes from Homo sapiens, assembly GCF_000001405.40. Classification (NCBI taxonomy): domain Eukaryota; kingdom Metazoa; phylum Chordata; class Mammalia; order Primates; family Hominidae; genus Homo; species Homo sapiens. The sequence goes on from NC_000010.11 coordinate 129,832,119, forward strand.
TCGGATCCTGGTCCTTTCAGCCTGGTGACCCTGGCCCATCCTCTAAACTTTCTGAACTGCAGTTTCACCACCTGGAAGTGGGGAGTCAGCTCCAGCACAGAGCTTTGCGGGAGGACAAAAGAGACGATGTGGATAAAGTGCTCCGCAGATCATCAGGGGCGGCAAAGGTGAGTATTGCTGTTAGATGTGTGGAATATTTGACTCACTTTGGAGACTATATTTAAGAGATGGTCTCTGAGGAATCTTGAATCAGAAACAGTGTTCACCTCCTCCTGAAGTAGTGCCTGCCCTCACTTTGTCCCTGGCCCCAGTCTTTCCAGGAGGGACAAAATGCCCTCCTAGATTCCCACTAAGTACCAGAAACTCAGTAGGACCTCAGCTTCCCCCCTCAGCCTTGACTGGGTGCCCCCATGCAGGGGTGAGAAAGGTGCAGGTTCATCCAGGGCACTCAGGAGACCCACTGGGAGGCTGGGGGCTGGTGGCCTCAGATGCTTTCGAGTCTTCTCCAGGGGGACACCACCCTGGAGTGGCCTGGGGGGCAGGGCAGGCTCTGCAGAGGAGAGCACTGGGGCTTCCACTGGATGCTGGATGGGAGTTAGCCAAGATTCTCTCTGCCCAGATCTCAAGGTCTTGGCACATGCGGACTGGGAGGCCCACATGCTTCTGTATCCTGTGTGCAGCTGTCTGTGGGGTGGTATAGAGCCAACTGGGGTGGGGTGGCACGGGGGTGGGGACTCACCGAAACTGACGGCACTCCCCAGAGAACATGTCTCTGTGGCCATCCGTGGATCTGTGAGTGCAGACCTAGAAGTCACTGTGAATTTTGCCAAGGACGACATCCCAGGTTATAAAGCTGCCACTGGATTCACCATGATTGCACCTGTTATTGTCACAGGTTCAGTTGGCTGCACTCAGTGGGGCAGGCGGAGTCACCAGGGCTGCCTCTGCTTGCCAAGGAGCCCGGCCACGGGTTGTCCCTAGGCCAGGGATGGGAGCGGGAGCTGCGTCCACTCTCACTCCCAGCCCCGCCACGATGGCAACTCGCTCCCTGTGAAATCTGCGACTCTACACTGGGACATGACAAATGACCAAAAAATCAATTTGTAATCTGATTGGAGGTTTTTGATTTCCTCTGATGAGTTTAAATTTCATTAAAAGCAACCTTATTCCAACATAAAAGGAATCCTTGAAGGGTAAAACGGGGGATTGTCTCACTGAGTATAAAGCATCCCAACTCTTTTGTGTGATTTATTCATGGCATTAATTGTGAGGGCCAACCTGTGGTGTCCGTTGGCAGCTGCGCCGTTATCAGGGCCTGGGATCGGCCCAGCGAGCTCAAAGCACAAGGACTCACATTCAAAAATCACTCTTCGGCATATTGACACTTCAGTTATCAACAACTGTTTTTATCTGCTGGGAGGGAGATCGCAGCTCGTGGGGCCGGAGTAAGCCACAAATCACTGCCGCCGCCGCCTCTCTGCATTCTCTTAATTGTATGTATTCTCTGGATAAAATGATCATTGTGGCCTCTTGTCTTGATGAGAAATTGACATTTCTGAGGACTTCTTTGGGCGCTCCGAGCAAGCGAGATAAGGCGTGGGTTGTTTTAGAGGAGAGCAGCCTTTCTTCCCTTTCAGGGGCCTCTTTACTGCTTGCGTTGACCCACTTGATGAGTATGGATTTCATGAGGTCTTTTTCAGCATTTGAACTATAAAAGGTTCAGAATGACACCACCCCTTATAGACAAAAGATAACCTTGCCCTTTGAATATATTGATTCTTTATTAACTAGGCTGTTTAATGCAATGAAATGAGGCATTAGATTGAAGCCCATTTCAAGTGCTTTGAATAATCTTTAAAAGCTTGAAAGACCTTAAAAGGCGGCCTGACAATAATTGGCATGCATTTTGAAAGAAGGCAGTTCTTGCTTCTGATTTGAAACACAAACATAAAATAATTTCTCCATCCCCGGGTTACAGGGCGTTGGGTACTTGTGGCACCAGCGCAGAATGGGAAGGTGGTGACTTGCCCAGCCACTGCTTGTCCCAGCCCCAGCCCCAGCCTCCAGCCACTTGGAAGGGAGCCTGCAGGGGAGGGGAGTGGGCAGGCTTCAGGCTTGTACCTTATAAGCCTCTCTCTTTGCTGTCTCTTTAAGGCTGAAATGAGAACCTGATTGTCAATGACACGACAAAAAGGTATTCACAAGTTTCTTTATGTTTTGAATAATTGTTTCCTGTTTTGCTCAGCAGAACAAGTAATTAAGATGACATTTGTGAGTACTAATTTGGATCACACTTATGTGTATGTGTTATAAAGCTGCAAGCCAAAACATGCAAACCCAGCCTTTCATGGAGGAGAAAATGAAAAAATACCGAGTGAAATGGGAGCATGGGAAACTCGGAGGAGCTGAACATCGGCGTGTAAATTAGAACCTCAGTGTTGATAGCAGATCTCATTATAGTCGGTGCATTTGGCTACCGACCTGCAGCCAGCAGTGCCCGGGGCTAGTGCATGGGGTCTGCTGTGCCACTGTGGTGGCAGTGGCATCCGTGATGCCCCTCTTGCAGAACGTAGGCAGCGCAGGCATCTGGGTGCCCTGGTATCTGCACACCCATCCAGAGCCTTTGCTGCTGTGTCACTCTTCTAAGCCTGGTTCTTGCCCAGTGGAACCCAACCATGGAACCAAAAGAAGCATGTGTCTGGGGTCACCGGAGCCGTTGTTCTCTACCTGCCCAGTGCGCTATTCAGAAGCAGAGGGGCTGGGGCAGAAGGTCTGGAGGGAGTGGGTTATGAAGCCCCTCAGTGAGCCTTGGGATTGTTTGAGTTCTCAAAGACAAGTGCTGGAACAGTGATTGTGTCACCCCAGTGCTGCTGTGGCCCACAGAACATCTGTGACACAGAAACATCAGCCAGAGTGCAGCATGAATACAGATGGCACCTCTGGGGGTCAGGACCACGTAAGTGACAATTTGCTGAACCTCTCTTTCTATGCAGGTTAGAGGACGGAGGCTGGATAACTTTGTGGAAAGTTCCTCTGTGGAACATTTTTATCTTGGCCAAGTTGCAGCTTCAGAACCCGGTCTGTGCAAATGAAACCCCTGATGTAACTTTTATGTTAGTGTTTAGTCATTTTAATAATCAAAAACAGAGAAAATTACCAAAAGTGAAATTCACAGACAAGAAATACTTTAATTAAATATTGTGTAAAATGAACATTTTTATACAGTTAAATATCTGAAAAAATGTACAGATAAAACAATCTTATTGTAGGGTCTTTAACAGTAAAATCTACCATTTAGTGAAGTGCTCAGTCTTGAGACAGTGAAGTGATGTGGGCATTGACTACTTAACCTAAAACACAAACCAAGTGAGGGCATGGGGAAGCTGGCAGGCGTTCTCAGTGCGTCCATGTGAGCTCTTTTGTAGATCAAACCCTTACTCGTACAAAATAAAATGGAGGCAATTTAGTTCCAAAGTGACTTCTCAGGCTTTCCCATGTAGCTAGACCTTGTCAACCATCACAAAGCCAGACTGTGACCTGCTGACTCCTGGGGACATTCTGTTTATTTAATTTTGTCCCTAGAATGAACACTTTGTAAGTTGTGCATTGTTGATTTTTGTCAAGAAGGTATTTTAAAGTCCCTCCTTTTTGTTTTAAATTCGATTTCTGCTGCAGTTTGCAAAATGTTTGCTGTGCCGTGTCTGCAAAGCACTTAGTGCAAAGGAGAAAGAAAAAAAAAAAAACACCTGACACTTTTGGTCTCACTGTGGGTTTGGCACTAAGAGGCACGATATCTGAAGGAGGTCATTCCAGTTTTAAAAGTACGGACAGTGCTGTTGGAACTGACCACAAAAATGTATTGTTAAAAAAAAATTGAAAACCAGCAGTGATTTGGGTCCCCCTGAAACCTCTGTGAATCGGAGGTGGGCCCAGGAGGGTGCAGGACGCAGCAGAAATAGTCCCAGAAAGGAGAGACGGGTCATGCAGCGGGCTTGTGCTTTTTTGTGTGTGTTTGTGTGTTTTACACCATACATCTCCAAATGAAGTATTTATTAACAATTGTAGTGTAAGCCTGTGATAAAATAGCACAAAGGTTCTTTAAAGAAGTTCACTTTTAAGGCATCAGAAAAGTTAATGTGGCAAACATTTTAATTAAAACATCAGAAGTAAATTTTATTTTAAACTTTAGGCCTCTGAATTTTTCCAGTAAACACAGTTCAGCTATGTGGCAAAGTCAATGGGTGGCATCTAAAATGACTTTTTACATTCTACAAAAAAATAAAATAAAATAAGGACACAGCCCCAAACGGTGTCACCTCTTCGCGGCCGCTCCACATGCACAGAATCTACTAGGATTTGTCACGGCCGGGTGGCACCGATTTGTTTTGACTATACAACAAACTTTTTTTTCAAAAGTATTTGTTCAGATAACTTAAAAATAATATAAAAATAAACAATGAATTTGACTTTTCCTCAAAATAAAAAAAAAAAGGATGGAAAGTCTAAACAATAGCATATTTTTTGAAGTACAAATGAAATGTAAAGACACTGGTTCAGCTTAACGAAACAGATCAAAGAGACAAGTTCTTGGCTAATGCTCTTCCCAGTATCACAACACCAGGCCGTGATCAAAAACCAATACAGACAAGAAAGAAGAAAAAGGAAAAGGTGGGAAAAGCAATGTACAAAATTTCAAAGATAAATACAATATTTATAATTGATATGTTACAAAATAAAGTCCCTTAGCAACTGCAAGTGTTCATGGGAAAGTAAGTGTCAAATGAAGACCATTTTATTCCTTATAAGACACATAAGGAATAAAACTTGTTTTTCTAAATATTTTAAGTGGATCTGAAAAAAATTCAAGACAAGTGTATAAATATTTAGCTACAACTTTGGCAAAATCACAAAAGTCTACAATTTTATAACCACATACAAAACACATTAGGGAAGAAGGATCTAGAAGTCAAAAGGACAATTTCTGGTACAAGAAACATAGACCTCACAGTAGCCTAAGAATGCAATAGTATACAGTGCTAGCAAAAGTTGAAAAAATGTTGCAGATCACACTTGCTTAACAGGAAGCTCTAGCAGTGGGAGAATATTGGAACCAACAGACAGTAGCATTTTTTCTCTGTCAGTGTGCTTGTTGAAGGCAAGAGAATTCAATATCAAAGTTACAATTTCTAACTACAATAAGTTACAAAGTTTCATTTCATGAAGATGAAGTTAAGCAGTGATAAACCCTCCCTCCCTCCCTGCCACCCCAGTTTCTCCTCATCATATAGTCATCCTTTTTTCCAGTCTGATGGCTCATACCTCCTTGGCCCTCTTTTTATCACCACAAAAAAATATTTCACATTATAGAGATACACAACCATTGTGAATCTAAGTATGAGTACAGAAAAATGTTTGGAGGCATTTTTCATCAGCGTTTCATGATCATCAAAATGGTGCATTCACAAAGTTTCTCCCAACACATAGCAATTACTAGACATGGCCAAGACGGAGTCGGAAACTTTATACAAAATAGGCGTCGCTTTGTTTTCCTTATTCTTCAGGACTGAGAAATGTGAAAATATGAGAAAAGTTCAGTCAATAAAATGGAATTGTTCATGAAGAAGTAGGCTGTTTGCATGTTGATTCTTAATAGTTTAAATAAAATCTTTAAACAAAGTCTTTTGTAGCATTTCAATTGCTGCTGATTTTTTTGAAGATACTGTTTCCATCAGCATGTCTTAATATACTAAACGTGTCCCCTGAAGTCCGTCCTTTGATGCTGGGTGCTGCGGAAGGTAAACAGAAGTCCCTCACATTGGCGGGACTACCAGCCCAGACATAGCTGCAAGACAGAAGGACAGAGCAGTTACTGCAGGCTCCCCCACGCGCCCTCCCGCCAACGCTGACGCGGGCGGGGCTGCCCTTCCCCCCTATTCAACTGGGAGGCTGGTCTTGCACAGTTCCGTCCACCAGCCTCGGGCGTGGTTAGGGCGTGCTGGGGAATCTGCTTCCTGAGGTGGGGGCACACGTGGGGACAACAACCCCCAGTCCTGCCCCTCCTGCAGCCCTCCTCAAAGGCTTCTTTAAAGGCTTCTTTTGGAAAAGGGAAGGGCTCCTGGCACTGCTGTGTGCAGAGGCTGCAGCTTCCCCACACTGACCGGTGCACTGCCAACAGGTGCAAAGCCAACGGAGGCCCGGAGCCCCCTCTGTCGAGAGAGGTGACCCAGCCTGGTCACTCCCGTGACGCCAGTCAAGGCCGGCTCACAGGCCCTGCTCTCGCTCCCTATGTGAGAACCAGACTGGCCTCAGTTTCCCCCTCTGCTTCCAGGTCTGGGCTCTGACCGTGCGGTCATCTCTCTGTATCGTAATGGTGAGTCAGGGGCTCTCCAGAATCAAAGCCACTCACAGCCCACCTGCCCTGGAACCTCCAGGCAAGGGCCACGGAGAGACGTGAGTCATGGCACCGCCTCGGGACCTTTTTTCTCTTCTCAGGAAAGAAGAGAAAACTTTGCACGAAAACGCCAAGTGGGGCTGACGCTTTCACATGAACTCCTGGTACGAATGTAATTTAAAATCTTTTACCGCTGGTGTTGTTTAATTTTTGTCAGAATGATCGTTCTCATTAATTTATGTATAACATATTAATACATTTGTTCATGTAGTGACGTGAGCTTCAATTTCTCAGTTCATTAATTTCAACAATATTAATTTATCTCCGACTCACCGTTACAACTTTACGGTTTGGAAGCCCTGTGCGTACACACCGCGTAGGAGGTGCCGTCTTTCAGCCGGCCCGACCCCGTGTCACGGGCAGGGCCGCGGCACCTCACCACCTGCCTCTGCAACGACCCTGGTGTGGTGCCCGCTGATGGCACGCAGGCCAGTCGGCGGCACTTCGGGGGCCTGGGCGTCCCTTCATACGCTAACGGATGTTGTGAAGACAATGATTTCAAATCACTGATACCTTTCCAGTTCCTTTTTTGAGCATTAGTTCATCAAAGTGAAATATGCCACCGACTTCACAAAAGGGCCAGTTTGTCTTCTCCGCGGCTACGTCCTCAGCACCCAGCAGAGAGCCTGGTACATAGTAGGTGCTCAGTAAATACTGGTTGAATGGGTTCATGTTTCTAAAGGAGTAACTGGATTTGAGTCACTGGGAGGAGCATATACCAAAGGTGGTGTCTGAAAGAGGCCAGATGACGGCCACTTAATTTAAGTGCCTGCGGGCCTCAGCACCTCACAAAGGGCCACTCGCAAGTTCATGAGGCCTGGGGGCACCCATGTGGCTCTGCCCGTCACACACATCACAGGCCACGTGCAGCCTGCACAGCTCAGATGGGCCAGGCGCTGGGCAGGCACAGGGTGCCCACCCCGTGTGGCCTCATCTGTGGACAGCTGTGCCCTCGGGGCCGGCCCTTCTCCCTCCTGATTCTTTGAAAGAGATCACGTAGGAAAATCAGCTCCTGTCCACAGACAGGACTGCAACCTGGTGTTGGTACACACCTGGCCCTGGGTCTAGACGCACACCTCTTTCCAAAAGACAGTGCAGCCCTGCTGGATGTGTGGCCCAGCAGATAAGGTGGAGAACCAAGGCCCAGCCTCGGGACAACGAGGGTAGCAGATTTTGAGATGGGCTCCACAGGTAGCATGGTGCCCCGCCATTCCCATGCCAGGGCTATTTTCGCTGCTTTGTGCATAGCAGGCTGCAAGCCCAGGAGCTATGGGCAGGGCAGCATCCTGCGCTGAGAAGTGCCAGGCCCCGGGCAAAGGCCCATTGGCTGAATCAGACCGACAGTGACCACAGCTACCTTCACCACACTCCCGCCTTCTCTTACGTGGTCCCACCCCCTTAGGGGCACAGGGTGCTCCACCGTAAGTACACTAGGTGCCGTCGGAAGGGTGAGCTGGACAAAAACCAAGAGGAGGAATCTGGTCCTTTCTGGGGCTCAGTGCACAGGGGTCCTCGCTGTGAACACCAGGCAGAGGTGGCACGCATCAAGGTGGGCCACGGGAGAACATGCAGCAGTCACAGAGGTGCCAGGAGAAAGGCCGAGCCCCCACCCCCACTCCCATCCCCACCCCTGGAGAGGACCCAGCACTGGCCCACGGCCCCGCACCACCCTCACCTTGCAGTCCATTCCCGTTGGCGCTGGTGCAGGAAGGAGGAGGAGAGGCTTGGGGCCGGACCACGGGCGCGAAGGCGCTCTTCTGTTTCACTGCGGAGATGACATTGGCAGGTGAGAATGAGAAAATGCCGTGTGTGCTGCTACAGTTTGAAGGGAGGGTGACCGAAGAGGCTGCCATGGTGGGGCTGGACGGCACTACTGCAACAAAGCAAACACGGTCAGCACGCGCGGCCGCGGCACAGCGCCACGGCGAGAGGGCACCAAAGGCCTCGCCTCGGACGGGGGGGCAGGGGCACGAAAACAAAACATGACATGCGTCTGGCTCGGCCACGCTCTGGATAACAGGCAAGCTCTTTTGCACTGGACTTTCCCTTCCAATTGAGCAGCCCATTTTGTTCTGATTTTGTTTTGGTTTCCAATGAGATCACATCGGGCCCGTTTTGGGTCAATTTACGGTCGCCATTTGGACGCCCAGCCTCCAGGGCCACCCTTCCTTTTATCCAGTAGCTCACATCACAGAACATCCAAGCAATGCACACACTCGACTCGGTAGTGAATATGAATCTGCGTGATGACGTGTGACAAAAACAGACACTTACTGCCGTAGGGAGAGTTAGCGGAGGAGCCATTAAGAAATCCAGGCGAGCCAGGGACCCCTAGACTGGCCATGGCGCCACTTCCATATCCATTCATGCTAGTGCTGACTGTGTTGTAATTGGACTGCTGGGGAGTACTGCTGGGGACGTAGCCTCGCGGGGACACGCTGCTTGTATTGCGACTGTAGCCGACTGTTGAAATCCCCCCCCCGGCCAAAAATAACATTATTATCAGCGACAGACACTTGGGGGGGGTTCCCCGAGAATCTATATCATATATTAACATTGCTAATTGACCCTGTGCTTTCCACCTGCTCTAGCGCCTGCTGCCAGCTCGGATGACCTTATCACGCCAACCCTGCTGCCACTGTCTCACCGTGAGCCCCATCCTGTCTCTGCTGGCTTCAACAGCCAGCCGGGGCGCGCTTCGATCTCGCCGTCAGTGGCTTTCACGTTTCTCTTTAGAGGCAATTATCAACAGCTTGGATTCCTGGTCTGTCCCCCCACGCTCTGTGAACTTTCGGCCTCTGTAGACCTTCAAATGCCATGACTGACAAGGAGAGCTTGTTTGTGGCCGTAACTTCCCCTGAAAGGCTGTTTGGGGGTCTTCATTTGTATGGTTGTTATTTCTATACATGGGGGCGTTCGGGGGACATGGAAGCTTCATTCCTGCCATGGGAGCTTGTGGATGGACGGGAACAAAATCAGCAATAGTATGGGTGAGGTGTTTTCTAAGATCACTGCCTGCGCGCTTTTCAATGAAGAAAACTAAAATGGACCCAAATGGCAAGATGCAGCGGCCTTGGCTGGCCCAGGACACTGCACTGTGGGATGGGGTGCGGGGTGGGGAAATGGGGGTCTGTCTCCATGGATTCGTTCCAAACTTAGACCCAAATCCCGCCGTGCAGTGCGTCCAAGCAGGCTCCCCTCAGCTCCCTAGGCCATGGCTATCCTATGGCTTAGCCCAGACTTCCAAGGAAAGCAAAGTCTCTTATGAACACATTGAGGGAAACTTCTAGCAAATACCAGTGACCCGCATGGCATCCATTGGAGCTGCCGTTTTTAGTAACTGGGCTCTCTGAGTGTTCTTACCCCAGCACTGGCTGGGAGGACCTGCAGCAAGGTCTTCCTGAGCAAAGGAACCAGCAGAGCCAGAGAGAACAGAACGCTACGGACATTCCCCAGCTGGCCCTGGACACGTGCCTCTTCAGCTAAGGCCTCAACCAACCCTCGGAGGGCGTTCAGGGCAGGGGTCCTCCCAGCATGCTGGCATACCTTGGTCGTTGGCTTGTGACGTCTCTGACACGTTGACGGCTAGCTGGCTGCTGAAGGAGTTGACGCCCATCATGCCCGTGTGTGCAGGGTTGTTGCCCAGGGTGGGGATCTGGTTGTGATTGCGGGGAACGCTGTACAGCGCCTCGGCGATGTCCGCCGCTCGCTTCAAGATGATCTCCTGCAGCAGGAGCAAGTGGGAGCCGGCCTGTCACCCCAGGCCCGGCCCAGCTGGCCGCACTCTCGGGGGCCCACCATGGTGGCATCCCACTGTCCCTTGCCCAGACCATGACCAAATCTATTTCTTAATGGGCAAAGAGCTTCCCCTAGAAAATCATTTACTGACGCTTTTGAAAGTGTGCAATATCTGGCTGGGCACGGTGGCTCACTCCTGTAATCCCAGCATTTTGGGAGGTCAAGGCAGGCGGATCATCTGAGGTCAGGAGTTCAAGACCAGCCTGGCCAACATGGCGAAATCCCATCTCTAATGAAAATACAAAAATTAGCCGGGTGTGTTGGCAAACGCCTGTAATCCCAGCTACTCGGGAGCCTGAGGCAGGAGAATCGCTTGAACCTGGGAGGTGGAGGTTGCAGTGAACCGACACTGCCCTACTGCACTCCAGCCTGGGTGACAGAGCAAGACCCTGTCTAAAAAAAAAAAAAAAAAAAGGGAGCAACATTTGCTGTGTTCTGTCCTGCATGCTGTGGGGCGCCCATCCAGCCCTCCCTGGTTCCCAGCGGCACCAACACCGTCCACCCGCCACTGCACACTGCAGATGGGTTTCAAGGCTGTGCACTCCCGCTGTGACAAGTTTTTTCTGCTTTTGGGTCCTGACACCAACTCATCATTTCTACGTGAACCTAGCGTGAGGGCAAGGATGGGAAGCCATTCTCACATCAGACTCCTGTGGAGTCGCTGGAAAAGCATGCTTATGTCCAGAAAGCCCACACTGGAGCCACGCCGGCTGCCCACGGGTTCTGGCATGGGGGGGAGGATGGGCGAGGGGAGCCGCCCTCCACCTACCTGGTTGTTGTGAGGCATTCCGTATAAGGCTTCCACCAGGTCCGCCGCCCGCTTCAGTAACACCTCCTAAAGGAAGAGCAGACAGGAGGTGATTCATGGGAGGAACCGGCCAGTTATCACTGCCCTTCAGTACCAGTTCCGTCTGCGGGTGTGGAGACCAGTCCCCACCCACAGCGACCCGTCCTGGCCCTGCCGTGCACTTCGAAGGCAGGCACAGACAGGAAGGCACGTGCGTGCTGACAACACTGTTTGTGGCCTTTACAAGGAGGCTGAATAAAAGCGTTTTCTGTGGCTCCTCCATCCGGTTGGGCTCACAGAGGTGCACGGACAAGCGGGAGGGCCGGCGGAGAACGAGCCCAATCCGTGCCTGAGGTTTAATGACGGAGTCTTATGGGTATTAAACAAATACACACATGGCGGAGATATGAAAGGCCCAGGCACCACATTTGCCTGTTAATTCCTAGCACTTTAGTGGTGAAGAACAATAAGTAATTTTCCATATCTTAATTAAACTGGCAGAGTCCTTAAAGACAACATCTCACCCCTAATTCACGCCCCAAATTTGCAAGTGAGTTCAGTGCTTATTCCTCTTTATTTTGAACAATAAAGTGAATTAACTTGGGTTAATCTAGTTCTTTCATAATGACATTAAGAAATTTTTCAATTAACCTCTTTGACTGCATGTTGTAAAGGACTTCATAAATGCCTTCACATTCCGAGAGTGTGCGCGCTGTGCCTGGGGGCTTGGATGCACCGAGTTTTGTCTTATCCACGTCTGCACGCCTACCTCCAGTTTACGATTGTGCGGATTAATCCAGAGTTTAGTTAATTTTAAATACAAATGGGGGCTTACGTTTTAACTTTCTCTACCTTGAGCTGTAATAAAACGGAGCTGAGCTTTTTAATAAGCCGAGGCCAGGCCCAAACCCCTCCCCAGCATGGAAGACGGGCAGAGAGTTTCTTTCCAACTCCATTCAGCCAGGACAGTGCTAGCACAGAGGTGAAGAGAAAAATTCCCTGGGTGGCTGGAGCACAGTGGCCTCCTGCGGACCCCAGGCCCGGTCTAGGAGAGCTCTGCGGTCTAGGAGAGCTCTGCTGGTCCACCTTTTAGGTGTGGAGGTGTGTCTACATCTGGGCACCTCTTGTTAACCTGAGACCCCAAAGGTGACTGGACAAAAAGTAAGGCAGGTGGCCTTCGCTCCTGGGCCTGTGGCTGTGGCCTTCCCAGAGAGCTCTGTGGTGCCTCACAGACACACCAGCTTATGATTTCTGCAGATTCACATAAGCAGATTTCAGCCTGAACCTCTTAATGCAAATACAGTGCAGTCGGCTGGTGGGAAGCAGGCCCGTAATGACTCCACTGTTAAATCTGTGTTACATCTGAGAAGGCAACGACTGCCTTCCAAGGACTCACTCGCCTCATTGTTTCCCCATCTCCCCCAACATGCCGACTCTGGACCCTTTATTTATCAAGATTAATCACTACGGGCATCACTTTTTGTGCGTGCCATACGTTCCCAGGAACAGCACTTAATCCAGAAAGTTCCCGGATGGGTGGCTCTGACAATGGGCATTTACCTCTGAAATTGGTGCCGACGCTTGATGTTGCATGCATCTAGTTTGCATACAAATAAAGAATTAGACTTGTCATGAAGCAGGTATAATCAATGAAAGGCCCAGCTGTCTTAATCAGGTTTCGTTAGCCTGAGCAGCTCTCTGTGAGCAAGATAAAGTGTTTTTCAGAGGTATTAATAATTACTCATAATCTCTCCTATCATATCGCAAGACTTTTTACATGCCTTTCAATTTTAAGCAACGATTAAAGCAATTAAGATTGCTGCATTTACAAGCTATTTTTCATTCCCAGAAAATATCCTACACCTACTTGTCCATATGGTACTTTGCAATTGGAACATAAGGATAGTTTAGGAAAATTACGTATGCTCTTATCCTAATCTGCCTATTACTGGATAGTGTCTTAACTAATGAACCCGACTTTCTGAGCTGCTCTTAAGTGGTGGTCTTGTCATATCAGAGAGACACAAAACGGGTAACCCAATCAGTCAAGGATGCTTTGAACAAGTTTGTTTTGTTACAATATGCCGAGCTTATGCATACTGCCTCATGCTGTGAATACATTAGCACCGAATGGTGTTTGAAAAGCATTTCGATGGAAATTTCTTAGCCACAACCATAAGTGTAATTGGCTGCCTTTCAATAGGACATAACAGACTTCAAGTTAAATGGAAACTATTAAAGCTCAAATGATTTCTGCCGTTGTTTCATGACAAATGTACAGTTTTATTATTATGAGTATTCATTCTTGTACAGTGGTCGACAGCGATTTGAATATACATGATTATTCACATGCCCGATGATCTAGAATGGTATATATCATCACAGTTAAAAGAGGTAACCAAGGTGACGTTGCTTCAGGTGCTAATGTCATTATAAAACTGTAAAGCAATTATTCTGTTAGTTCTTGCCTGGGGTTATGAATACATTGAAGAGTGCAGAGCCATTAGATGTAGCTACTTCAAAAAGCGGGGAAAAGAAGATGAATTTTAATGCATGGGTAATTGCTCAACATGACCGCATTCCTAATAAATTTTTGTATATTAGAAAAAAAGAACAGAATATATTTGTGTATGATGCATGAAACAGAAAAAAAACTCAGATGAAATGCATGCAATTAATTTTATGGTAAAATCATTTTATGACTATGCACCTTATAATAAATATAATTTGTTAGAGCACAATTCCATGCATAAAATGTAATTTGTTTTTTCTGCTTTCATTTTTTTTTTTTTTTTACTATAACATGTCTTAGCCTTGATTATATTGTTTCAAATAAGGCTTAAAAAGAATGAGAATTCTTTAGTCTCTGATCACTTAGAGACGTCTTCCCTTCCAATCTCTATTTTTGCCACATGAGTGCCTCTTGATATTGCCTTTATTTTCATTCTGGGCTTTGTGTGTGTGTGTGTGTGTGTGTGTGTGTGTGTGTGTGTAAAACATTTGCCTATTTATGCCACTCCCACAGGATAAAATGGGTCATTTTTGATGGTGCCTAAAATTAGGAGGTAAACTTCAATTCAAGCCAACCCCCCTCTCTCAGAAGCAACACTATTCGCGTGCATCCAAAACAATGTGTGTGCAATGTATTGGCTTTCTGTCGCCCCACAATTACCCATCAAACCACGTGCATTACGGAGCTTCAAAAAAATTGCTGCAAAAATCAATATTGTGGTAATATTATCAACTGCGGGGTGACGCCGAGGAGGGGGCAGCACTCCTCGGCAAAGCCTTATTGAGACACACGCTTTACATCTGCGGAATCTCATCTCTCATTTCTATTCTTTTTTCTCTGTCTCTCTGCTTGTGACACTTACGGCTGATTTTCTTTATTCCATTTCTTTTTTCATTCAAAATGTATGTTAAGGCCAATTGCTGTTTTACTTAGGACCCACTCTGACCCTTGTAAAGCAGCCTCAGATGGCTGGCTTAACCATGATGAATCGCTTGGCAGTTTAATTTACATGCCGCTGAACTCCACATTTGGGTCCATTAGAACAAAATCAAATATTTATGTTGTTTATTGAAACTGCTAGATTTCATCTCGTTCAGTGATCGTTTTATGTGAAGCCTGAACAATACGTTTTCACCTGAATTAAAAGAGCTAAGTAATATGGGGCAGTGGGCTGTGGGCTAACTGATCTGTCACCCTGCTGGAGGGCTTATGGGAAAAAATGCCCATAACTGAGAAAGTCTTCTGTCCCCCGGGGAGGCAGAAGCCCTTCCCTGGAGGGCTGGTAGGCTTCCCAGGGGTCCCATCCAGGCCCCCAGCCGCCCTGGGGGCTCAGGGAAAGAAGGTGGCTTGGAGGAGGCTGGGTGCTCACCAATGAGGGCCCTGGCAGGCACGCGGTCACCTGTGGCGCCAACACCAGCTGCCAGCGGGGAGGACTGTGCTGTGGGGTTCTGCAGGGACCTGAGGGGAGTGGGAAGGTGACCAGGGAACCCCCCGAGAGCGCAGCTGCTGGGGTGTCTTCCCTGAGGGCCACCCAGCCTCAAACCCAGTGCTTCCATGGGCCTGCCAAGGCATGTGGTCTGTCTATGGGATGGCGGGACCCAGTCACTAATCCTGCACACAAAGCCAGCCCTAGATGGAGGCTGGCAGCAAAGCCCTCTGGGTAAGGATGTTGCAGGCCTCGATTCTTCCCGGGGAAACACTCGTTCTGCCTGGGCTCACCCTCAGGAACAAAAACCCCTCCGTGAACTGCTCTGCATTTGAAAAACATCTTCCCCAGCCCTGATGATCCTAACAGTGAATATCTGACATCCGTTGCTAGCATGTTCACAAATTAAAAAGCAGCCTAATGACATCGCCTATGTTCATGCTGAGCATTAAAAAGGTAATGTCTAAAAGGTTTTATTGTGTTAATAAAACTCAGAGGTGGTCAAGACTTGGTACACACAGGGATGGAATGTAAAACAATCAGCCATAATGTTATGACTTCATTTTTCATTTTGCATTTTCAACTCTGCCTTGGAAATCAGATAGGGCTTCTAAAGAGAGAAAGAGACAAAATTATATCAAAGGAAAGGAAAAATTATAAGCTTGACTTGTCTTTAATGTTATACATCAAAATGGAATTTCTGTGATATGTGGCGTGTGCATAAACAACGCGGGCAGCTTTTGTCTTTGTTGAATTTAAATGGAAAGTCCCTCTAGATATTAATATGTGGACTTCATTTGTTAGCCTGCTAAGTCAGGGACTTATAACAAAAGCTTTGTAAACAAAAGATTAAACTGAATCGAGCTTTAGAAAATGAAAGGAAAACAAGAGTCAAGTAATCACAGATCAGACTGGGGCTGCTTAGATGGAAATCAGAGCAGGCCACTGGAGTGGAAAATGTTTAATTGAACTATTTCATTACGCGGAAGTTTATGTCCCCCTCACAGAATCCAAAATATTTGTTATCAGAAAAGCTGTTCTTTGCTTCCCTTAAAAAGATGGTCCTTTGGAGATGAGATGTAAAACTCGAGCCGTCTACGCCTTCTCTCACCCTTCGCCCACCTCTGAAGCTGGTCAGGTGCGGGCCCGGGCAGCTCCTCACACCTGTCGGCCCTGTGGTGGGCACAGAGTTTGGGGAATCTGCAATCCCCCCTTCCCAGAGCACCTGCTGCCCCCAAACCAGAACCAGCCCAGTGGCGGCCCCACCATGAGCGGGGTGCCACTTGCTCTTTTACTAACCTTGGGTAACCTTTCGGGATCACCCGGATGTCTTGGGATCACTTTCTGCAACCTCTGAAAGCCGTAATCTATGGTTGGTTCATTAAGGGCTGCAACAGGACACAGAAATGTAGATCAGGTTAATTACTTTTATGTCATCCATTACTCGTTTATTGCACACTTACAAATAAATGTGTAGTTCTCCTGCTCTGATGCTCTCTAAGGCAAGCACCCCTGAATACTAGCTGTGTCTTAAGGAATAGATTTTCCCCCTTTCTTTTGCACATAAAAGCAACGATTATTTCTGATCTATAATTAGACTGGAAGAAAGTCAAAGGGTGACTCAATATATTGTAAAAATGGTAGTGCAGTCACAAAGTTACAGGTCTTGGGGCCATATGTAGCAATCACCACCATCACGATGTGATGTCTGCATCACACGGTGCCTTCCACACTGGCCAGGGATTTATGGGAAACTGGCAATTATGACATATGTCCAGCTATTGCTAGCCTCAGATTTATCCCTGTGGTCCTTTTTTGTCTAGCATATTGCCTGAGCACAAACCAGGCAGGAGGAGCACTTATTCTTGCAAAGCTTTAATAATCTGTGAATGGCTGCCTACAAACTGATGTAGGGCACTATCATTCTACAGCTGCAATCCACCAGCCTCACGAAATTGCTGGCCACAAACAGTAATTAATCTTTTTATCCCTCAAATTGTAATTTTGACTATGAACTGTGCGCGGCCATAAATCAGCGGCACATGCGCTGTGTACAGTGCATGAATCACGGCCGGGACTCCGTCCGACTGCACACACTGTGTTTAACAAGCTTTATAAGGAGCCATCGGGCTTTATTATGGCTCTGCCTGACTCCAACAAAAACTGAGCCTGGAGGCCCGGGGACACGAGTTAAGATGAAAATACTTATTGGAGTACATTACTTCTTGATGTAGATGGCGTTTTCCGTGGAGTCACTCCACGGTGCGTGGCACAACATAAATCAGAGGTTTTTCGGAGACTAATAAGACCTGCCACCATCTATTCATTACTCTGCCTGCAATTTGGGCCATCACTCATTAGTAATTTGATGATTAACACGCCCCACCTCAGCAGGTGTGCAAGGTGCGGGGGCGGACACAAAGACTGCGGCTTCCGGAGAGGACGGCTAGGGGGCCGCCTTTGCAAGTGCTCTCCAAAATAATTGGTCACCGTTCTCGAGTGCTTGGGCGTCGGCGCATCTTGTAAGCAACGCAGGAAGCCTCGCACGTACACTCAATAATGCGCCCGAAAGTTGAGGACCACAATATGATTTGACATTCCATCATACATCCCGGAGATAAAGGTCCGCACAGGAATGTGAAGTAAGACATTTTCTTGTTAATAAAGCATTGATCCGATGTATTGATTTTACATGACATGGCTTTTGCTGGGATTTTGCCCTCTTTTTTCTTTGCAAATAGTAAAGCTCTTCAAAATGCCTCGGCGTATGTGACATGGCAAAATTTCTAACTCTCTGTGATGTAAATTCTATATGTGTAAAACCACTTCATAATCAGACCATTAATCATCAGAAGCTGTCAGCGTTGACTTGGGGGACAATTTGTCATGTCTCTGCCTAGGCCCAGGCCAGAGTGTCAGGCAAAAGCATAGTTCGGGCCGCGGGGCGCGTGCGCAGTCGCCCAGCCTCACCAAGCGACTTGGTCCAAAAAGGATTAGATAAAGTATTACCTTTCCTGAACAGGGAACAAAAAAGGCGGCCCACTGCATTTCTAACGTGTCAGGTTTCTCCTCTCCCCCAGCTAATCACCATGACTGTTTGACTTAATGAATCGGCCTGATGAAAGGTGATCAGAAAAGATAGATGGGCGGCCATTATTGATTTCATGCAAATGCCCCTGACAGGTGATAGACGCTTTAATGCAAGCTTTCAGAAGCTTTATGACTTGTAATAACCATACACTCTCATTCTGGGAGAGACGCTTTCCAATGTTTCAGTTGAATTGATATTCTTCTTTGATGCCCAAAAATATGTGAAAGCAGGGTAAGTACATGGGCCCCTTTCACCTCTCAGTTCAGCCCAAAGAGCACTTATGTCTTGAAAGCAATGCCAAGAATAAGCGCGGCACTCCATTGGAAGTTCGGATGTGAGGCGTAATTGTGCACTGTGGGCTCCTGCCAGGCTGGATGCGGGCCGAGGCAAGGGGCTGGGGCTGCCATTCCAGCTCTAAATCCCTTCCAGGGGCTGGGCTACTGGAAGCCCAGTGAGTTCACGTTCAAGAATTAGAAAAAACTGCCCCTCTCTTTTTAAATTGCAGGAGGAATGACACGCATTCGTGGTTCTGGGAGGCTTCTGATCACTGAAGGTGGGGGTTCCCAATCCACCTCTGTGCCCCCAAGAGCACCTGCCTTCTACAGAGCTCCTGGGTTCTGCAAAGCCTGGCCAACTGGTGGCCCCTCTGGCCCACAGCCCCCCAAACCCTACAGAACCCACCACCGCCCTGCACCATCACTGGCAAGTTCCCCGACGGGAGGAGAAAGCACCGGGGCCTCACACACATCTCATGAGCCCTCCGCACGCAGAGTTTACGGGCGAGAGCCCTGCCGAGCCAGGGCAAGGCGCTGGCACGTCCAGTCACAGAGCCCCGAGCCAGGCCAATCAATACCACTTTCCTGTTTTAGAACTGGGTAATTATGAGGGGGAGAGATTGCCTGACCTTTCACCTGCGCTGCATTACTTTGCTGATATTAAGATAAATTGCCTGATTTTGGGTAAACATATGCTGCAATTCAAACTGTCAGCACTGGTTTGCTCAGGGATAATTTGTATTGATCTCCCAGCTTCTTCCCAATTTTGCTTACTGACCTCGTGGATAATTAGAGAAGGAGCCTTGGGTGAGCTCAAGTCGGGGATGAAGAAGAAATATGAAGAAGAATAAAGCAAATTTGTTTTATGTTAATATTTGTGGGTCCTCCCCCCACCCTCACATCTGTCAGCATCTGGAGAGCCGTAAATTAATGTACTTGGTTCCCGAGCAATTTATTCCCAGGAATTGTTTAGCAGCATGCTTAGTCTCCGAACACATGTCACTGGGTTAAATTAATTTAAACTCTGCCTTAAACACAACAAAAACAAATGTTATTTTCTACTGAAGGGGGAAAAAAACAATACGTTTCTCAAAATTTTGAGAAACGTATTGTAAGCTCCCAACTTTCTGCATGGAATTCCACATATCTGGATCTGAGAGGATGAGTTTTCTAAGAAATCCCCCCAGAAGTAATTAGTGCCCATTATTTGTCCTGAATTCAAATTTTGCTACGATGGGTTGCTGCGTATAAGAGATGAATGTATGTGTGAAATTATATCGTTTAAGATATGTCAGATTACAAGGCTGTTGTATCAAAAGTCATAAAACAAATCTCCCCTGTGAAATATCTCTTTATTAACCGTGCCATAAGATATTAACATTCCTCATTTAGTGGAGGGCCTTTTATCTGTTTCAAATACATTATTCGTCCTTTT
Source organism: Homo sapiens (assembly GCF_000001405.40). Lineage (NCBI taxonomy): Eukaryota > Metazoa > Chordata > Mammalia > Primates > Hominidae > Homo > Homo sapiens. The sequence goes on from NC_000010.11 coordinate 129,851,894, forward strand.
AGAGATAAACTGTATTAATATCCATTTGAGTAGGCTACCGCGGCCTAATGCATAGTAATTTTTGTTGGAGAGCTTTTATTTTAGAATAAGAAAATTACACAGCAATAAAACCTGAATGAATCAGAAGCTAGAATAGCCGGGAATCACATTCCATGCCAAATGAGGCAAGCAGTCGGGCAGCCTGTGAAAGGCCAGATATCCGGCTATCATATGCAGGCCAGTATCCAGAGCGGGTCATACAAATAGAGCCTGACACGACCACATAGACTCAATGCTTCCTGCACGCTGGAATAGCCTACAGCTCGGGAAGGATACATATTTAAATATATTTGAGTGTACTGGAGTTAATCTCGTTACTTTACATGCATTAAGTCATAACAGAAGAAGCATTCTAAATATTTAAGTCATGCCCGTGTACTGGGGGATTCATCACACCGCACTTGATACAATGTTAACGGTCTGTGATGTCAGTTCAACTTGGGATTGCTGCAGCTAATGTGGCAGCAGAAATGGCATCAGGCGCTGAGCTGCAGCTGGGGCCAGAGCAGCTCCAACCGGCCTGCTGCAATTAGAGACGTACCGGCGGGCAGGAGGCACTGGGATTTTCTTTCTTGTGACATACGTGGTTGTAGTTTTCATTTTGATGGCTTAACCTTCTTTGTCAGCCAGCCCCGCCCTGAGTTCATGTTGATCTCTAATACCCCAAAATGTATATGATTATTTTATTAGACCTGAATAGCAAGTCCGTTAACTTATAAACGTCATTCAATTAAATTAAGCAAGGGGACACGTTCAGTACTTCTGGGTTGATAACACAGAAAAAAAGAAAAATTCGGATTGGAAAACATACACGTTTGGGGCCAGTGAGCACTTTCTACAAAGAGTAGTGGAACCATCCATCTTAAATCCAGTTCCTGCACCAAACATTTTATCAAGCAGCTACTACATGCCTGGGGCTTGGTCGTGGGTCCCCACCAGCTGTGGGAAATCCACCCCCAAGGGCATCCTGTGAGCAGCAGCCGAGAGCAGAGGGAACTGCTGCAAGGGACTCTGGCAGTCCAGGGCGTTGAGGTCCCCCCAAGGCCTGGAGGCTCCCTGCCTGCAAACAGGACTGGACTGTGGCAGGAAGGAGGGGACAGGGTGAAAGAGCTTAATTGTGATGGCAACCTCCTGACCACCCCTGCCCGGGAGAGCTGGAGACCAGCCCAGCCAGCGAGCAGTGTGCGCCGCCTGTAAGTACTCCTAGAGTAATTGCTCTTCCAGCCACAGTTGTGTTTTTAAAATAGTGTCATTAAACACACAAGGGGGGAACTCGCAGGTAGGAAGTGAGACGCTTTTAGCATTGCCTCTCCATTGTTTAAGCCCAAGCCCAGCACGCAGAGAGAGATACAAGAAGTTTTAGGTTTAGCGCAAATTTTCTTCCTGCCTGAAAAACCTGACTCCAACAATAAAAACAGGAAGACATTCATTTGCTTCATTCCAGCTGCTGGCTGCAGCTATTAAATGAGTTCCAGTTTCATTTCAATAATGATCATCTTCCTGTAGCTTCCCAATCATGCATTTGTCATAACGCAGTAATTTTCTAGCTACAAACAGATCCTCGTAATGAGGCAGTTTTTCACATTAGCAACATAACTACATAATAAGAACATCTGCAGTTCCTTTTCCGAGGGACAAGAATGCGCCTCAATTAAGGCAATGGGGATTGTTAAATAAGATATAGTATATTTTACTAACAGGGAGACCCAGACCCTACCCCAACAGACTGCAAGCCGTCAGTGTGCCTGAATGAACACAGGTTGTAATGTGTAAAAATTAAATAAAGTAAAATTAAATTGCTCAATACAAAGACATTCCTCTAGAGGGTGTTAGTGATTTCAGTGACAAAGTGCTATTTGCTGACAAGTAGTTTACACATTAACCAGCTGAATCCAAGGGGGAAAAATGCCAATAGCAATTATATCACCTTGAGGTTATTAAATGTCCCACTGATAAGTAACTAGGTGAACTTGACCAGGTGATAAAGACTGCTGTGAGCAAATGATTGTGCGGTGAAGAATGTTTTTCTGTCCTGCTGTTTCTCCAGATAGCTTTTCTTTCAAAAATGACTGTATAAAAAGTTGCATTAAAAATGTGTGGCCACGGAAGACAAAATTGATATTTAGCTCCCCCCTGAATACCTTGCCCCCACCAGAGCGCCTTCATCATTCCACCTCAAAAACATTACACAAAGTCTGCAAATGCCTGCTTTTTCTCCCTTTTTTAGGCTTTAAAATGATGCTAAGTTCTTCACTTTATCATCAACTGTCTCCTCCAAGTGCATTTCATCTATAAGAAATTCAGATGCTCGGGAAATTAAAATTTCAAAGATCTGCTGCAAAAAAAATCAATGGGGCGAGATCAATGCTCATAGAAATTTCATGAACTTTGAACTGATCCGGGCATGATGATGAGAGGTAGCTGGAGTTTCAGGCGGCTGATGGCTCCTCACATGGATGAAAAGCGGCCAGGGCAGCTGAGAGGAGGGCTACGTTTTAGATGGGTTTTTGCTTTCATATTTTGTCCGACAAAAAAATTAATTTTTAGTCTATTTCAGTAACAAGCAAAAATAGAAAAAAAAAATCTGCCTTCCTGATACGACGTGTAATACCCCGCTTCTTAAGAGCACCTAATGCTTTGCACATTAACGCGGCCATGGAATGAAATCGGTTCCCTCTGCAGCCGATTGCAGGTGCAAATTAATATTGTAAAATGAAGATCAATGCATGGACAGGGCCAGATCAATAGTGGCTAAATTATTGCTGCATTTTCCTCCTCATTCAAGATGAGTTGTGTTTTCCTCTCAAAGTCAATACTTTGCAGCTTTTCTCATTAATTTCTCAATAAATTTGGCAATGAATTTCAATCACAGCACTCGGCAGGGTGAGCCAGGCATTGTGGTGTGCACGGGAAGCACAAAGGCCTTGCAGCCTCCGCGTCGTTCACCAGGGGCGCTGCCCGCGGGGGCCGGCCTGGCTCCCCAGCCTGGCAGGAAGACGTCAGGTCACCCTCCTCCTACACCCAGAGGCAAACCTTGTGTTTGCCCTCACAGAAATGACAGTGGCTTTTCTAGCATCCTGGCCGCTCCCGTCCGTGGAGCTCCCCAGTGCCAGCGGGGGATGGCTCAGACCTGCCTAGGGTCACCCTGGGTTTCACACCAGTGACTCCAGCATCCCCCCAACCCGCTCACTGCAGGGTATTTCTGTCGAAAAGTCTTCTAAGGTTGAGAAAAACACTTGACTTCTAATTGGAATTAGAGCCGCCTCCTTCGTATCGGGAATATTGTTCTGGAATTCACACAGACAGCCCAACCGGGCCTCGTGCACAGGGACCAGCTTCCATTCACCACTGCCTGGCAGTGGATGGCGGCATTGTGATGTGACACCAGGCACAGAAAAGGGGACAGCTCATCTTCCTTGTACCAAAATAATACCCTTGCTGACAACTATTGGATTGCATTCAAACAATTCTGTTTACATACCTCAAAGAATACATTGGATGATGGCTTTTATAGTCGTGTGGAAACTACATCTACCCAGTCCAGCCCTGCAGCTCGGAAAACTAAGGCACGTGGCCTCCTCACTTCTCCGTGGCTTTCGCCTCTGGGGACGGGACTGGGGGAGACAGGCACTTCCCAAGGCGGAGGTTCTGAGGTCGGGAAGTGGGCCCCAGGTATCCTATAACCCTCAAGCTCCCCAAGAAGGCTGTTCTAACGTTTTAACCTAAGGGGAGAAATGCCTGGAAACAAAAGGAAGAGACACCACCCAGTAAAAGCCACCCTCAACATGATAAAAAGATGTGTGCGATTGAATGCTATATCCTTTTCTTTAAAAAAGGAACATCAAGTGTCCCTCTGCTGCCACGCCTCCCAGAGACTTTTTGCAGGGAGGAGAGAGGTCTTAAGAACCAAACAGGAAATCTAATGCTCTGTGGAGAACCCTCTGAGCAATGGATTTGCACACTTTAAACCAGCGGAAAATCTGCACACAGAGGTAAACAGAAAAAGGAGTTGGCAAAGCCCAAGCCCCTCCCGAGGCCAGAGGTGTCCCTGCCAGGGTTGAGGACAGAGGCATCCCTGTCCTGTGCTCTGGGGTGGGCCACACTCCCGTGGGGACGTTCCCAGCCACCCCATGCACTTGTTCAGGCATCTGCCCTCCCCATAGGAGGAAGGCCACCCAACAGGTCACCCTCTGCCACGTGCCTGCCCTACTCAGTGCGATGTGCACAGTAGGTGTTCAAGGTAATGAGTAATGCAGGCCCCTTGGAGACATCTGGCCAACACAGAAGGTATCACATTTTCAATTTTGAAAAGCCAAAGTGAATGTCATGTTTCCATATGTTCACAAAAAAAAAATGTATTCACACATGTTCCTGGCAGTGTTTTCCATAACATCCAAATGTTCATCAATGAATGAATGGATAAACAAAATGTGGTATATCCATACAATGGAATAATACTCAGCCATGTACAGGAGCAAAACCTTGATACCTGTTACAACAGGGATGAGCCTGGAAAACACGCAAAGTGAAAGAAGCCAGACACAAAGAACTATATATAATGTGTGGCCCCATTTATAGGAAATATCTGGAACAAGCAGATGGATAGGGAAAGGAGGTAGATTCATGGTTGCCAGGAGCTAGGGGAGGGCAGGAAAGGAAAACCAAGGCACAGGCTGCCCTCCATGCTCTCACTTCTCTACGGCTGTCACTTCTGGGGACCAGGACAGATCCAGAGACAGACGCTACCCAAGGGAAGGAGGAATGGGGCAACAGCTAGTGGACACGGGGTTCCTTTTCGTGTGAAGAAAACATTGTTGAATTAGACTGATGGTTGCACAAACTTTGTGAATATACGAAAAGCCACTTAATTGTATACTTTGGGTGAATTCTGTAATATGTGAATTATATGTGAACAAAATACAGTGTTTTTAGTGAAACTAACGTTTCTCATCTGAATTAGAATATATGTGCCAGCTCCATCTGTACTAAGGAAATATCTTCCAGGGCCGGAGTGCCGTTTAGAATAAAGATGTGTCCAGTGCCTGTGTAAAAGCACAGGGCTCCGCACAGGTGTGAACAAGACAGAGCCCAGCAGTGGGGGAAGGGCCTGGTGTGGGGAATCGATTCCCATTCAGGGAGCATAACTCTGTTTCCCAACATTATTACCCTTTTCAATCTCCATGGAGGCATTTTTAACTCCTGGTTTTTCAGGCTGCATAAAGAAGAAAAGGAATGTTCTAAGGCAGAGACGCTTTAAAGACATCACCAAGATTAATGTAAACACTGGAATCCCCAAAAGCACAGCCCTTGAACACAGCATGCTGGATTATGTGTCTCCTATAAAACCGTCCTATTTCCACATAGGGGTTCCCAAATGCCAAGGTGTACTGGGACCAGAAGGCCATCGTGTCCTCATCTGACCTCCTTCTTGCCACGGCAGCCCCCAACCCAGCCCTGGGCCTCCCCCCTCACAGCCCCATGCCCAGCTGGCACTCCTTGGCCTGGAACTCCTCAACGCCTGCTGCTCAGCCTCCAGGGGTACAGCCTCTACGGCCACCTCCCAACCATCTCCCCAGGGCGCCCCTCCTCTCAAATCTGCCAGCGCCTCATCTGCTCCTCTTGTCATCGGATGGAGTGCCTTCTCCATTTTGACTATTTTATTAACTTTTCCATGTCCCGCTTCATTCCCGCAAGACCTCAAGTCAGTGTGATAGCAAATGTGGCTTCTGCACCAGACACGTGCCAACTGCCATCCAGATACCAGGCCCCGGGCTGCCAGGATGGAGACTGTCACTTCCCTTGGCAAGGGACCCACTGCCGGGTGGGCAGGTATGTCACCCCACCTGATACCCCCACCATGAGCGCCTATGAGAACCAGTAGCTTCCCCGCCTCTCAGTATCACCTACTGTGTCCAGGTAGGAGAACACTGGGAGCCAGGGGCAGATTCCAAACCATGTTGATGGCGAGCTTCCACAGCACGCCACACCTTCACATAAGACACCGTGCTCACACTACGCTTGTCCTACAGATCATTCCCGCCAGCTGGCATTTTGCAAATACACAGGAAAGGCGAATCACCGATGTTGGTGGACTCTGGGGTGGTGAGGAAGGGGAGCAGTCCCCTGGTGAACACGGGGCTCGGGCACGTGGCAGGTGTTCACTATCATGGTGCCACAGCAAAGCCAGGGCATGGCCTGGAACCCAGTCCTTGGGGTTGTACATACCAAATGCCAGCTTCCCTGGGCAGTGGGCATGTGAAGCTGCAGCCCAATACCCTCCGTGGTGTCTGCCGGTGACACGTTTCTCTCCCTTACAGGGTATTAAGACTCAGTGGACTTCTGAAACAATCACCACCCTAGCCTATGGCCTGTTTACAGTCTTTAGTTTGGGACAGGCCACAGCCTGATGCCAAGCATGTGGTAAAGCAGTCTCGATGCCACCTGTCCTGAAGGCTGTTCCATCGTAAGAGCCCTGGAGGAGCCGCCACCCTCAGGTTGGTGCCTGTTTGGAAGCTCAGTGCCCACAGGCCTAAGCTTGGGTGGGATGTTTCTGCAGTGTGAGCATGTTCCTTAGGAAAAACACCAAGTGGGTCTTCCGAACTAGGGCTAGAAGGGATGGCCATCAACAAGCATCTGACTGACCCCAGCCTGGGTGCCTGGGGCTGAGACAAAAAGGGCCAGTGGGGAGATTCCCAGCCAAGGGCCTCCTTTAGAGAAGACAAGGAGGTAAAAAGATGGAGAAAAACCTCGCAGAATCCACCCTCCCTAATCCGACCCCCTGGATTTCCTGACTTTAGGCTTCCTCAGATGCCTAGAGTGCGGGTCCAGGCCTCAGAGGCTCCAGGGCTCACTGTGCCAGGCTATAAGCTCTCTATCTGGGAAGACACAGAAAGGGCTATCTCAAGAGTGCAGGGAGAGGGTGGCATCCAGAAAGGAAAGGAAGAAAAGAATGACCCCGGCCACGCAGTACCTCTAAGAAACTTTCCTCCCAAGATGATTTGCACCAATGCTGACCAAAATCTGCCACGGCCTCCTATCTCAACGGGAGCTTCTCTATTTAAAATTTCGCACGCTCCGTAATGACCCTTCGAGAGTGTGCCCTCTGCACGCACTTAGGTTCCTTGTGAAGTCAAGTTGCTCCATGTGCTCGTGAAAAGCATCTGAAAACTTTGATTTTGCCTTTTAGTGTAGCAAACAGTCCACATCGCTGACAGACAGCCTTCTATTTGTTGTTGTGGCTTTATTTCAAAGCCACTCTAAAAGACAAAAGTTACGTTTTACTCATTTTGCTTTTTTTTTGTTTTGGAGATGGAGTCTCAGTCTATCTTGCTCAGGCTGGAGTGTGGTGGCACAATCTCGGCTCACTGCAGCCTCCGCCTCCCGGGTTCAAGAGATTCTCCCGTCTCAGCCTCCCATGTAGTTGGGACTACAGGCGTGCGCCACCACACCTGGCTAATTTTTTTTGTATTTTTAGTAGAGACAGGGTTTTACCATGTTGGCCAGGCTGGTCTTGAATTCCTGACCTCAGGTGATCCACCCGCCTCAGCCTCCCAAAGTGCTGGGATTACAGGCATGAGCCACCACGCCTAGCCTCATTATGCATTTTCTACAACAAATTAAAAAGGCCCAACTGATTGAAATGATAGTTTTGTAAAAGCACTTTTTCTCAGGCTAGGCTTTTGTAATCCAAGCCTCAGCCTAGAGCCAACGTGCACAGACAGGTCTCAGGACCCTCCAAAAACAGCCTCACATGAAACCACGAGCAGCCAGGCTCCAGCACTGTCACTGACCCAGCTGGCGGGGCACACGCTGGAGCGAAACATAGTCTATCGATTCCAGCCATGGGCTGTTAGCACTGGGCCTGATGTCCAGCCGTGTAGATTTGGTGGGAGGGAGCTTGAGGCACTGGTAACTTATAAGCCAGAAAGAGAAACAGAGGCAGTGTTTGGTTCTTGTTCCTATTTTTCCAGGACAACAGAGTGATCTATTTCACCTCCTCTTTGGTGCTGAAAGAACCACGCACTTCTGTTTCAGGTCCTCTACCGACATGTTTGTGCTGATGTCTCCCTTGGTCTTCAGAGTTTAACCTGTGGGAGTTGTGGCTGGAGTGATCTGTGATATTTAATTTTACATGTTATTATCCCCGCTTTATTCTGCACTTCAGGTGATCACACTTATTTTGTTCTAAATGGTCTGCTGCTCTTCTCCCACAGTCCCACACCATCTCCTGGACCCACTCCAAGCTGTTTTCAGAAGCACGTCCTACTCAATCAGAAACTCAAAAGTCCGGAGTGTGATCCCGCTCTACCCCCGACTCTCCTCCCTGCAGCACCGAGAAGGACCATCGCAAGGTGGGTGAGGAGCGGGACCAGAGGACCCACCTACTCAGGGGGCTTAACAGGAAGAGGGCCGGGCCCGCCTCTGCCATCCTCAACCCAACAATTACCAAGTGAAATCCAGATGACCCTTTTGTCCTTTGGGGAAGATGAATGGCCGTCCCCTGTCTGCTACATTTTGTCAGGTTTGGTGCTGAAGAGTCAATACCTTCACCTTGACATGGAAACTTTGTGATTTATCAGCTCATTTCTCCTCCTGGGTTAGCGTGGCCCCGATGAGAGCAGCCAATCGGGGTGCAGGGTGCAGACTTGGTCACAGCCACTTGGAAAACGACCAAAGCCCCCTCGGATGACAGACAAATGTGTCTTGTTAGCAATAGCCCAAAAGCGCTTGACTTGTACTAATAACAAAAAGGCCATGCTGGTCACCGTGGGTCTAAAGACGAAGCACCCTGTCACCAGCCTGGTTGGGAAATTAGCAAATAATGTTCTTTTCCTTGATAAATGGGTGACAGCTCCCTCTCACCAATCATTTTTAACATGTTGATGCATGCCTATGATCCCACTGGAGGAGCAGAAAAGTTTACTGGCCCTCAATTTTCAGATGATGAATGGAACTCTCTAAATGTGCGATTTCTGTATGAGGTATAGTTCATTTTAAGCAATTCTAGTAAATGGGTGTCACTGATTAGGACAAATAGTCTACTTGTGCAATAGCACAAACGGTGTGTCTCATTCTCCTGGCCTCCTTGGAGACAGGAAAGAGAGGGGACAGCAGTGACCCTGGAAGCCCTCCCGGCCCCACTCTTCAAAGGGCCGTGTTATCGAATCTCACCCCAGCACCCACTTAGCATGCTGGCAGATTAACTGATCATGGTTTGGGTTGATGCTGTGCCGTAGCAGTGGGGAGGACAGCGGTGGGAGCCTGCCCTCCCTCCCTTCCTTTGTGGCTCTGCCTAAGGGGCCCTGAGGACCCTTGAAATGACCCCAGTGATGGCAGTGGGCCTCACTCCCAGGGGAAGGGGCTGAGGCACAGATGCACGCCACCCCACTTGGTACGAAAAAAAAAGTCACCCTTTGCCATCCATATTTAAACAAAGGACAAAAACTAAAGTGGCGTCAGGAGAAGTTGTGTTGTTGGAGTCACGCATTATCTTGTGATTATCCCGATTCTGGGCAGGTCCAGAGTCAGCCTGAGCTGAACACACAGACCCAAGCTATTCTCTGATAGAACCAACCTGATAGAAAAGCAAAGGTGCCTGGAGGGTGTCTATTCTTGGGGGGTTCACTGGGGATCATGGGGGGGACACAGACATCCTTGGACACCATTGACTGGTAGGTTTGAAGCAGGACAGCCAGTGTGGCTGCAGGAGGGCCCACTGCAGACAGGAACGAACAGTCAGCCACGGGGGGCCCCTGGCCACACCACGGGATGATGAGAGTCACTGACAGAATTGAGCCAAAGATTCCCCAAACTCCAGGACCCATGAGGAAAGCATGTGGTTTACATGGAAGGAAGGCATTAGCATTGAGTTGAGCATAGTAAAAATAGTATGATTTGTGGGCGGCAATTAAGCATCATTTGCTCTGTGCATCCAAGTAATTTGTTTGAGGAGCACCGGCCTGGGAGACAGCAAGCTGGGGCTGGCGTGGTCGAAGGGCACAGTCGACTCCGCAGTGCTGACGGGACCGCCTCTCAATGCACACAAAAGATCTTTAACACACTTAAGAACCATGAGTGCTTTCACAAGGGGAGTGAAGTGGGACTAAATTGTGGACACCCGCCAGGAGACACGGGAGAAACCCTCACCCAGGGCCAGGACAGCCCTGGAGGACACAGCGTCGCCCCTTGACACACTGCCAGTTTTAAGGCACATTATGACTTTAAAAGAAAGAAGAAGGAAAGTAAACCATAAATACTGTATCAGAAAGAACAGAAACTGTTAGCAATTACTGGTTGAGTAACGATTTCATAAGCCTGAAGCTGAATGAACGTCCTTGTGCAGAAAATAATCACTTTTATGTTCCCATCTAGTAACTGCATCCCAGGGCTGGGAGCGGTCCAGGTATTCCGCCGTCAAGAGCTCCCTGTGTCCACTTCGGATGTGGTTGCTATCGACTGCCAATATCTTGTTTAGTAACTGGGTTCAGTCTGTCGCAGACAACATGTTGACTCCCAGTAATTTGTGGTAATTTCTTTAATCGAGCAAAAGAAATCTCTAAAAGGAGGGTGGGTCAATCAACCATCCGGGTGCAAGAAACCAAGAGTAAGAACACCCGACCCAGCCACGTCCCCAGGGTCCCATGAATGATGCTGGAAGTCAAGCCACCTCTCCCAACCGGCCTCAGTGCTTTTGTTTAATAGGAAACCATTCTGCCAAATGGACACTGTTGGAAAACAGTAACACACGCATTTGTGCCATGATGCTTCACACTTGAAAACATGTCTATGAAAGTAGTTTCCTCAGTAACATAATTTCAATTAGATGCATACAAATTCCAATCTGTCTTAATCAAATAACACTGTAATGCTTATATTCTAATTAAAAAATAATTTCTTTTATTACTCTTAACCATTTGATGCGTTTCTACGGGTGAAATTATAAATGCGAAACTGCCCAATTTGTGTATACTGCGAGTTTCTCAGGTAGGACATTCTGGGACTATTTTAATTACTATTAAACAAGCAAATGGCACACTGTTAGACAAATATTAAAACAAGCATTGCACTCAGTTATTAATTTGCACTATTTACTTTTAAATGCAGCAAATATCTCATTAATTTAATTTTAGGTGCCCACCAGTTTATATTGCATTTTACAGTCTAGAAGGCAATTTACTATTAACTGGCAATTACATACAGAGTGATTGTTAATTCTGCTCCTAAGTGCTAGCCGCTTGAAAATTGTTCTCTCTCTCTAATTTCTGACCTTCTTACAACAGGGTGAGGCACATGGGAATACAAAGAACCAGTATGGAAGCGCTGGACATGTCATTTGTGACTCATTCTTTTAATTCACCGTGCTAATCAACTGAACCGCCACAGCCTCCCAAGGTAATTGTGTCTTTATAGGAGTTGAAAGCAGCAGGCAAAAGGGCCTGGATGGATGGGGCCTGGCCTGCCTTCCCCTTCCCACTCGGGGTTGACTAATAGGGTCTGGTTCAGAAAAATCTGGTGTTTCTCAGATCACTGTAAACAGATCATTGAGGCCCTTTGCAAAGCCCCTCCCAGCCTCTGGCGGGCGGCCCCTCCTCTGAGCACAGGTTCATTAGCCCTCCGCCTGGCGGCCCCAGCCGGCCTCACGTGGGGAAGGTTAAATGTGAGGGTGTCCCGGCAGCCTCCGGGGCTGGGGGACACTGATGGGAACCAGACGCCCAGGGGACGGTGCCTACGTCGTGACATGCAAAGGGGCTGGCTCAGTTTTCAGCGGGGGAGTGCAATTCCCGGTGATTACCTCATTGTCCCCATCAATTTTGGGGCAATGCAAATCAGACAGAAGCTTCCAGGTCAGACAGGTCATGACCCTACCTTTCCTCTGCTCCCCAGCCTGTAGAGCCTGTATCCCTTACATCACCTTTGAAATGGATATTCCTGTTAATGACTGGGGTGTGGGGGAGCCAATAGGTTAACCTCCAGCCAGGAAAGGCTGGGCTGTGGCAAGCATCACCAAACACCCACTCATGGGAGCATGTCTCGATGGAGGAAATCCCTGAAGCTTCGGGCAGCCAGGACCCTGAGCTTGTGCCTGAGAAGCCCAGTCAGCCCCAGAGTGGGCACAATATGGGCTGCAGATATAGAAGGTGGGCACTTGGACAGGCTGGGTGGGGGCTGGAACTAAGGGGTCCACTGGTCCCTTAGTAGGAGGATATGAGACCTGGAGAGGATATCCCTGGCCAAGGAAGGCATCCTACCTGGCTGGAGGGCAACAGGAACAGGCTACAGACAGGAGAGAGCTGCCCCCTCCCTGCACCAGCCCCAGAGCAGCAAAAGCAGGGCCCGGCCATGCTGGGAATTGGGGGGACGCTGACATCACAGGCTCCGCCACACCATGTGATACCTGCCAGCCAGTGACAGGCAGCTCCTCCCACCCTACACATCCGCAACTGTCTCCAAATGCACAGCCCAAGGCCTTTCTCTGCAGCACTGGGGACAGAATCCCCAGGAGACAGCAGGCAAAGTGCAAAGAAAGGACTGGACCTTTCAGCAATCTTCTTTCTTAAAAAAGTCTCATTTCTAACAATAGCTGTGCAGACTTCCCCACCAAAAAGCCCACATATGCAAAGATCTGAACTCATGAAAGGATCCACTGAAGGCATCCACTAAAGCATTCATCCGGGATGGGCTGACAGTCCAGTGTAAGAACAGGGGGCTTATTCATCCATTTTTGTGCAGAGGAAGTCAGTCTTGCCACATGCAAACACATGTCACTTTCATGTCACAAACCAGGACCCCGCAGCAGACACAGGCACCTACACAGGAGCCCACCCCTGCCATGTGCCCGCCGAAGCTCAGGTGCTGCTCCATGGCTCACAAGCAATAATCAACACCCGCTTTCCTAAGGAGCTCAGGACTCGAGCAGAGTCCCACAGAACCCAGCCGAAGTTCACCCTCAGTGACTTTCCACAGGAAGGACCATTTATGGAGTGCCTGCCATGTGTTAGACACTGTACATAAGTCATCCCCGATCCTTGCCAAAACCTTGCCAGATAGAGCAGAGGAGAAATTGGGACCACAGGAGTAAGCATATGCCCAGGTCCCAGTCTGTCTGCAAACACCAGGTCTTTGCACGGGGCCTACAGCCTCTACAGCCAGATGTGCCAAGGGACTCAGGGGCATGTGGTACACATACCAACAGTTTGCACAGGAGGCATGTGGAAATGTGCACCGTGTGGCTTCAGCACACACCGGCAAGGTGCCAGAAAGGACCCCCCAGCCCACGGTGGGATTCTGACATCTCGCCTTTCCCAGGTACCTGGGGCCTACAGATGCTGCACTTTGTTGCACAGCAAAAGTTCTTAATTGTTGAAGTGTATATAAGTGTTTAAAAGGTTCCCCAATTTTTTGAACCCCATTGTGACATGTCTTTATTTTTTTAAAACACTGGGATTCCAAAACCTAGAGGAGCAGCCCTCTCTCCATCTCAGAGTCTTACATGGAAGCCAAGAGGTGTCCGGACATCAGCTCTTTGCTATGCCCACCTCCCCTGTGGTCTTCTGGCAGCTCCTGAGCGCCTGGTCCTGTGTGTGCTGGTCCCACAGAAGGTGGCCCCTAGTGTGGGGCAGGCACTGCCTCTCCCATCCTAACCACATGGAGAGTGCTGAGCTGTCGACTGGACACCTCTGGGACAGCAGCCCTGGCCTGCCACCAAGACCCATCCAGGCACACCCTGGGGTGACGCTGGGCCTGATGTACAGTGGGCAGCGGCAGGATTTATATCTTGCCTTTCTTGCTCACTCCGTCCTTCCTAAGAAGGGAAGAGGCTGAAGGACGTCTATTGCCTCTTTAAACCTTCTGAAAGCAGAGGGGGCTTAGCATCCTCCATGTCACCCGCTCTCTGGACAGAGGAGAGGACTGTGTCCCATTGGGCGTCCTTCAGGTGGTGATGGCAGGAGTTGAAGCCCCATCCTCTAGTCCAGGTTCCTGCTGTGGTCCTCATGGCCACCCCAGGACACCAGGCCACAGTCACCCAGCCACTGCACATGCAGGTCAAGCCCACAGATAGTAAGTATTCATCTTGCTCACTGTCACTCGGTTCCAGCAGGCACTGTCCATCATTAAAAACATCTCTCAAATGTCACAGCCTTTGGAGTTGGCTAAGATTAGAAATCAAAATGCAAACATGCCTTAAGTTGAAGTGAGTTGTTTGTTTTGAGATAGGGTCTTGCTTTGTCACCCAGGCTGAAGTCCAGTAGCTCAATCAAGGTTCACTGCAGCCTTGACCTCCCGGGCTCAGGTGATCCTCCCACCTCACCATCCTGAGTAGCTAGGACCACAGGCATACACCACCATGCCCCACTAATTTTTAAATTTTTGTAGAGACAGGGTTTTGCCCTGTTGCCCAGGCTGGTCTTGAACTCCTGCACTCAAGTGATTCTCCTGCCTTTCAAAGTGTTGGGATCACAGGTGTGAGCCAACATGCCCAGCCAATTTGAAGTTTAGTTACGGCATTTCTCAACAGCAATCCCGAACAAGTGGGGCTAATTCAGCCCTTGAGTGGACAAAGCATTGTATAGAACAACTGTAAGATAGCAAGCATGTGTAACTGCATAGGCCACACTTCCTGCTGACAGGAGTCTGTCCCGCACCCTCAAAGAATACGGATCTCCTTTAGGAAGCAGCGTCATGCAGGGTTCAAGACCCCAGGCTGGAGCAAGAAAGACCAGGCTTACATGGGCCTTGCATTTACCCGGGGTGTGGCCCGGGCACTGACTTCATCACCTCTCTGAGCCTCGGCCTGTGCAGGAGAACAGCAGTGACACCACGGGGAAGAGGCATAGAGACCGGTGGACACACGGCCCCTAGCCCCACATGGAGCCAGGCATGTGGGCAGCTGCCGCAGTGGTAGCTGGGTGGCTGTTGTTCCTAATGACTCCCCCTGCCACTTTGTTTACAGGTGAGAAGCCCCACAAAGGGAGAGAGGTACCGAAGGTCACACAGCCACGGGGGCTGCCCCATCCACGGCTTCATACGCCATCTCAAACAAAGATGTGGAAACTGCATATCCAGCTAAACCCACAGGCCAAGGGGGCTTTGTCTGTCTTTCCACAGACCCCTGCCCTCTCTGTACAGTCCTCCCGTGCCCTCATGAGCACCTCCTGGTGGGGAGGAGGCCTCTACCGCTTTCCCGCAGAAGCTGGAGCTGTGAACTCACCGGTGTAGACAAAGCGCCCAGGAGCACCTTTGCAGAACTGCTTGGATTTGTAGGAGAGGGTCACTTCGACGACGCCAGGAATGTGCCTCGGCGGGGTCTGGACTCGGATGGCATGGGGAGTTATCAGCTACAAAAACCACACGGTGAACAGGCGCTCAGCGGCGCTGGCTATGAGAGGCGGACACTTGCCAGTTGGATATAATTACCAAAATGAGCACAAATTGGACCATCGTCTTGGAATGCCCCCTCCTAGCTGTCACCCAGAGTCCCGGGACCTACAGTGTTTTTTAAGAAAAATATCTGCAAATGATCCCAGGTTTTAGTTTGCAGGAAAGGCCACAGGGCATCATTCATATGAAAATTGCCACCATATGTCTCCTTAAACCTGCTTCTCGTAATTCTAGCACTAATTGTTCCAGTGGACGGGGGACCTCGATGGCAGGTTTTAAACCCCAGGGCTGCAGGGCAGGGGGGTGTTCCGTAGCCACCCACGGGAGAAGCTGCTGCCACAGGCGAACAGTGCAGTGTGTTAAAAGGGGAATTTGCCATAGGGCACCTTGTGTCAATACACTATTGACAGCTTGTCAAATCCATTCATGAAGACAGCAACAGCGCGAAGCTGACCGAGTCCGCGGGCTTACCTCGCTCCACACCAACATAGTTCCGAATACAACTTGCAGCCCGTCAAAGAAGTTGTCGCCAATTATGATGACGGTGGCACCCCCCGTGGTCCAGCCTTCACTGGGACTGATGGCCTTGATGCACGGAGTGGCTGCTCACACAAGACAGAGAAGGCAGACCTTAGAGCCCCGTCCTCCTCCGACGCTGGGCCGCTCGGCCACCGCGCGTCCCGCGGCCACCGCGGGAGGAGAGGCGCGCCGTTCCTCCAGGCGGCACGCAAAGGGCAACCGTAGATCAGCATGTTGATGTGTTTAAAGCAAACTATTAAATGTTTTATAAAGGAAAGGCCGAGCTGCGGAATACTAGTGAGCGAGAAAAAAATGGCTTGATATAGCAAATTATGTGTCAGCGCAAATATGACTATTACAAATGATTAAGCATTGCATGCATGTGGCATGTCGATTTATCTGCTTTGCTGTACAGATCTAAGCAGAGTCAATCAAAAGGTTGTTGAAGGAGATGGAAGAGCAAATGCCTTGCATTTCGATTCCTCATAAGCAGCTAATTGGGTTGGGTTTTTTCATCCGCGAACTTTGCCTTTTAGTTCAAAACTTCATTTTCCTCTGTCACTCCACAATTACTACTTTTCACTTTTCATCAGGAAAAAAAATCAAAGGCACTATATTAATACTTTTGTCAAAGGTACACATTTTACATCTAATATTGTTTGTCGACAGGGATCCCCGCGCCGCTGGCGTGACCTCTCTTTGTCTCGGGAGCTCTCGCATTTGCATGAGTTATTACAATGGTGCTGCTGCACCGGCCGCAGAGGCAGCCCTGCTGGGGCGGGAGGGGTTGGGGGCACACAGACAGCAGAAGGAGGGTGCAGGGGGGAGGGGACCAAGAGGCCACAGCCCAGGGAGACAGGCAGGCAGGAGTCCCAGCACGGTGCCCTCGGCAGCCTTGAGCAGGAGGCCAGGGCCGGGGCTGAGGGCTGCAGGCCTGGTGGAGGCCGGCTTTGATCAGCCCTTCCTTTACATGGTGTTGGCAGACCTTTTAAACTGCCTTTGATGGCCTCTTGTACATGGGCTCCCATGCAAAGGAGGGGTTGTTTGCATGCCTGCCCACGCCTGCCAAAGCCTCGGAGCCTGTCACCTGCAGGGCTTCCGCAGCCCGGGCCAGGACACTATCCTCAGGACCCTCAGACTACTCTACCCTTTAGGTGAGCTGGGAGGTTACCTTTGGTGCACAAGGAAGAATGGGCCATGTAGGCCTCTGTAATGGTTGCCAGGTGGCCTCTTCGATGTACAGGTCTCCTTGCTGATGTTTGGACACAATTACACCCTAAATGGCGGGAGGCCCAGGCCTCAGTCCTCCAAGAGAAGAGGAAGCCTCTACACTAAGCCCTGGGACACCCAGAGGTGGCATCCCTTCTTTGTCCTGCCTTAGCATTTGGGGGTGTTGGGGGTTAAAGATGAACCCTAGAATAAGGGACTCAACCCTGAGGCCCGAGGAGTACCCTTGCTGTTTTGGTGCCCTTCCGTCGCTCACAGCAACCTCGAGGGCTACTGGCCCAAAAATGTAGTAACTAAGCTTGGTAAACAATTAGTGGCTTAACCAAGCCACCCGCCCCCCACCACCCCGCCAGCTCCTGGCTTTGCTCCCCCACGGCTCTCCAGCTGCAGACAAGAGCCCTCCAAAGGACATCTTGGGGCCTTATTAGGTTGTTCATCTTATTTGAGCCCCTGTGCAGCTCGGCTTCAGATAAATCATCTTTTTAGACTCTGGGTCAGATCCGGTTGCACATCTTCATAAGCGGGAGTTTTCCGGAAGCCCGCGTGCCGTGGTTTCCCTGACAGGTCAGAGGCAGCGCCGTGCAGACACTGTCTAGTTAATCACCATTAGCTATTGTTGTTTAGCACACCGCCGACATGCCACCTTCCTTTGTTTGCTTTAATGTTGGACTAGCGGGGGTTATATTTGCTCATTCCACGCGCATCTCCCTCCGCAGCAGAGGCGCAGAGCACACACTGGGAACCTGCCCTTAACTAGCGCTGTTGACTTCATGCTAATAAGTTCATACAAATTTTCATTTCTGAGGCTTCCGAATGACATTTGCTTTTCTTAATTGCATGGAGAGCATTTGAAAAGGATCAGCTCTCTAAAGACTGACAAGTCTCCTCCAAGGGGGTGACCTTCATCAGCACAGCCAATTATGGCAAATAATTCACAAAAAAAAAAAATTACAGTAAACAAATTTACTTTGGAGGTGAGAAAAGAAAAAAAGAATCCAGGATCTACTGCATGCACAAGAGACTGCTATCTGGCAGCTGTGGCCCAGTGGAAAGCCACATCATCTCGGAATTTGTAGTGCTTCTCAGCGGAAAGAAAACACGGGCCTGCCTTGGCCTCCTCCACAGTGATAGCCATCTTCCTTCTGCCTGTATTTGCATACATTTCAGTGCACATATAGAGAGGGAACATGTGTTCAATGGGAACCATAGCAAAATGAATTACACAGACAGCGTTAGAGATCTAATGATATACGCGCACAATACACTCAAGCAGATGACAGGAGCTGGGCCCGGCAGCTGAAGATGGCAGAGGAGGAGCAGGGAAGCAGTGGGGACAGGGAGCCCCCACACTCCCCATCTCTTTCCCGGCCTGGCCCTGTGATGGGAGGCATCCCTGAAGACAGATCCTGGTCTGCAGCTTTCAGCGTGGCCCACCCTCCTGGGGCCCCGAGCTGCCAGGGTCCAGAGAAAGGAGGCGTGGCGAGTCTCCCCTGCGGATCTGACATGCGCCACCATGACCTGTTTTTAACTCTGAGGATCCTCTCAGCTACTTGGGAGAAGAGGCGCTCACAAGGAACACCCTCTGCCCATCGTGACCCCCGCCGGCTCTCCCCAGGGCCTGCGGGGACTGGCTTATCCTGTGGCCAGGGAGCCCAATGGCTGGGATGAGCATGTCAAAACGGGAGCGTGACTCAACTTGGAAACCCGTGTTGGAGACCCATATCTTTGGGTTTTTTTCCTTTCTTTTGGGGTCTCTCCACCCTATCCAGTATTCTATTAGTAAACAGCTTCCCCAGCCTGGTCCCATTAATCAGCCCTCCTGAGTAATATCACAGCATTTGTCACCTTCCTCTGCATTCACAATATTGAGGCACTCAAACAGGCCTAATCTTGCCTCATGAAGACTTCTTTGTTCTGCCTGCTAAAATGTCTTGTAATTGTGCTTGGGATGTCCAGATGGCTGGCTGATACTCCAGCTGATAGGATTATACCTTTACCTCTCCTAGGGCCATCTGTTCGCTTTAACTCGCTAAAGCCCCGCAGCCTGGATTCAGTTGTCCTTATTGCATAAACCTAACCGCATTACGGCACTTGGCATGCAAATCGCTTCTGTGCTGCAGGCCGGGTGCTGGGCAGGGCTCGCGGAAGGTTTAAACAGGGTTGGAGTCGTTTACGAGGGGACAAGTGACAAGGAAAAAAAATTAAAGCCTGAGTTCTACTGTGTTGTGCTGAAAGGGAGAATGGTTGTTTTCCCTCACTTGTGTTCAATACTGTAAATAATCTGCCTTGCTTTTTGTGAGCTCAAAGGACGCCGTGGCAGACATCCACAGCAGCAGCAGGGGGAATTCGTTTACTTGGAAACCATCAGCGACTGTGTACACACTGCTGGTGAATATTAGATGATTGGATAATGAGGTGTTAGCTAGGAGAGGCTGCACGCAAGCACAGATCTGCGGTTTTGGGGGGCACTTTCCTTAAAGGATGTGGGACTGATGTAGAGCCAGCCTCCCACCCCTGCAATCTGTCCTGAGCAGGCAGAAGGAGGGAAGGGGTTTGGGGGACAAATATGCGCAGACTTAAAAGGAACTTCCTAAGTGTCAACTCTCTCAGGAAGTGACAGAAGCATAAGCCCTGCCATTTTTTTCTAGGGCACTTGATAACTGGGTATTAATTACAAAAAAATAAATAACCCTACTATTTATGACAAATGCCTTTTTCTTAACGATCTGTCTATGCTAGTCCTCAGAGTCACCCTATTGGCATTTTTAAATTAGTAGTCACTTTCTAGGGTGGGACAAGATATTTCAATCTCTTGCAAGGAACTGACTTGGTTTAAATGTCGAGAAACAAACAGGAAAAAATCCTGAGCAAGACTGCTTCTGCAAATAGCTTTTGATTAGTTGGGTTTTATCTCCAAGGTACCCACTAGTGGCCTTTATTTCTCTAAACGCTACATTTTCTGCTTACAGTCAAATGCTTTTTCATGCTACTTACAAAAATAAATACTTGTACTTTGCTCAGATCATAATAGCTCATTAGAGGAGGCTGATTTTGGACCTAGACTACAACCTAACACCAGAGGGCTGGGGAGGCCCCTTGAACCTATTGCGTGAAAGCTCCACTCTCTAGGGAAGCGAGGAACTGAGGACCGGGGATTCAACCTTCTTAATTGTGAACCTCATTAGTGACGGTTGCTAAGCAAAACACACACCTACCTTCAGTGCATGGGAAGGAGATAAACAATACGTCACAGGCTCTAATGACATCGGTGCTTAGGGCGACCTTTAATTATTATATTTTTGTTCTCTTATACCTTAGTCATTAATGTAGAAAAACAAATTAGTTTATTTTTGTGGACCACAGCAGATTCATAAATTGTCTTCCAGTTTTTGTCTGAATTATATTTCACGCTGATAATCTGCACACGCTTCATTCATTTTCCTGTGCGTGCATCTGTCTGCCTCGTGTGTGGCTCTCGAATGTGGGACCTCGGGATAGAGGATTTGTCTTAAAACCATTTAGTTTTACAGGCTCTTTGCTCTAAAGGATTCGATCATGCTGTTTTGTTTGCAATTCACTTAAAAAAACACTCACATTACTTTCTCCACAATTCATATTGGTCAGAATCTCGTAATTATTATGAAATGTTTAATGGGGGAAGTGGCTCTTATTCTAAAGGGGATGTGTTCAATTGTGGGTGCTGTGCAGAGCACAAAGTGGGATGTGCCTGAGGGGCTCGGCGCAAGGCCCACTGTGTCTGAGTCTTTCTGCATTCCGACCTGATATCCAAGAACCTTTCTCCCTACCTACCACCCTTATGGAAACCCTTCTCTTTTAACAAACAAAATAAGAAGTCAATCAATTGAAAGCATTTGGTTAAAAAAAAAAACGTATGCTGGTTGGTATTTCACCCCCTCCTCCTTGCCCCCACTCTTGTGTGAACACGCACATACACGTGGATCACATGCACACGCACTCCAGCCAGGGACAGGAAATGGTCCTGTCCCTTCGGAGCTGACTGGACCAGGATGTAACCACCCACTGGGCCTGCACGAGGTATCTGGGTATGAGCTTCTGGATGGGCGCTTCCGACAAACCAAAATAAAACCAAATAAATTAAAATCGCAAGAAAAGCAGTAAGCAAAAGAACGCCTGGAAACATGAAGGCCGTGGCAGGTGAATGGGAAAGTCCCGCTGTTCAATAAAGGAGAAGAGAAAGCCTAGGAGGGCTGTCTCCCCTTCCACCTCGGGGACACCCCCTCATCCTGCCTTGGTGCAGGAGGTCTGACCAAGGGCGGGGGCCTGGTGAGAGTAACTCCACATGAATGAACATAAAGGATGGTGCAAAGAAAAAGAAGCATCGCAAATAAAAAAAGACATGTAACATGTGCCTACCATTTTCCAGATAAGAAGGGGCCGTACCTTCTGACGGGTCTAGGCGGCGGGCCCGCCTCCCGTGTTTGGAATTGTTGTGCACAAACATGTTGTCTGACACGGCCAGCACGTGGCCGTCCACGTTGACTGTTGTCGATACAACAACCTGCAAAGATGAAGTGGATTTGAAAATGGAATTGGCAAAGAAAAGCAGAGCCCCCTGTTAGGCAAAATACAAGCCATCTTAAATACTGCAGAGCACAAGGAAATTTCACGTGTTCCTGGACACTGTTGATCGATGTGCGTTCACAGCTTTTTTGGCTAATGGGGGTGGGTGGGTTGTTTTGTTTGTTTTGTTTTGACTCAAGATTGCTTCTCTTCAAAACCTGCTCCACTAATTACAGTTTAATCTCCTATTATGCTAACAAGTGAATTCAATTCAGAGAAATATTCTTCTAGCCATTAGCTTCAGAAACACCCCTCTAGCCACTCATTTTAAAGCCGCTGTTTTGATTGATCTGTTCACATATTGATTAGAAAGTTTATCTAATTAAAATGAGTTCACTTGAGACTGGCCTCCCTTGAAGAGCTGGGAGGATTCAGAGTTGCCCAAAAAAGGCTTCATAAATCAGGAACATTCCTACTGCCCACATTTTATCAGGAAACGATCCCTGGGTCAATTTTACAATTACATTTAATGTCTGGTAATGAACTTTTTTTCATCTGAAAAGACTGAGTTGAATATGAATAGTGGGAGTGTTTTCAATCCTGGAAAGGTATTCTTTCTCAAGTTCATTGCAAAGGCTGGCAAGGACCCTGGTATGCCAAGGGAATGTCCTCTCTGTTGCGGTGAGAGGCTTCCATTCTTAGGTCCAGGCACAAAGGATGTCGAGGGGAGAGATCACAGATCAGGCCCTCTTAAGCCCTCAGCTGCCTCGTGGTAGAGGGAGAAACGAAAAGGGCCAGGCAGGGATGGCCTTGCAGACTCCATAGACCTGCCCAGGGGAGCTTGCCACAAACATCCAGAAATGGCATCCCTGAATGGACCCAGGAACCAGGAAATGACAACCTGGCCCTGAGCTTTCTTTAACAGAGGTGGTGCATTCATCCCGGACTAGCTGGAGCTGCAAAGATCTGAGGCCAGGTTTCATCTGGGTCTTGCAGAAGCACTCCTGGAGCTTCAGCCCAGCTCTGACCTGAAGGAAGGGTGGCTCTCTGCCACAGTTTGGGCACACTCGGCCATGTCTTTGAGTCAGCACCACCCGAGGGAACCACAGCCCTACAGAGAATTGTGCGGTGGTTGCACGTGAGTGGAGAAGCGGAAGGGGTTCCCAGTCAGGGTACACCTTCCCTGCAAGGCCCAGACAAAGCACGCCATGCAAAATGAGCTTAAAAGCCAAGGCCACCATAGGCCTTAGTGAATCGCGACACATCAGTGTTGGGTCCGCACATGTAAGGAATCCCCTGCACCAGCATAATCGGGGAAACCAGGGGGAGGGGCGCACGGGGGTACACGGGCGATCTCTGTACTTTCTGCGAAATTGTTTTTAAACCTAAACTTCTCTAAGAAAAATAAAGCCTATTAATAAAATAATTAAACTAGTTACCTAATACAAAATGAATACAATTCATTGTATTCAATGAGTCACTGAATATAAAATAATTAAACATACAAATAAGTAGTATTTTCAGGGGTTTAACAAAGAAGCCAAAGCTTATGTTTATATATGAATACATGTGCAAGTGATGGCTTCTTCTTTTTTTTTTTTTTTTTTTTTTTTTTTGAGATGGAGTCTCGCTCTGTTGCCCAGGCTGGAGTGCAGTGGCACGATCTCAGCTCACCCCAACCTCCGCCTCCTGGGTTCAAGCCATTCTCCTTCCTCAGCCTCCCTAGTAGCTGGGATTACAAGCACTGCCACTGCACCTGGCTAATTTTTTGGCATTTGTAGTAGAGATGGGGTTTCATCATGTTGGCCAGGCTGGTCTCAAACTCCTGACCTTGTGATCCACCCGCCTCAGCCTCTCAAAGTGCTGGGATGACCGGCGTGAGCCACCGCGCCCGGCCGGCTTTTTCGTTTTAAATCTCAGACTCCACAAGATGATGATGCAGCAGGGGCGGTACACACGCATCCCACCCAAATGCCCTCATCGGGGGCAGCTTCCCTGGCATTTCTTCCCCTTGGCCACTGCCAGGATTGTTGAGGTCGCAACAGTGTCAAGCCACCCAGAACCTCAAAAGGTTATAAGTGCTGGCCCAGCATCCCAGGTCCAGCCTTGGGTATCTCAGCACCCTCCTTTTTTGACCACTGCCCACTGGCTTTGCCCTTTGCAGCCCTGGTGGGAGGTGGCTTTGCTGCCCCTTTGGTACCACGAGTGGGCCTGGCAGCCTCTGCCTGGAGGAGCCAAGGCCTGTTCCTGGTCACCCAGGTGCCCCCCTTGTGTTCTACCTCCCAGGCCCAGCCCTGGGCATTGAAGACACTCTACAAATGCATTATCTGAATATGATGCAAAGATGCGTAACTAACACTGAGGTGCAGACTTAACCCTTTTTACGTTCCTAAACATGATAGGTTAAAGAAACATGAAAAAGTAAAAACAAATTTAAAAAGTTTTTAAAGACACAGGCTTTGCAGTCATCTACATATAGGTCAGCCACGAAGGGTAAAGAGTGTAGTTCAGCAGAGAGAGCAGGCAAGCTGTGCTCTGTGTCTCACCTGGGCTGTAGCACCTACAGAAAGCTGCTGAGATTGTGAAAGCAGCTGAAACTATTGTGTAAGCACTGCCATCCTCCTAGGTCAGTTACACCTTCTGAGAGGCATGGGGCTCAGCTAAAGAGACCAGAGGAAGTTCTAGTAACTACGGGGTCTGCAGTCAACCACGAGATCACCTGTAACTGACGCTGTGTTCAGTCATTGGTGAGACAAAGAGGACACAGCCCCTCAGCCCTGCCTGACTTCCATTCTGCTTAGAAGGATCAATATCACCAGTATCCTGTGAAGCCTAGTGCGTGACAAATGGAAGCAGACCCAACTGTTCGCAGGAAACACTGTCCCCAGCTGCAGACATGACTGTGGGCGGGCCCAAAGAGCCCGCCTCCTCTGACCAGCTGACCGGGCAGGCATGGAGACAGATGTCACGTGATTCACTAAAGGACTGAGGCATAAGTTAAATTTCTGAGAAATGCTTTGAGCTATTTGATGGAAAAACTGGGTAAATCCCAAACAGGAATCATTCTGCTCTTGGGTCATTCATCCAAGCTAGTGGTCATTTCCATTAGCCGCCAAATTCTTCTCTGGCTGGTTTTGTATTCTAGCCCAGACTATTTTTACAATTAAAATTAGCAAAATCATCCAATGTGTTTACCCTGAATTAGCTTCCTAATCATTCACAAAAAAGGCAAGAAAAATATGAATCTATCATAATGGTACATAAATCTATCATAATTCATCCCTGAACCCCCCCCCCCCCCCCACCCAGCTACCCCTCTGTATCCGTCTTTTGGATAAAATCTTCTGAGGCAAACCAGAGACAGGACTTAGCCTGAGTTTAGGAACAGATGCAACTAGCATGGAAAGTGGGCAATAAGAACACAGTAAACCTCGGGGGAAGGAAGCCGAGGCCAGGAAGAGACTCTGGCAGTTGCAGAGGTCTGTACTAAGCAGGTGCAGATCCCTCTATGAGGAGGATCTCAGATCTGGAGTATTCCCAAAAGGTTGCATTATAGTTCTCCTCCCACTGAAAATCAATCCCTCAATCAATCCCAAAAGAAGCACTTCTGGGCTGGGCACGGTGGCTCACGCCTGTAATCCCAGCACTTTCAGAGGCCAAGGCAGGCGGATTACTTGAGGTCAGGAGCTTGAGACCAGCCTGGAAAACATATTGAAACCCCATCTCTACTAAAAATACTGGGTGTGGTGGTGTGCGCCTGTAATCCCAGCTACTCAGGAGGCTGAGGCAGGAGAATCCCTTGAACCTGGGAGGCGGAGGTTGTAGTGAGCCAAGATCGCACCACTGCACTCTAGCCTGGGATACAGAGCAAGACTCTGTCTCCAAAAAAAAAAAAAAAAAAAAAGCTTCCACATGGCCATGTTTTCAAAGCTAAGTTCGCTGTTCGCTATATTGTGCCCACATTAGACTTGATGAATCTGGCATACTGAATATACCAGATCATTCTTAAAGCATTTTATTTGCATATTTTTATCAAATGCACCAATTCCAGTTTGCTTCCAAGCCCTTAAAGAACTCAAGATTACTTCCTGAACAGTTGCAAATCAGAGAATTCAAATTTGGTATGAAAAGTCAGGACCACGGTCCACGTGTCTTTGAGAAATGTATACCTGGAATCTCCGCATATCTCGAGGGTTGCCTGCATTCTTCAAACAGTTCTGATTGCACTTGAGGAAAAACTTTAGAAAGAATCTATAAAAAATACAAAAAGATGATATTTATTAGGGTTATCAGACAAAAGACTCAAACTTTTTAAAAGACACTCTTGCGCAGGGAGGAGTGGAGACTCAACCCCACAGCTTCCACACTTCCCTCTAGGGGGCGACATTGAGAAGAGGCTCTGGGAGAGGCGGCGAGGAGGCACCCAGAAATAGCCACACAGGAGAGCAGTGAGTTGCATTTGCCTTGACGCTGTGGGTGTCCAAGCTTTATGATAATAGCTGCGACTTTCGCATTGGCATTTCTTGGCTCAATCTTTGCACAACTGCCCATTAACCATGGGGGAAACATTCAGCCCAGACAGGCCTACCATCTCAACCCACTAAAAATGAAGGATGCCTAGTTAAATTTGAATTTTGGATAAACAAAAAATAATGTCCCAAAGCATACTCCTCACTAAAAAATTGCTGTTGACCTGAAATGGAAATTTCACTGGATGTGCCATATCTTATCTGGCAACCCTAATTCCAGAGGCTACCACTGCCTAAGCAAACACACTTTTAAATATGGGTTTTAAGAGTTACAGTAGCGCCTGTAATCCCAGCACTTTGGGAGGCTGAGGTGGGCAGATGACTTGAGGTCAGGAGTTCGAGACAAGCCTGGCCAACATGGTGAAACCCCATCTCTACTAAAAATACAAAAATCAGCCAGGTGCGGTGGCATGTGCCTATAATCCCAGCTACTCGGGAGGCTGAGGCAGGAGAATCGCTTGAACCCAGGAGGTTCAGTGAGCCGAGATCGTGCCAGTGCACTCCAGCCTGGTTGACAGCTCAAGGCTCTGTCTCAAAAAAAAAAAAAAAAAAAAAAGAGTTACAGTAGGTACAGCTCTTAAAAAGCAATTGGGGGGTGGGGCAGGAGAATCACTTGAACCCAGGAGGTGGAGGTTGCAGTGAGCGGAGATTGCACCACTGCACTCCAGCCTGGGCAACACAGTGAAAATCGGTCTCAAAAAAAAAAAAAAAAAAAAAAATCTAAGAACTGATTGGGAGGCATATTGTTTTAACCAAGAATTCTTGAGGCGGTAATGAAACTGTTGCTGAGGCAGAAAGCAAGGAACAGCACTCTGCAGGGCTGGGGAGGTGAGGCCGAAGCGAGTGCTATTTCCATTTCCCGCCATGCCTTGCCCTTATGTTTCATGGCATGAAGATTCAGGGGTCCTGACAGTGTGTTGAGATGCTGTGACTAAAACGTCATCATGTTGTCCTCCGCATTCCTGCATGCTCAGTGACATTGCAGGAGAGCTGGCTTCCAGTCTGAACTCAAAGAACCTGGGAAGCCAGGCTCTACCACTACCCACAGGAAAAGTGGGTGGGGGGGTTTCTCCCTGTATAACCTCTGCCTCAACTTGAAAAGGCCACAACCAAGAGGTCCCAGAGCTTGGGTCTGTGCTGAAACACCCACTCTCTGCACGTGGCCAAGCATCCTGTCCAGCAAGGTCATCAACACAAACCTTTCTCTACTTCCTCCCAAAATATCATCTGTCCTACTTGGTGATTATTAATTTTTGATGAAGTTTCACATGATTTTCTTACGTTCAAGGTTCCTCGCTGGCAATTAGAATATCAGAAAATGAAAACACTCAACGGACCAAGACTCATCTAAGTGCCCCCCCAGCATATCCTGGATGACTTCTTACTGTGGCAGAAGAAAATCCAATTGATGGGGGAAAGAGTGGTGGCCACTTAATTAAATTTTCCTGCATACCATGAGGCCTCACCATTTTAGGCCAGAATTTACATCTTTTATTAACTCACCTCACCTATACACTTAGCTCACAATGCCTCTTCACACCATCTGCCATCAGCATACAGTAAGTCACTTGATATTCCACCCACCAATTTTTCCTAACAACCACTGTGCAATTAAACTCCACACGTTCCGCAGCGAGGTAAATGAGGCGCACCTGCGGCCACACTGCATTTGAACTGCATCAGAAAGGGCCTAACAAGGTGAGGGCGCCACCAAGTTATCGTCCTGTCAGGCAATTAGGTTTTCACTTCGGGGACAGCAACACGGTGCAATTACACCACACATTACCACCCAGCTAATCTTCGGAGCAGGCGCCGGCCCGAGAAGCTGCTCATCTGCAAATGTACCTGCACGGAGCCATCTCCAGGAGCTTTGTTTGTGATTTGAGAGATTTCTCCCCAGCTCCAGAGGAGGTTTCTTTAAATTTCTTGATGTCTTTTAGACAGTCACCCTTTTACCTCCAAGAGAACAGAGCGAGTTTTGATGATACCCTAACTAGCCCTCACTCGGCACTGTCATGAAGAGCTGGGTTTGGCATTCTTAGGCCTTCACTGTCATCCTCTGCAGAAATCAGCAGGACAAAGTCGGGTGCTGGACCCCAGAAACATACTGAGCATACCCAGGGTCAAGTCAAGCAGGTGCAGATACACACCTATGCACACATACACACATGCCACCCACACATACACACACATGCCCACACATACATACACACACATGCCCACAGACACACATGCCCACATGCCCACACTTGCATACACACACATGCCTACACATGCATACACAAATGCATGCACACATGCAGACACACACGCGCATACACATACACATGCAGACACATGCACACATACGCACATACATATGCACACACACATACATATGCACACACACACATGCATTCTTGCTTGCTCACTCCCTCTCTTTATTTTCTATGTGGCAATGATAGTTTCTGCTTCTATCCAAACTGCCTAAAGAGCAGTGCAAGTACTTGAGAAAGAGCTGTCGTGCACAACCCTAGAGACCAGGATCCTTTCTGAGCACACAGGTCCCAGTGACACAAATAAAGTAAGCTCAACAGTCAAGTGGCTCCATGCCAGGTTCTTGGGGCATCTACAGGGACGGACAGAGGGGAAGCCTCAGCAGAGAGAAAGAAGAGCTCTGCGCTTACCTCTTACCCTAGTTTTGGTCATGTCTGAGTTGGGGATTCAATTAAGCCTTTGCAAGGTGGCTGGCACCGTACAGCAGGTGTGTGACTCTGATATTGTGCAGAGTTACACACGGAGCAAATGTATGCTTTCACGAGGAGGTGCTCAGTGAGCCACACGATTTCAGTGTTTGGGGAGGGGGTGAGAAAATTGAATGCCCAACATGTGAAGTCAAAAGGTAATTCTCATCCTTTACTCAATTACCCTTTAATTGGCTTTTTCCTAAGAAATATCTGACAACCACTTTACATATCTCACTTCTAGAGTCTGGTACACAAAGAATTTAATACTCTTGTTATGAAAGGAAAAATCTTTCCTATGTCAGAAAATCTTTGGCTTTAGCACCAATAAACTCTTTATTACTGCAAAACATGGATTTGCTGCTCCATCACGAAGAGGCGATAAAAATTCTAACCTGTCATTAGTACATTATGCTTAATTGTGTACAGTGTGTCTCTCGTTGCATCTGTTGGCCCGTCATCAAAATGACCATTATGTGCACTAATTCCCTGACCCTGTCTTTATTTCCCTAAAGAGTCATCATCTTTCACAGTAGGTACCAGAGTAAATCAAGCTTGAAATATGGGCTTTATTTACTTGTTTCTCCCAGGCAGAGGGGAAGACAGCAGCTCGAGATAAACTGCTACACGCCAGGCGCGGCTTTCCCAGCCCCATTCCACTCGGAAACAGCCCACAGAATCCTGGGAAGTTCTCAGGAACCAGCAGAAGGGGGAAAGGTGTGATCTTATTACTTTTGAAATGAGGTTTCCTCTTTCGCGGTGCACAGGGACTAGGACAGGGAACCATATGGGCAACCTCATTCATTCTTGGGAGGGCTGGTTCCAGGAGGCTGAGTTGTGGGAGGTTCCCTCTACTAACTCATGAGGGTCCTGTGAAGATGGACCAAGGGGCACAGTCGGGCCCTGTGCCGGGGAGGACAGGGGTGGAGGGGCAGCTGGGTGCCACTCCGGATATCTTGAGTTTAATCTAGAAATCCCGAGGCCCTCATTTCTGCTGGGACAATGACTCATCTGCTCTAAATAGAGTTGTGGCCACCACTGCACCCAAGGAAGAAAGAGTTTGGTCTTGGTTGTGTTTGTTTCAGAGTCCCAACAAAAAACTCCAGTGCCAGCATAAGCGTGGAGCAGCAGAATGAGGACACCTTAAACTGGGCTAAAACAAATAATGGGATCAACCGTTTTAACTGGAGCCCAATCTAGGTATCACACAAGAAAGGGGCAAGCCCCCACCGCAGTGACTAATTTCAAAGTCTGCTCTATTTCTGTGTGTTTAAGCTATGAATTAGTTCATTTATATTTACTTTTATGAAGCTGATTAACCAGAGCTTCTCTATCTGATGAAAATCATTTTAATTGTAGTGTTAGGCTCCTGTGTAATATCCATTACATTATGAACTGTTTAAATTCTACATGGGTATTGTGTAAATTGGCCCTTTGTGAGCTAGCAGGCAATTAGGACCAAACAGCTCTCCTTTAAACGGCTACAGAACTTTGTGGTGTTGTTCAGGACAATCAGAAACAAAGGAGGCTGTTTAATTGTAATTTAATGGAATATCAAGGAGTCCGTGGCATTAGATGCTGGCAACAGAGAGCAGGAGAGAAAAATTAACTGCAATTATGTTTGATTAAAGCTATCCTTCTCAATAATCAGCGGTCCTGACAGGCCATGGGGCTCTAGTGGGTTCCAGGATGGCAAAAGGTGTTGAGCAATATTAGGGCCAATAAAGGGGATATTAGCATAGCTAATTACAGCCCTGCAAAACCTGTAAAGGGGGCCTCTGTGTATTGTAATGTGTGAAATAATTGGCCAAGGCCGTTATCAATTACATAAGGAATGAATTTGGTTTGTCAGAGAAAAGCTGATGAGATGCACTTCATCTGACACCATCCCTACCCTCATGTTTCCATGTAGCTAAGAACGTATCCACTTTTATCAAAAGCTGCAACTTACCACTGGCCAAACCACTGATAAAATTATCTTGCCAGCAAGTGTTGGGTAATTAATACAGCCCATCCTCACCGCCTTCCCTGCCGCTGTTGTTCTCACCTAACTGAAGCCACTAATCATGCAATGATGATTTCTTTCCCTCTGGTCAAAGGAGAAATAGATTGTCTCCTTAGAAATGCAGTGGGCTTGGCGGTCGCACCCTGGTGATTGAAGAGAAAAAGGAAACTTTGAACTGTTCTAATGGCTTGCTTTTTGCATGTGGCTATCACTTGTTTGAAATTACCTACTTCTCAGCATCTCAGGAACCCTGTACAGGATTTTTTCTTTAATCATCAAGTTTCAGACTGTTCCAGGGCTTGGTTTCTCCAGCGCTTGAAAACGTGAGTCACTGTACACTGGAAGGTGTGACACTGACTGGCCCCCTGAAAAGACGCCTCATCAAACCGAGCTGTGACTCCTAGGTGCGCGCCTACCCCCACGCAGGGTTAAGTGGCCACGCTGCAAGGAAAGAGCTCTGGCTCTTAGCACAGCCTCCCGTGCCTGGGTTCCAGCCTCGGTCCTAGAAGGACAACCCCCTTTTGCGGCCCTCAATGATGGGTAATGTGGGAAATCAGAGTCAAGAATAAAAAATGTTGGTATCTTTTATTGTGGGGGATGGGGGGAACCTGCTTTTGAGTTTTAAGGCAGAGAGCTCTTAATAAGCAGCAAACTCATACAACAGTGGATGGGCCTGCAGGCCATCCATCAAAAACCCAAAGTGTTCGTGTGTGAATCATGGAGGTGACAGCTTCCAGAGGTTCCTGGGGGCTGCAGAGAGCCCTATTCCGGATCGAGCCCCCATGTTTTCAGTTACTACTGTTTTAATACGTAATAACCTTGACAAGGAAAAATGAGTACTGAAAACCAGCCAGAAAACACAGTTTTAAAAGTCACCGTTCACTGGTGGTTGCTGGGGTGGGGGAGGGGAGGATGGGGAACAGCTGCTTCGTGGGTACAGGGTTTCCTCTTGTGGGGGTAACGGGGACATTTGGAACTAGATGGTGGTGATGGTTGCACAACCTTGTGAGTGCACTAAATGCCACAGAACTGTTCACTTTAAAATGGTTAATTTCATGTTATGCCAACATCACTTCAGCGAACAAAAAACGTCCTGCCCCGAAGGAGAACACAAGAGTGGGGCACGTGATCCGAGGCCCTCATGGGGGCCGGTGGCTGCAGCCTTTACTGTGCTATTGAAATGAAATAGTTAAGAGTCAAATTAAAAGATAGAGCCTTTAAGAGACTTTTCCCTGACTGATAAGAGTGGCCAGTGGAGTGCTTCCTCGAGGTCCCTGCTAATTACTGGGAAGTCCCTGAAAGCAGTGGCCACAGCTGTGGTGTGTGCACACCCGGCCATCAGTCGCTGGAGTATTGATTACTGAGCAATTCTAGCCGATCGGGTTCGGGCGCTTCAGAGACAATGTGCTTCCCTCACAAAACCTGTAATGAGCAGTTCCTATACAAGACTACATTCTGCTGACATCAGATCTGTGCACTAAGATAGTACACAGGTCAATACGTATTGGATTTCCAAAATGCGAGGGTCTTAATGTCAGGCCTCTCTTTTTCTCTCACTCCTGCCATTAGCTATTACTGGGCTCACGTTCTTTAATGCCATACGGGAGAAAAAATCTGCTCCATTAGTCTGATTTATTCTTCAAATATGCCATGACAAATTGCTTTAACACCAGACTTATTAAATTCTTGTACATTTCAAGTTATGGGTCTCATATACTTGTAGTGCCTGCATGACGTCATAGCGAAGGGGCAGAGGGCGGCAAGCTTGAATTTTACAGCTGTGCCCAGATGTCCTTTGTTGGGGGCTCCCCTCTCCAGGCGAGAGGTCTGGATGGCTGGACTCCCCAACTGGGAGTACCTGGCCTGCACGTGCATGCTCCCCGAGCACACACGCTATCCTGCATGTAAATGTAGATGTATGAGGATTTGAAAATATCCACGGCTTGACTTGCAGTTCAACAACGACTGGCCTTTGTCTGGGGATTCTGGCTCTACTGTAGCCGAGCCCGTCTCTAGTGGACTCCAGCTATTTTACTTCCCTCCGCTGTAGTAACCACACCGCATTAACAATATTTGTACTACAATCGCCAAGGGACCCACTTCCCAGATTCTATCACTTCTTTATCTCCTGACAAATACCTCACTATCGAACATTATTAGGTTTAGAAAATTAACCCTTCACAGCCTAGAGCCACACTAGGCCCCACCGTCCCTCCAAAGAGCCTTATCGCTAAATTTCTGCTATAATGGTTTTTCTTTTCATCACAATTTCAGCAGCGGCTGTCAAGAGGCACTTATAGATACCATGATCTTGTACTTTTGCAATGATTCTCATTAAAATGATGCCAAAGAGATCTGATGGGATTTAATGGCTTTGCCGGCCAGTTCAATATCCCCTTCCAGAACAGATCCCCGCCAAGTCCTCCGTTTGGAGAAATTTGTATGACTCGCATTAAACTTTTCCGGGTGGTTTTAATGTGTTCAGATAAGTAAAATCCAGGTAGACACTCTAAAGGCAAGTACATCCCAGAGCTACAAGCTTCGTCAGCCACCCCACTCCGCCCGCTGTCAGTGTTCTAGTTAGTATTTTCTGCAACTGCTCCGGATATTTCATGATAGTTTTGATAAGGTTATCTGTTTCAAAGAAGTCAACTGCACAACACAAAAGAAATGTGAAGTGCACTATATTTACACTAGGGTTCTTGTTTCAAGTGCCTATCTTTCTTTCCCCCCTTTACCTATTTCTCTATTTCTAATGGGCAATGCAGCACTGACATTATTTCCCCAGCAGATCACGCGCCCTGTCAATCAGTCTGTATTTTGTCTTTCGCTGCGGGCTCATTAAAACAGCTTCCTCTCTCCCTCTGGACACTGTTCTATTTGCCAGCTCTGATCACGAAGCTCCTTATTTAAGAAAAATGCCAGCATCACTTGGCTCACAACAGACGCACCCCCCTGACTTGTTGCCAGCTCCAGGGGAGGCTTTTACAGGTTATGCAGAGATTAAGTGCCTATGCTTATCCCAACTTAGGGTTTCAAGCCTCTCCCACCATACGCGTGTGTGTTTTTAGGGATCTGAAGATCACGGGAATGCTTCTTTCGCCATCCTGATTCCTGATGGCTGGGGAGGTCATTCTCAAAATAAATGTGGGTGAGGGGGTGTTGTTTTTGGTTTTAATTTTTTTTTTTTTTTTTTTTTTTTTTTTGCTTCCCATCTCCAAGTGGGAAAGATCTTGTTAATCCTTTCCTCCTCGGATGTACATTTCCCCCATCCACACCAGCTTGCTTAATTAAGAACTATCATCTTTGTAGGCTGAATTATTAATAAAAAAATCACATTTTAAATCAAGCCTGTGCATGCACGGAGGACACCAGTGTTGGACCTGCCTATGCGGCTCTCTAGCCTTTTAGGTCCTGATTAAAAACTTATTAAAACATTATAAATGATTAATGGGCGCACAGCTCTGAGTGGCAATTATTAGTTTTAATGCAGGTAATGCAGCTTAATGAGGGGCACATGTGTGCAAAGCCTTAACTTCATTACTCCTGCGTGTCAACATATACAAGAGAAATGTGTGTACAGGTCATCCATTACTCGGAACAGCACCGAGCCCTCTCTCTTCACCTCCCTTTGTTGATGAGCCAGGAGCCATAAATTAATCCCGTTCTGTGGCTCGGGGAAGGACCAAGGTGTTAAAATCTCAGTAAACCCTGCTCGGCTCCCCACGCCACCAGGCAGCTGTGTTGGAATATTTCACAGATTATCTGTTCTGCGGCCCTCTGGTATGTGGGAATTTTTTTTTCCCTGGGATTTTTGCAGGTCGTCATTGTCTCTGCTCAGAAACAAGAGCTCCCGACATTCAGAGCTGACTGGGTTTCTTTCCCTTCTTGTTTTAAAAGGTCTGCAGGGGAGTTAGCTCCATCCTACCAGTGCCTAATTCACATTAGCACGGTTCTCCTAAATCTTCAGATGTGATTCCAATGTCTGTCCTTCTAACCGCTCCTCTCCTGTCGTGTGGGGTGCAGGAGACTATGTATGAGAGACACAGAGAGACGCACACTTGAGTGCCCCTGGTCAAGAAGGGGTTTTAACACTGGAATGCAGAAACAGAAGGAAATACCGATCAGCGCCTGGCTGCAACATGGAGATGTCAGGGTAAGCACAGGCCCGGGGAAGAGGCTGGGTGGGGGTTGTGGGCGGGGGGGGGGGGGAGGTGAATAGATGCATTTAGGATGCTGAGAGTCGGGGGCACTGGCCCACAAAGAAGCCCATACAAGTTGCAGCCCCACCTGGGACCCTCAGCCCTGGGCCTGCAACAGCCCACGGCTGGGGAGCATGCCACTCGGCCCAACTTTGCACGTCACCTTTCATTTTCTGTTTTTGTGACAAGCAGCTTGATCCAGCCTGATCTCCACTATCTGTTTGAAGAGTATTCAGGACTATTTGCATCATTTTATCGCTAATGTATAATATATGGCTCTAAAGTGAGCCCAAGCGCTGTCTTGTTACCGAGCATAAAAAAGTAAGGGCAATAAAGATACATTAGTTCTCTCAAGCACAGCGGCTATAATGCAAGCAAGAAAGGTTGCTGCTTACAGTTAAGAGGCAACCTTTCTGCCTGGCTAAGACAATGGAAGAGTAAAGAAAATGTCAAATCAAGAAAAGCTGGATTTAGAGATGAGGCAGCCCAGAATGACGTTGGTGCCATATTTTGTGGAACTATAATGCTGTTGGCAGCAAAGATCCGTGTTTCTGATTCATCTAGGGCCGCATGGCAAAGCTTTGTCAGTCTGTGCAAGGTATAAATAATTCAGGGTGAGAGATGGCAATTACAGGGCCCTGCACAACCAAAATGAATATTTTATGAGGACTAAAACTGCTCTGGAATGAATCATGCACATGGAGTCACACATGGCGAGTGGTGGGTTCGCACATGCCAGCCCCAAGAAGAGAGGCGCCGCGGCCCTGATCTCCTTTCAGAGCGTTGACTATAAACCTGGCGAATGGTAAGAGGCAAACAAAATCAGCTAACCCGCCCCCACGCTCCTCATAGATGCTCAGTCCCTAAAACGTCCAGTAGGGAAGCCCGGGACCATGCCATAGAAACTCCTTGCTGATCCATCCCAATCGGCCTCGTGGTTTGCTTATTTTTCTCCAATTGTTCAAACTATTGATAGGGTAAGCTGGGAACCTTCTCTTCGTGAGAAAAGGACTTGAATTTCTTGCACAGGGAGAAGAACAGTTTCGTTGTCCTCGATGGAACGTGGGCGTGCTCCAGGAAGGAGTTGCAGCGAGCATGCGTCACGCCCTCCGCGTGATTTTCCATTTTCCTGTCGGGGAGCAGCACCCGCTATGGCTCTTCCTCCGCCTTCTGGACCTGAACCTCACATGGTCCCAGTCAACAGACTGAAGGGCCCGAGGCGGTGGCTTTTGCGTCCTTAGATCCAAACTGGCGCGTCGAAGTTGCTTTCCTCGCTTTGAAAACTGGTAGACTCCTGATGGGGGCAGGATTTAAAGAGGTCGTTAAAGGCTGAAAGGAGGGTTTCATCTGTTACATTTCCTTCCAAAATGCTCCTGGTGAATTGCTAGAACAAATAACAACATTGTTCACAAGGCCGCGGAGGCCCAGTCCCACTGGTGAATGGCCATTGTGTTTGTCCAGCTACTGATACCTGCGCTTTTGTGGAGGAAAGAAGGCCGGGGCCACGACATCGGCGCAGCACAAGCATCCCTCTGTGCGGATGCCCAGAGCGGGTCCCGGCCGCGGTGGGAACCGAACACCAGATCCCTCTGAGAAGGTTTTCTTTAAATCCAGCTCCAATGCATTGTTTATGAAAACAAGGCTATTAGGTATATTAATAATTTGATAAATAGGGATTTGTCCTTAATTATTCATGAAGAACATTTGGCAACAGTAAAATTATATTCGCAGAACAGGTTTATAAACCAGCTAATTATAAATTAAGTATGCAAGAGAAAATTGCTAACCTTGAAATTAAAATATTTTATGATTCTGCAATTACAAAAAAAAAGGTAGGGAATTATCAAAACCCCAGTGTGGGCAGAGGGAGCAGCAGGCCTGGGCCTATACAGATGGTGGCGGCGCACAGGCCAGAGGCGTGACAGCAGAGGGGGTGGACCGGGAACCCCTGTCCCCTCCCCAACAGCCCCTCCAGTCGGGGTTTGTGCAACTTTCCAAGAGCTCATGGGAAGGAACCAGCAGCTGTCCACAAGGCAGCCCAGCATCTGCAGAAGGCCCTGGTCTGGTTCTTTGCAAAGGACATGGTGGTCCCCTCTGCTGGCCGCCAAAGCCCTGGCAGGTGAACAGAGCAGCATGTGCCCTGCAGAGAAGACCCCAACGCCCCTCCATGTCACTGCCCTCCCGCTGGGGCAGGGTCTACAGAGAGCATGGGGGCCAAAGGGACAAGGCCAGAGCTCGTGGCACAGGAGCGTGGTCCCGCTTGTCCCCACTAGAGGGCTTCTCGGACGGGCCTCAGCGGAAACCAGCAAACGCCAGGGTGGGCGGGCAGCCTTGGGCTGGGAGCAGCTCCTGCCTGCAACACACTTGGGACAGACCCCTCCTGCGGCTGGGCCGTCCCACTGATATGTGGGCTCTGCTGCCTGAGCACAGCTTTCTTGTCGGACGGTTCCATCATCCACCTGCTCCCCAAACTCTGCAGCCTCCCTGCACCCCCCACCCGCTAAACAGCCAGCAACACATTCCCAGTGAGTTCCACACACATTCCCTTGACTCATTTGATAAGAGAAGACAGATGCAGGGGAATCTTCCGTTCACTTTCTAATGACCAGATATCCTCACTCATAATTTGGGCAGAAGTTAAAAGAGGAAAACAACCAGGATAAATAATGAATGTCCTGTTGGGTGCAGGGAGGGGAAGTAGGCCATATTCCTCCACTTCTTTTCCCATGGCTATGTCACATCTGCAAAAAAAAAAAAAAAAAATGCAAACCGTAGAGGCTCAGGACATGCAGAGGCAGCCCCCGACCACTTTTACTACCCTGTAACTCAGTGACTCTTTCCACATTCCCTGAAATCAACGGGAAAATGAGCAAAGCCCATTGAAGTGCCTTTTTTTTTTTTTTTTTTTTTTTTTTTTTTGGTTATGAAGAGTCTTGACTTCCCTGAGAGTCAAAAGCCCCATTAATTGTTCATGTACCAGAGGTAGTGCAGGGCACACTCATGTGCCCGAGTCCTTACCCCGACGCTTGGAGACACAGCTGTGGGTCAGACAGCCAACCAATCAGGGAGGTCTCTGGGAACTCAGATAATGAAAATTTTTTCATGTATAAAATCCTTAATCAAAATGCGAGTGGTGTCATCTTGCAGTGCAGACACTGCAACTTAAAATTAATATACAACAGAACCTTCAGCAGAAGGAACATCCCCGGGCTGTGTGGTACAAGTGACCCTGAACTGTGGCCTGGACTGCCGAGACCCCAGGCGGCAGGCCGGCTCCAGGCCAGCATCGAGATCCCAGGGAAACAAGCTGTTGCTGCACCAGGATCCCCAAGGCCCGGAGGGACTCCAAAATGTGAGGGCAAATCGGCAAAGATGATGTAGCACAAAGAGCGCCATTAACACCATAAGGTGTGACGTGCACAGCGGGGCCTCCGCCAGCCTAATACTGGGCACGGCTTTAAGGCACCGTCAACCAATTAGTTTAACTCGATCAGCTAGTATCTAAAGAATATTTTTATCATTTGGAATAGACTATTTACCATTTGATAGGATACATTTCTTTCTTTACCGCTGGGATGCTCCACAGATGCTAAGCAACTTCCCCTAACAATATTTAAATTGCTTACAAAGCCTCTCTAAATATTTGCTATGTATTTAGCATGCCTAAGATTTGCCCGTTATCCCAAAGTCTTTTTGTTGTAAATTGCAATTTTACAACTTCATGCTCGTGATCTATTTTGACAAAGCTCTGCTGACACCCTCTATTGGCCTCTGAAGGCAAAAGAGCTGATACTCCACGAGTCACCAGAGAACTCTCAATTTGTTGTGAGACCGCGCTACTTTGCCATCCTCAATCTGCATGGAGAAAGATTAAACATTCAATTTGTTACTTGATAGGCCACAAGGTTCGCCACTTACCATACAAATGGAAAACATTACTGTCATTCCTCAACTTGCTTGCCTGAGTATTTTATTATTTGTAATATTTACTTCAGGGAAATTATGATTCATGTCATATTTATCTTCATGAAAAATGAGCATCTAAATGGAAATCACCTTTTGAATGTACCGGGATATAGTGTAATACTAATATGCTTCATGAACTATAAAATTTAGTCACAGTATATGGATATATTATAGCATGACTTTAATACTCTCCCATCAAGCAAATTTTCTCTGTGTTAAGCTGATACTCTGAGCCCTGATTCCAGTTTGATAATCATTACACCTACATGATGGTACAAGTCACTACTTGTAGATTTATGTGCCCTCTCAGCTCTTTTGCATTAATCTGCCTCTGAATAAGCTATTCGCACTTCCTCCCGTGCATGCAGGAAATTGGAATAAGGTGCAAATTTGTAGGCCTTAAATCTGAACAAGCACAGACAGATATTTTTCACCTGATACCATTCATTTGTTTCAAGTAAATACAAAAGACATTTTTTATTCTTTGTCTTTGTCCTAAGGCCGTTCTTCACGAAAACGACTGTTGTGTGTTTCCCTCCATATTTACATCCATTTTTGCAGAAGTCAGAGTTAAATGAACTATCTGCAATTAGCTCTGAGTCAGACTTGCAGTGATGTCTGTACCAATACAGGGTCCCCAGCAGGCCGCGCCATCCTTTGTGGATCCGTGGCCCGGTGGTCTGCCACCCAAGGAGGTGATGCCATGTATTACAAGCACAACAGAGCTCAGAGGCCCACAGCCCACTTTTGAGAATCCTTCTGGATAATTGGAGAGCATAAACTTCAGTGGCTCACGGCGTCTCTGAGGCCCTGGTAAGAGGCATTCCAATTCATTACAGAGGTAGTTCAGAAATATCTAAAAGTGACAGGAAGAGCTTGGCGTCACTCTCCCCCAATTATCCGGGAAATTCCGAGATTCCTGGCTAAACCCGTCCCAATCTCAAACCTTTTCCTCTCAGCTGACCTGCAGCCAATCAGGCTGTTAAGGGAGATTGATGGGCCCGCCTCTCTCTGGCCAACGGCCTGCCTGAGGACCCAGGGCTGGGACACTGGCAGGGGAAGCATTTCTCAGCAGCGGCAAGAAATGACAGAGTCAAGTGAACTTGACTGAGCAGGATGATCCCGGGTCTCTCCCCGGGTCCCAGGCTCCAACTGATGAGTAGCGGGGCTCTTAGTCGGGTTCCTCTTTGGAGCCCTTATGAAACTACCTGGGGCCAGGAGGCGGTGCTGGGGTGCCCCCAAGGAAACAGGAGAGGGGTAGGTCTTCACAGTGTGCACATGCCCCTGCTTTGGAACCCACTCCCGTAAAAGCAGTGAATAATTAATTTGATGAACTCAATTTCCATATAAAACTGTTGTCATTGGAACCATAGGAGCCAAGTGCAATGAGCTGTTTGGCGATTTCCACTTATTTGGGGATTTTGGTGCCACGGATGCCGGACACCTGTGAGGTGAGCAACACCATGGGTCCAGACCGGGAATGAGGCCTCCTGTGACGGCTCAGAGAGTGAGCCGTGTTGCATGAATGTTTATGTGCGTTACAAATTAATGATAATCACCACTGACCATAAATATAGCACAAGAATCACACGAGAGGGTCATAGCTACGAACCAGCTACATAAATAGAGTATGATTAGTCCATGTCTAAGAGTACATTCATCACTTAATGACTTTTCCCATTATGCCTGCACATTTTATCTAATCAGAAAGTAAGCCTGCTTGCTTTCACTGAGCAGGGTTAACCTAATAAGACTGCTGCTTAAACCACATCGAAACGAGGCATAACAAGCCAGCTTGATGAAAACGCTTTCCCAATCTGTGACAACGCACTTGAACGTCGCCATCAAATCATAACCCCCAAATATGTATTTTCCCATTTTAGGGGAGGGCGCCGGCAGCCAGCCGTTAATTAGCATACTTCCCATGCTCGTCATGAAGTCACGGGCTAATCTGGCACACACGGTTCGGAACAGGCTCCTGCCTGAATCAATCGTGAGAGCAGGGCGCTGGGCCCTCCCTCCCAGCTCTCCCTTTATATTTCAATAGTCCTATGACAATAATTGATTGTGATTCACTCCTGAAATGTACCAATCCCCGGGAAATGGCATGGGCTTTCATTCATCAATTTCAGCTTCATAAGTGGAAATTTATACAAGGTATGCAGATGTTTAGAGTTTGGGGTAATCAATAAGGAGTAAATAAAGATTGGCATTCACTATACTCCACTTGACAAGCCCCAGCCTAATGTTTGTCAAGCAAATTAAACACACTCAGACTTTTCACCTGCTCCGACAACAGCACCACATATGGCCCTGAAGTTAAAAATAAGAAAATGTGCATACATTATCATACATAATGTACAACTCCCTCCATTTAATATGCAAATTTTGTAAAATATTACTGAATACCTTCTGTTCTAAATGAATAAATTTGAATTGCAATTAGAATAATCTTGTATAATTAATGAAAACTGTCAATTTTTGTTCATAAGTAATTTGATTAACATGTTGATAGGACACTTATCAAGTTCAGTAAACTGTTAGATTAGGAAGATGAAAAAATTTGAAGAAAATTTTTACCAGCTCTGACAATTTCCCCTGGCATGGTAAACAAAGACTTGCTGGCAAACTTCCTGACGCCGGGAACGAGCCTCTCCAGCTAATCTGCAAATCACAGCGCACGCATGAAACCCGGACCACCTTCTCCATTTCTTCTGCGCTCCCCTCCTCTCCAGCTAAGCCAGAGTTTAAAGCTACAGTTAATTTCATTGATCAGTCTGACTCGGAACGTCTGCTGAGGTCAACAGCAAGGTGAGCGCCTCTGTTACAGGAAGCGTGCAGGCCTGTCAGCAGACCTGCTGGCTTCCCTGGTGGGGGTGCACGGGGCCCCACGTGTGAGGGACTCTCCACAGCCACCCTCCGTTTGGGGTGAACAAAGCGCGTGCTTCTCCTACCCAAGCCCCACTCCCCAACTCGTGTGGCTGGAGATGCAACCCACAGGCAGAATAATTTCGGTAAAGGCTTAAGTGCCCCCCTCCTTCCTATTAACCTGCTCCCCAGTCCTGTTCCTGTTCTTATTTTCTAATAGAAATGAAACTTTTATGATATAGACGTGGGCTGGCTTAAAGGGAAAATCTGTCAAGCTGGTGATCTGCACTTGGGTGTCTCCTGCGCAGAACTTTAGATGTTTAATTCATAAATCCTGTCATCCATGTAAACCTCCTGATTTCATAATGAATAACTCTTCATCATTTAATTAATTTAATAATGCCTTTCAAAATCCATAAATGAAGGGGGTTCTAAAATGGGTGCATTAATTAGTCACAACGAGGGCTGAGGACTCACTTGTCAACCCTGAGCCTGTCAGTTTTAGGACGACCAGAAGAGATGCCAAGGTCTGTACCCATCACCCAGGACCTTGCCCCCGTGGCTGGCACATCCCACAGGTCCCAGGGGAGAGGCCCCCTGCAGGGCTCGGTGACCTATGATCCAGCACCTTGCCTCTGGGCCCCGCCTCTGTGCCCCAGCTCCTCCTCAGACCGAGCTGGAAGGAGGCTTTCTACTCTGCTTGGAAGCTCACTGACCAGGCTCTCCATTGCTCACTGGGGCCCTCCAGCTCCCCAGGTTGCAGCAGCCATGGCTCTCCCAATAGCCTGGATGACCCTCCTGCTTCCAGGGCAGACTCTTCCAGAAAACTGCATCTGCCTGGGGCCTCCACAGAGCCTATTCTAACATTTGTCAACATCATCTGTTTTCAACTTTGCAATATCTCAGCTTCCTCTGACAGTAGGTAAAAGGCATCAAGATTCCCAATGTTTACATGCTGCATTTTCAGGAAGTTGCCAGAGGGACAGAGTCTCCTGCTGGTGACTTCCTACTCAGGCTGGCAGCAGCCTGTCTGCAGATGTGGGTGAGTCCCTGGGTCAGTGAGCACAAAGTCCTGGGCACCTTCTGGGGCAAGGCAGTGCTCATGGCAGAGGCTGTAAAGCCTGCAGGACGGGTAAAGCCAGGCAAAATGAGTGGGCATGCGGAACGGGGACAGTAAGGCCAGGTTCAGCCCCTTGTTCTGCTTCTTCCTCATGGGCCACTGGGCGAGACACTTAATTTTGCCGAGATTCCATTCGTCCATCGACTTCATGGAGCTGCTGGGAGGACTATATGGAATTGCTTGCATAAAGACCTCATGCCTTCACTCAACCACTGCCTCACCAGCAGGAGTTTGGGAAGCCACCTGGCTGCTCTTAGCTCCTGATTGCCCTCTGCGAAGTGGATGGATGCCTCTCCCCCAGCCAGGCTCCAGAGGGAGTGGACGGGGAAGGAGGCCCTGCGACAAGGCTTCGTATGCCTCCCGGCACCGAATCTACCTGAGGCTCGGGTGTACCAAGAGCGGGCTCTGGACACCACACTGAGCTGGGCTGCGGCCCAGCTACTGGAGAAGCTCCCTTGTTCCCATGGGCAGCTTCTCCTCCGAGTATGGGTAAGGCATTTCCATTCCCCTTCAGACCTCCACAGAAAAACCCAATGAGTATCAGTATGTCATCAGGGGACAAAGGAGTGAATCCATACTCTCAAAATTCGACAATCAAATCTTACCAGAGGAGTCCTGAGGACCCTGGTAGGGGAGTGGCCTAAACACACCTGTGCTTCTCCACCTGGGACAAGGGCTGGTGTGCAGAAATGCTACTACAAATAAACTTGTATCGATACTTGTGCCATTTTAAAATGATACTTTTGATTACTTTCCTATCATGGACAAGGACATGACACAGATTATTTCTCTGCACATATTAGTTAAAAAAATCCAGCTGACTTTAGAGTTTGTCAATATCAGGAGAGGTAATTAACTGTTTTGAAAGAATCCGTAATGTGGGACTTTGTAATGGCATCATTTGGAGTCAAGTCACAGATGCGGCGTGTGGAGCCATACTGTAATTAGGAAGAAATGCTGTACAGGTTTTCTACTAATTAGCAAATTATGCTGAAAATAGCATCAAGCTAATTAACAGTTATTATGGCATTTTTGAAAGTATGACTTTAATTAGCAAAGTCCTGACGCATGCAATTTCAAACTTGTCCAGAAAAACACAGGACATGATCAAGAAGCTACAAAGATTATTATGAAGAAGTCAAAATGCAGGGTGGGGGGAAGGGGCTTTTATGATCCATCTGAGTTCCCATTTAGATGAAAGAGCATGTGTATCGTCCAACTCTGCCAAAAAAACCCAGGCCGGCTGCCGGATGTCAGGTGGCCTCAGTGGTCATAGCAGCCACCATGCAAAAACAAGCCCGAGCTCAGCTGGTGCTGGGAAGATTCACTTATTCTACTTGAA
The DNA here is from genome assembly GCF_000001405.40 of Homo sapiens. NCBI lineage: Eukaryota > Metazoa > Chordata > Mammalia > Primates > Hominidae > Homo > Homo sapiens. The sequence continues at coordinate 129,896,354 of NC_000010.11, forward strand.
TGCACATTAAAAGAGGGACTGAATGAAGCCAAGCAACAAGACATAACCTGACAGCTCCGCTCCCGGCCACGCGGCCACCGTCAGCCACCCTGGCCTGGCGTCGCCCGCCATTCCTGGCCCCTCCGAGCAGCTGGCTGGACGGGGCGGGGGCCGGCGTGGGCCGGGTGTGGGGGTGCGACAGGCCCTTGGGGGCTGCCCCTGTCCCTGCACAGCGAGTGGGGGGCTGGAGTTTGCAGGACGTGCTGGGGCGCGGCCTCCTGGCGAGCCTCCCGGAGGCGGTGCACCGTGCAGCCCTTGAGCTCCGCTGACCTCGCCGGTGCCTTTGTCTTCCCTGCTCCTCCCGCTGCTCTCCTCCTTAAGCATTCCCTTTTGTTGTCTCAGAGAATGAGAAAAATGCCATCTCTTCCCAAAGCCCCCTGTAGCTCCAACTCCTGAGAGCTGGTGACACGCCCAGCCCGTAGCCACCTTTCGCCCTGCGTGAACTTGGCAGGGGAGTCGACCATTAAATACTGAGCAGAGGCTCAAACCGAGAGAGAAGCCTGCCCACGCCGCCACCCCAGGCCTCCTCTTTATTGCCTGTCCTTCATAGAGAGGGAAAGAGCCTTGTAGCCAAGTTTTGACATGGCCACATATGGCCTCTTCCATCAATCTGACTAATCAAGCATCGAGGACAGGCACCGCCAGCCTGATTGCCAGCCATGGCCATCTCACTGCAGGCAACCTGAGCAGAGATGGGCCTAGACGGGCAGTTGGAGCTGGGAGACAGGAAGACAAAGCCGGTCTCCTTTCGGGGTCCTGGGATGAGCACTGTGGTCACAGACACACTCGCGGTGTACACGGGCCCTCCACGCAGCCAGGAAGGGGTTCTGCTCTTCCTGTCCAAGTTCCTGGGGACACCTCTAGTCCACTTGGGCCCCACTTTCCTGCAGGGACCTAGGAGGGTTGAAAGGAGATGAGGCCCATGGCTGTGTGGGTGAGTTCTTGGGGGTACACCAGTGGCCCCAGGACCTTTGTGGAACCAGAGCAGAGCCCAGCGGTGCCACCCATCTGGAAGGCGGTGCTGCAAAACCCTGAGGTGCATGGCCTCTTCTCCCATCCACCCTCCCCTGCAGACTGGCTCCCCCTAAATCAAGGGGGGCCAGGCAGACCTAACAAACAGAGGCAACACCTATGCAGGAACTTCCTGGGAAAATACAGAGGAAACCCAGCACACGACCCTTTTATCCGAGAGGCGAAGCCCGGGAAGGTTCTCGAGGGCGCCCATTGTCTCCGAGCCTGCCCACTGTGCCTGCCTCAGAGCCCTGACGGACAGCTGACATTCTCCTATTTATTATCAAGAAGTACAAGTTTTGATGTTATCAGAGTGGAAAAACAGCCCAAATGTCAAAGCCTGAATATTTTCCCCAGTTTCTTGAAATGACATCTTACTTTCCTACATTTATCGTGACGGGGCCACTTGTGGGTATGCGAGTACATGGCGGCCAGAGGCAGATATCATTGAACTTTGTTGGGGTTTTGTTCCAGCATCCTCCAAATGCTGCAATTTCTGCCCTTTTCCTGGTGAGGAATTTCAAATAATTCTGTTATAAATGCCTAAAGCTGGGGCTGCTCAACAGAAGAGAGCCCGAGCTGACCCGTTGCTGTATTAAATTTTCATATGAAAAGAGGACTTTGCACATGCAGCCAAAAGGGCAGAGCTCAGCGCTCCTGTTGGGCTCCCAGAGACAAGCATTTTCTAGCTCTGCATGCATAAAATGAGCTACAGTAGGTGTCAGTAATTAAACGATCATGTTTCAAAGTCTTGACAACAGTACAGAAGCAAGAGAACAAGACGATAATTTCATTAGTCTGAAGAGCAAAGTCATAATTAGGTGCCTTTCACAGAGTAAAAGTCATGGACAAAAGGTACCCATCCTGCCCGGCTGGGTCTGCAGTGCAGGAGTGAAATCTAATACGGGGTCCCGGGTTTACGGGGTTCACCCATGGGCAGGAGACTGCAGGCAAAGTCTGGGTGGAAACAATCAGGCTTTCTTTGGGGCGGCTGAGAAAGGAAATGATATAGAAACAGCCTGAAAAAGTCAGCAACAATGGGATATCGGTGGGCTATTGTTATAGGGAAACCTGAATTCCTCTCCTTGTTCTGGGGACCGCCCCCCACCCCAACCCAGAAGGATGGCACCATGGCTCACAAGCACGGTTTGCATCCGTCGCCCCACTCCAGTCATTAACCACATTATAAACTGACTTTGGTAAAGTAGCATTTATTTAAAACTAAACTGTTGGGATGGGCACTTCATGGAATCATTAATGTGCAGTTTGATGTTTCTGTCAGTTTATTTATCTCTGTCTTTACTTGCTGAGGTATTTGCATATTTAATTGATCAATATGCTCCCCGTTCCTCTTGCACATCTGCCAAGCTGGTCCCAGCCTCTTAGACCCCTCATTTCTCAAAGTGACAGCTCGCCGCTGCCCCTCCTCCCGCGCCCAGGCCCCGCTGCGCCTCCCGCAGCAAGGCTGCCCGGCCCGCGGCCGGCGTCCCCTCTGCACGGCTATTAATTTTGCATCCTCGGATAACGTGCAGCCTCGAGTAAGGAGAAGACGTTTTTGGTGTCTGATCTGTAAAAAGTTCTCGAGACAGATTTTCCACACGGCTACACGTCGGAGCGCGGCAGCAACATGTGTGCGCCGGCTCCCGTTCAGCATCTGTCACTGTCTCCTCCTGCCTCCGCGCAGCCTTGAATCGGAGCTGCTTATCAGCAGAGTGTCAGAAATCCGCGCTGCCTTCTCTTCCTCGTTTAATCTTTTATTAAGAGCTACATTGTGAGCTTCTGATAGCGAATGTCCTCCACTTCATCATTCATAAATCGGAGTCGACATCAATAAGGTGACGGCACCATGGAATCAAAAGCAGCGTGGTTAACTGCCAATGAAAACGTCTTAAATTTTCTAAACAATCCGCTGGCATTTCTTGATGCCAGCAGAGTGCCACAAAGCCCCATTATGTGTGTCGGATGGTGAGGAACATAAGGAAGTTGTTCTCCTCCAGGCCCCGCCTCACCATGGACTGTGCCGGAGGACGGTGAGGCAGAGGCCGGCGCCCTGGACCAGCCTGGGTCATTTCAAACAGGCCAAAACAACAGCCAGCCATGTGGCTAAAATGTAAATAAATACAGCCTTCCCGACTTGCTGTGCGAGGGAAGCCCAGGAGGAGAAACGGACATGTCCCAGTTGCTCTTTGAAATGGCCAGATCCAGCCGGAGGGAAGGCCAGGCCGGGGAATGGCAGCAGGGTTGAACTCCTCCACAGGTGAGGACACACCAGGGGCCACACTCGCAGAACCGGAAAGGACGCCAGCACCGTGCGTGAAAAAAAAGCCAAGAAAGTCCAGGTGACAAGTTCCTATGCTGGAACCCGGCCCTGCATCTACATTCTCCTCTTCGCTGATAGCCAGGATGCTTCTCTCTCCTCTTGATTGATGTTTTAGTCTGAGCTGTCATTAGTTAAATTAATTTTCTCTCCAAGATAGTGGAATAAGGTCCACAAAGGCAAATCTTATGAGGCTGTAAAAATAGACCATCATTTGGAGGAAATTCAGATGTGTTCCCTGCTCTTGTCGTTGCTGCAGAAGAACACTTTAATTTGATATGAATTCCTCAAGAGAAACTTTAAATTAACTTAGATTTAGCTGTGTTTGAGAGATAGCAATTCAAAGCAACAAAATAAAATACTCTTTGCTGACTCCGGTGTTTCCATGTTCATGCTCCTATGTGCTCTTCTTTATTTTCTGCTCAGGCTAAATAAATGCCAATATTCACCTTGAAAGAGTCATCATAAAGTAACTCCCCTGGGATACAAAAATATCCTTCTCTCATCTTCCATCCAAACAGTGTCAGATGAAGTTAAAAGACCTGGTAAATGTGCTAAAATCTGCTTATGTGAATTATTTTTTTCCAGGATAACTGAGCAGCCATCACCTAAGCTGTCAGGATGCAAAGAGAAACGCAGAAAGACCGTTTTATAACCTAAGAGCAAGGATGGGGGGTAGGAGGGGGCTGGAGAGAGGCACACGGGGAGGGGAGGAAGGACACAGAAGCCACAGATTCCCCAGCGGTCAGCACCAGCAAGGTCCTGGGGGACATCTGGTGCAGCCTCCAGGGACAGAGGAGGCCTGGCCAGCACCGGCCCAAGGTCCTCCTGGGCAACCCCCAGTGCCCTGACCTCCTGGACTCACTGCCTGATGCCAAAGGGCCTCCAGTTCTCCTCACTTTGAGGAAATTTAACTTGAACCTCTTTCATGAGAGATCTTGTTTCCTAAACAGCCCCCAACATTGATGGTGCTGTAGCCAGGCTTTGCCTGTGAGAGCACTCATGAGGAGCACCGTAGCGGGGGTGCTCCTGAACTTCTGCATACAGATTTCTTGGCTTTTTCCGTCACAGCCTTTGACACCCATCAGCCACAGGCAACCTGGGTAGACTTCCATGGGAGGGCACCTCAGAGCAGGGTGACTGAGTTCATGAAGGTCCCAGTGCAAACCCAAAGGTCTTGGGAGCCATTGAAAGCACACATCACCCAACACCCATAGAGCCAAGTTCAGGGACTTGGGAGCCAATAAAACCAGGTATTACCCAACACCCATCAGAGCCAAGTTCAAAGGCAGGTTCCATGCATAATTCTTTGGGCTGGTAAGTCTTTTTCTGGCACGCCCTCTGATAAGAACCATTCTCAACTGTAGGATGCTCTTGACATCTAAGTGGGTCCTTCCAGGTCAGACAGTCAAGTACATCTGGAGTGTCTCATCCAAGTGGCTGTGGCCCTCTTAGCTGGGAAGAAGCCAGAGGCTGCCAGTGCTCAGCTGACATCTCCACATGACTTACCACCACTCTGGCAATGTCATAATTATGACGCCTAAACTTACCCTGTTTATTTGCAGGCCAGAGGAATGCATGATTGTTTATTTTTATTACAAATATTGATGGTAACTCACAGGCACTTACTTCATTGCCATTTCTAGTGAAATTGCCCATCATAAAATATCTCCAGAATTCTGATCCTGATTAGCTTCCAGAGCTGGTCCAGGGTGCGATCCTACCATTTGTCTTAATTTTATTTTGCTCTCCCTAACTGCACACACCACTTCAGGAATATCTGGAATTTTGTTTTAATTGTACAGCTTTCAACTCACACCACATTTCTCTTTGTGTTGAAAGCATCCCGGTGATTTATCCTCATTATTGTGTAAATAGGTTTCGGCAGTTCTCAGTAAATAAAACAAAGACTGACAGGAGGAGAAGAGGGAATTTGCTTTCCTACCAATTAGAGTAGCCTTAGGCAGTACTTTTAAGAGGAGATAAATCCTGCAAATCACTAAAATGATCCTGTCACATGCACCAAATATTAAAATCGCACAGCGGCGCCCTCGGTACAGTTTGCTCTGGTTTAATGAGTTGGGGTGGGCCTCGTGGCGAGGGCTGCAACGCACAGTTGGGGACCCTTGACTGACAGCAGAGCTCACACCCAACTGCAGCTTCCCAACCTGTGTGGCCAGATGGAAAATCACAATCCGGCGGAATCCGCAGCTTTCCAGCTAACGAACATTCCCAAATTGTCTTTACAGCGTCTACCTGTAAAACCTTTCCCCATGATAAATAAATGCAAACTCTGCTTCCTATTAGCTGAGGTGATGCTTTTAATACAAAATCTACAGCCTGTGCCTACTAGGGGAGCAACATGTTAACTTCTGCAACTGGGGAAGTTTTCGGGGAATTAGAAGTGAGTTTACTTCATCTAGCGCCACACTTAGTTCCCCACCACAACGCAGCTAGTTAGTTGTCCTCCACAACTAGTTAGCTGGGGAAACACAAGGAACTTCCAGACATTTTTTTTTTTTTTTTTACTATGTTTCAATGCCTCATCTACTTTCTCCAGCTTTGGGGTGAAGTGGTCCACCTAACTCCACGGCAAGGAAACCAATGGACCCCATGAACACTTTAACGAGAGTTGTGAGCCCATCTTCTTCAAGGCTGGTGTGTGACCTGGGGTGCTGGGTGCACGGGCGTCTTTCCATTTCCAATCCATGGCCACTGGGGTTCAGAAGCATGGCACGCTATCTGGGAGGCACATCCATATGGGACCGGTCACAATGGAGCTGTAACAGCCATCAAGATGGTTCACCATAAAACCCAGCAGAAAGTCCCAGAACAGACAACCCAATGGGCAGGCCCAGTGTTTTGCGTTTTTCAGTAACCACCTTTCTTCTCTCTGCCACTGTCAGGTCTTACCTGGTGACAATGACACTTGGTATATTGAGCAACAACTGTTAGCTTGTTACAGCATCTTTGTGAGACTCTTTATGAGCGTGTAACTAACTGTACGAAAAGAACTCCCATAACCCGAGACCCGGGGTCAGTAATGCATTAAAACAAAACAAGACACACAGGATTTCAGTACAGCAAGGACTCGTGTGGAAAGGGGTGCCTGGCAGGGCAAGACAGAAGGAGCCCAGGTGCTCTGAGCCAGCTTCCGCCCACCCTGCCCCTGGGCCTACCCAGCCTGGTAAATGCCAATTCACATCCAAGAGACGGCGGCCTCTCTCAGGATTCCAGAAGTATTTAAGATTCACAAGTGATTCTCCATGAACTCACCACCACTGCCTTCCAGGATTTGGAATGAAAACGCCTACAAGACACAGAAGCAACACAACAAAGAGAACACAACGCAATTCTGTGGCTTCGATGAAAGTCATACACACGTTTCACCTTTTTCTTGACATCTTAGTTTTTAGCCTCCAACTGAAGTTCCATTCCACTAGTATTAGATGGAACCAGGTGAAGCTGCTGGTTTTGAGCATGTACTGGTTCAGTATATACGGTTCAGTCTAATATTTTATGCAAAGTGGATATCAAAACCATAAGGCCAATTTCCAAAGTAATATTATTTTCTTTATAAGAGATGTTTGGAAGGCCCTTGGGCATAGAAATCCTTGGACTGGGCTTCCCTTGTAAGGAATGACCCAAAGTGTCTGCATTTAGTAGCTGTGGTTATCTTATTCTACCTGCTCTTTTTACCCATGTAGCATTCCATAAGCACCTGTGCTCAGTGCTAAATTTATGAAGAAAGAGATTACAAAGATAGCATCACACCCTTACAAAGTTCAGATTACATCCCATTAAACAATGTCAAATTGTCAAGTACTAAACCTATTCGATGAGGAAATGTATTAGAGAGATACTGGTGCATTGTTTTACAAATATTTGTTGAGACATTTCCTAATGGTCCTTCTCGTGGATAAAGATCCACAGAATCAGGAGTGGGGACATATTGGGCCTGGAGGAAGATGTGATTTTTGATGAGAGTAAAATCCTTGCTCCCAAAGGTGCTCTGAGAGGCACTTTCTTGCTGTCATGGGGAGTCCATGACCCCAGGCAGTCATTTGGTGGAATTTTAATTGCTGCAAAGTCATCATAGGAATCACAGCATTTTACTGCCGGGAGAGGAGTCTCAGATAGAATTCAATCCTAAAGTTGACAAATGGAGGCAGAATGATCAGCCAGTGAAGTCCCCTCTCCTTCCCATCTGTTCTTTCTGTCCTCAAAACCCTATACACGATTCCAAAGGGCTCCCTGGAAAAGTTGCTGCCACTCTCAGAAGAGGGGGTCACATGACTGAAGACCATGACCCAAGTTTCCTTCAGCTGGTTCAGGATAACATAGTTGGTGGAAGATATTCAGGCAGTTTCCTTTTTTCCTACTTTGGAATTCATGCCCTTCCACCTAGAATGCCCATCCCCAACTCATCTCTGAGGGTGTGCAGACCCTTCATCTTCATAGCCAGGACCCCAAAGCCTCCAGGGTTCCTGCACTACCCCTTGGTTAGGTCTTAACTGGTGACAATGACACTTGGTATATTTAGCAACAACTGTTAGCTTGCTACAGCATCACCCCAGAGTCATCATTCCCCAACACATTATTCTCCTGTATTATAATCATTTGTTTCTCCCACCTCCTGCCAAACATATTAAGGGATACAGGGCTATGAATATGGAGATGGATGGATGGACAGACAGATGATTAAATGGACAGATGGATGGATGGATAAATGGATGGATGGACAGACAAATGGAAGATAGATGGGCAGATGGATGGATGAATGAATGGATAGACAAGTGCACATATGGATAGATGAACAGAGGATGCATGGATAAATGGATGGATGAACGGATGGATGGATGGATGGACAAATGGATGGATGGATAGACGGATGGCTGGATGGACAAATGGATGGATGGATGGATGGATGGATGGATGGAGACAGACATCTATGGATAGAACTATATAATACAAATATATAGACACAGACATAAGATTTATATAGATCTCTCTATCCATCCATCCATCCATCCACCCTTTAGAGCAGGAATATTTTAATCACCTCAACTCAAATTAGATTTTGAATAAATATTTCTTGAATGAATAAATGAATGGATAATTAGTTACTCCTAAACGAACAGAAGCAACTCCTTAAATAGCTCCCTATATTGCAACTGCAAATTTTCATGGAGTAGGAAACAGACACAAAATTATAATCACGAGACATTTCTGAAGCAAAGTCAAATTTGTCCATAAGGTGAGGGTTCTGCCACCATGTCCATGAGATAACCAGAAAGGGCAAGGCTGCGCCTTTCAGGGATGAGTTCGTCCCACTAGAGATGTGCCCTCTAGGGTGAGGTGACTCTGGACCCCAGGGCTCCACCCTCAGCTCTTCCCTGCCCTTGTCTTTCCATCAACTTGGGGCTGGAGACTCCAGGGAAAGTGTAGCTCTGTCCTGACCTTGATGGCACCAGAAGGGCTCCAGGGTGCACTGTGCAACATGGTGGCCACAAGCCACAGGTGGCAACTAGGCATGTGGTAGGGGCCGGTCCTCATGGAGATGTGCTGTTTGTGTCCAATACACCAGATTCCCAAACTTAGTGAACAAGATAAAATTTAAAATATGTCAGCAATTTTATATTGACTACGTATTGAAATAATAATCTTTTGGCTATATGAAGGAAAAAATTCTTTCTTATATTTTATATTATAAAAATATTATCTCTTTTTACTTTGTTAGTGTGGTTACTTGAAAAATTTAATAGTCAAAATTTTAGGTGGCTTTCATGTGTGGTTTGCACACTGTTCACTGGCCACCACTGGTCTAGGGAGCAGGCTGGGTCTCTCCAAGGACTGACCCTACCTGGCCTCCCCACTCCATGAAGAAGTAGGGATGGAGGATCCTCCCAGGCCCTCACACACCATCTCTAGAGGATGGCAGCCTCTGGGAGGCCACACAGCTCAGCGAGAACCGCAGCATCAGCCTCTCCAGGACGGTGGCGGGGAAGGGAAGGGCTTCCCAACCGTTGCAGGTCCTGGGAACCCTGGAATTGAACTCGCCTCCACCCTGCATGGCAACCTCCCCGCTGGAGGCTGCCCTCGTGGGTTGGGCCCCCGAGGTGACATTTGTTTCATTAATGCAACGCTCAGGCACTCAAACACTGCTTCACATTCTACAGCGATTCCAAAAGTGATTTCCACAATATGATTTACATACTAGCCGAGTGTAAATTTAGAATAATTTGGCCTGAATGATCCTTACTAGAATAGATGGCCACAAGAAAAGAATGGTGAATAAAAGCAGCCTTACTCAGAATCTAAGCAATTTGCTGGCAAATACAAGCAGCATTTCCCCAGATTATAATTTACACTGTATTAACTGTCAAGAGCGCTTTTGAGAAATATAGATAACAATTCAGATGCAATCGATAGGGAGTGACAGTTGATTTCAAAGCTTAATGCAAGACAAGAAAGAAATGACTGGGGCATCAGCTCTGGAAGAATAAATTTGTTTTGTATTTGATTTTTGTGTTAAATTTATTACTGCCAAGAAGAGCTCTCTTTCAATAATATTAAGAACAAGATTGTGAAATTGCAACATGTTCGTCTCCCACAGTTTTCACAGCATTGCCAATATAAAATGATGCCCCTGTTCAGTACTATGTATAGATCCCATTAAACTGCTGCAGATTCCTCTAACTTTGAATTTCCGCGCCCTGTACAGGAGCCCTCTTAACCCCTCTCTGCACTGGCAGGGGGCTCTGTTTGGACCCTCAGGTGGAACGGGCCCTCTTCTGGGTGCTGTCACACCCTCCTGTGAGTCTAGGGAGAGGACAGTCCCTATGGGACCAGAGGACGCTTCTGCTTAGTTCTGAAGTGGCCTTAACAATAGGCTTATTTCTAGAAATGCCTACAGTTGGCTGTTTCTAAGATCAGAGAGTTCTGTGAAAACAAAAACTTGAAAAAAACGTCAGGCTAAACCTCAATTGTTTGATTGAGAAGGGTTGGTGTATCCCTGTCATAGTCAATAGAAGCTTTTTTTTTCGATTCTGTCAAAATGTCCAGTGTATATAATCTTAGGGTTTCATGTTCCTCTGTGCAATACCACAAGAAACTTACTTGACAAGTACCAGGGAAAAAAAAAATTTCCCTTTTAGCCCAACTCTATTATACTCCTTATTCTCTCCCACCAGCTGGGGTTGCCTCTCCGCAGCCCTGCACACTCGAAAACCCACCAGCATGGCCAGAAATGAAATGATGAAAGTTGCCACAGTTCAAACTTCTCCATACTTCTCACTTATGACATGATTGATTTTCCTTCAGAGTGCTCAAACACAGGATTGTCTCCCTTCTTTTTTCACTGTGGAAACAGCTAATGTATACAGCCTCGGCCTGCCAGAGAAGGGGGAAGCGGCTGACATGTAGAAGAACAACTGAAATGAATACGGATGAAATTTGAAAGTGCAATTTTCCATCTGTCAATCACCTTTCAAAGGGACCCGTTAACCACCAATCGGGAGACCCTGGGCGAGGGCGCCCCTGTTTGCAGCTCTCCACGCCAAAGGCCCCTTGGCCTCATTAATCAAGATATTCACTGCTGATCAAAGTTTTGCACAGGTATCCTGCACTGACTTGGAATGCTCCAGGAATATTTTATTAGGTTTCTTGAGATGCTATTGATAATTTATATTTTGAATTAAAACAAATGGTCTCCTCTTAAACAGAATTTGATTAGGTGACGACAAAATCTATTTCTCTCACTCTGGTGATGGTACGTGGTGGATCCTTTCCCAGAGCTGCCTCAGAAGGAAATGTGAGGTGCTGTGGCATTAATAATGGATAGTCACCCCAACCCTTCCTGGCCGCAGCACCAAGATGCCTCGAAATACAGCCAATTAAGGTTTATTTAATTATTAAGGTTGAATAAATAACAGCGAAACATGTTAAAAATCTTTCAGTTTCAGTCAATCATAATAAAAAATTAATGAGACTGGATAGAGAGCCATAAAAACTGATAGACTGCGATCGTGAATTATAAATTGGTATTGATTTTTTCCTTTGCAATAACACTCTCAGGTAATCGTACGTTGTCGCATGTAAAGTGCACTCTCCTGGTTGAGACTAATATTAACTATCAAATATAGATGAGACGGAGGCATTTATGACACTTCAGATATCACAAACAAAAAGCAAAAAATACAATTTGTGGAATAATAGCAGCACTGAACAGAGAATCCTAGGGTGTTTATGGGAGCTGGCCGGGACCCCACTGAGCCATGGATCCATAAGACACAGCTACCTCATTCTTCTCCTGCCATTTCTCCTCTGATATGTTACCTTGTTAGTATCACTAAGAAAAGCATAAATATTTTTTATTATTTGTGAGGCTCATCCCGTCTTGCTTAATAGACAGGCCACATGGAGTTAAAGCCATATTATATGACCTGGTGCAGAAGTGATCATTCAAAAACCCAAAGCACATATTTTATACCGCCTGGCTTTATTAATTCTAAGCCCCCAAGAAATAGCGGGAGGATTTTCCAGCTTTCTGTTTATTGAAGTAACGTGGAAACAAATAAGACATTTCCCTAGGCTAGCTCAGATAAAGTGGACAATTACTATTGGCATTCCGCATGTAAATATTTAACACTTCACAGCTAGTTTGCACCTAAATACCCATTAGATGTTGCTACAAGCCTGGACACCATTTCCCAGCAGAACTACATGGGCCGTCCTGGGCAATGGTTATTGGATTAGGGCGAATACAAATCTCATTCCAAATAGCGCTGGAAGGGGACACGGGCTAGAGGAGACGGGATATACCTGAATAGGGTGGCTTCCTTGAGTGACACAAACCAACTCCTCCAAGAAAACTCAGACAAAGCCAGTGTCGGCGCAGCCACCGCCGCTGGCCCAGCTAATTGATAAGCCGCGTTGCAGTTCGTTAGTGGCGTTGATCGGATTTCCCTTGTTTGGGGGAAGCATAGAGGAGACATCATGGACACAGGCCAGCTATGCACACATGTGGCTGCCTGTCTGAGTTCAATTTCCGCCTCCTTTCCACTGTCTGGCCTGGAACAAACATCGAGAGGTGCAAGGCCACCATTTTTTTAGGATGCGAGTGATCCAGTTTACACCAATAAGTATGGCCCATAAGTCGACTCTTTGCAAATTCTAAACACAATGCAACTGCCTCTTTAAGTAACTCTGCTTCTTAAAGATATACTAAAAGTATTCTTTTAATAAGCAAACCGTAGTCAGAGTTAACAATGTGGACTTTACCTGCCCACTCTGATTTTAAGCACAGCTGCTGAAGGCTTTCCTTCTGAATTAGAAGTTACTCTGCCCCTTGGCTGGCATTTGGAACTTGAAAGTGAATGGACTGGGATTACTCTTCCCAGAGGGTGGCTCTTTTATCCTTTAACTTCCCCATGACTAGGAAATGCCACTGCCCAGAACCCATGATCTCCCCATGGCTGCCCTGGATGGAAGAGGCCAGACATGGAGGGATAGGCCCTCTGCATGGGTCTCTCTTGCAAGAAAGCAAATCCCATGGCCATGAACACGGGGATCCCCAGCCTCCCACCAAACCACAGGCAATTCACACCAGCAGCTCCTTCCTGGACGCCCTTCCTGTGCAGACACTACAGACTCTTGAAAGCAACTTTGTTCACAACCTCTCTGGCCTCCAGTTATGCTGCTGGAAAAGTAGATGGCCCTGGGAGGTGACACTCCCTCGGAACAGCAGCCACTGGACAGGGCACACGTTTGGTCACCCTGGCTCTCAGAGGGAGGTCATGGGTTCTCACTCACCTGGCCTGGGCTGCCATCTTTGGAGCAGCAGCTAAGCCTTAAAAATCAGCCTGAGAGCAACTGTGACAAACTCTGGAAGTCAAGCCTGGAAAACATACCTGGGAAGGTGGCCCAGTGAGGCTGGTGTCCGGGCAGCACTGTGCATGCTGGGTGCCTGCTTGTACCCCATCCAAGCCTGCGAACCCCCATGCTGGCCAGGGACCCTCTGTGGCACACCGTCAGCCGCCAAGGCCCTGGGGTCCCCCCAGAACAGCAGCGCCCACCCCTGGGCTCACAGACTCTAAGAGCCCTTCTCCCAACCCTTTCCTCGCCGCTCTGACCTCTGCGCTCTGGAAACAATTACTCCTGGAAGGCCTGTCAATATCATTATTTTTACAAGAAATCAATACGCCTCACAAAGTTAATGGGGGATTCAGGCAGGGAGCGTTTACCTCCTCACTGTCAGGGGCTCGGGCTCTGCTCAGCGCCGATGACAGATCCGCCGACACCAGCAGACAGTAAGCAACGCGTGGAGAGGAGGCTGGCACTGCAGGCAGGCGTGGAGGCCGTCAGCAGTGCCGCGCTAACGAGCCCGCCCGGGGCTGGAGCCCACTCGGACCGCCGGGCCAGGGGCCATGTGGGGCAGACACCCCAGAGCTCTGCCCAAATGAGGCCTGAGTCCCCTCTGTGAAGGGAATCGGAGCCTTCAATTACTTGACATGTGTCCTGTAAGCACAGACTGTACACATACTCAAGTCCCTTGGCCAGTACGGGGCCTGAAAGAAGAGTTAACCGCATCTGTTGTCTTTAACAAAAGAGACTGCTTCTCCTTCCCTGCCCAACCCTAACACTTACAAAATTAAAAACCAAGAAACAGCTATGTGTATGCACACACACACACAAATACATACAAATATACCTGTATATATATTCACAAACCAAGTCAGAAGTAACTACACTGATGATCCTAAAATCCAAATTGGAAGGGTCCGAAGAGCCATCCCCCACCACAGTTTGGCAGATATACACCAAATCTCCATGAAAAATATCTCAATACATCAATTCAAGTCCCTATTTTTCTTATCCGAGATGCCAGGTGTACGGATTGTCCACCCAGCTCCTACGCTCCCTGCTGTGGGTCCCCCCTTCTTTTCCCCATCACCTCCCCCAGAGCCCCAGGTATAGGATTAAAAATTAAAGTTACAAAGTTGTCCAGGGCACAGACCTTCAGCACGCTCTAGCCCACACTGAGACAGCACCCTAAAATCCTTCCTAGACCCCCAGCCTCCCTGTTCAGCAGCAGTTTCTGTCCGCAAACCTGGCCTCTGCATGGTCACGTGGTCCAAGGGGAGGGTTCCAAGCAGCTTTACTGCTGCCACAGCCTGGCATATCCACTCCTGGGGCACAGGTGCCAGCAGGGCCATGGCCGAAGCTGCTAATGAAACGATTTACCCACACAGAGCTCAGCGCGGAGGCTCCGGATCCAGCACCAACCACCAGCACATCATGATGGGTACCACCGCCCACTGCCCACTCCAAACCCCCACACCTGCCTTCCAGGTAACTGCAGGGCCCATGGAGAACGGGGTCATTCCTTTATAACAGAGCAAAGCATGCCTCTGCCCCCACACGGCACATGGCAGTGACCAAGCCCCACAGCTGTGAGGGACCTCCAGCCCACGGGTGGGCCAGGGCCAGACCAGGAGCCATGGTCCCGGAGCACAGGGTAAGGTCACAGGGATACTTCTCCTGGCCTGACAGGTGCAGAGACCCACAGGCCTTCTCATCCCACAGCCAGCTGGATAGAAGCATTGCAGAGCCACAGCCCAAGCCTTGGCTTAGAGGACCGTCCTCAGTTTACCCAACAGGCCCTTTCTCTCTAGACCCTGTCCTGGCTCCTCTCTCACTCCTGCTCCACCTCCCTCTGCTCTGCCCCATTCGCCCTCCCCTATCCATTCTCCAATCACTTCCCTCTTCCATCCCATTTCAGAAACCCCCATCCCCACCCAGGCCCCTGAAGCTTGGAATAGTGTCCAAAAGGCCGCCAAGAAAAGGCATCCACCTGCCTCAGCTGCTCCAGCCTCCTTGGTGGGCACGGGATGGGAAGAGGGGTGAGGAGGGGCTGGGGGCTGCTGCTGGGCTCACGGGGCAGGGACAGTTAGCCGACCTGTCATTCAGAACCGTGTATGCCAAAGCACTGCTATGGAAAACAGCATGAATGAGATCTCATAGTTGATATGGGGGAAATGGTGACCCCTCACTCCTACTCCAAGCTGGGAAGCCCAAGCCCAGGTGGACTCCCAAGTGCCCTCTCACCCACAGGGAGGCCGGTTCGGCAGCCGAAGGGAGCTTTGCCAACAAAGGAACAACTAGAGTGGGCAAAGGGGTCTCCGCGAGGCCTCATGGAGGAAATGCATGGCTGCTTCCTCCCCAGAGCAACGCACGGCCCAGCAAGAACACGTGACCTCAGTCAGATGTGCACACAAACTCAACGCCCGGGTGTGCACGTCCACCTGCGTGGGACTCCCCGTGAAGGAATGCCACTGAATGAAGAGGGCTCCCGCTAGGACCCACAGGAGCAACTGCCCCACCACCAAGTACAAAAGTTGGGGGAGGTCCTCGCGCACCAAGAATTTCACCTAAACTGGCTCTTTCCTGCGCATGGAATATCGCCCTCCACTCCTGGCCTCCAAGGTAGAGGGAGAGGCAAGCTGGACCCCGGAACCCTAGGAAGGGCCCTGCGGCTCCTCTCCCCACTATCAACAGTGTGGAATTTACACCGGGCCTTTACATCCTTACCAGGCGCTTCACAGCTTTTTAAGGCCTTAATGCAAACCATATGCAGAGCTGCCTGCTCACCAAGGCCTCCAGCAGCTGCCTCCTGATTGGCTCCTGCAGGATGGGAAATAGAGGTCTCAGAGGGGAAAAAACAACAAACAGATCTCTTGTCTACAAAGCAGAACTCAAAACATTTTTCATGCATTCTCGGCTTCTCTAGGAGCAGCAGGCTGTTTAAAAAAATACCTGGCCCAAATTGAGCATTTGCTTGACATGATGGCAAAGTGAGTGCTATTTTCTGTTATATTGCCCCTATTCTACATCGACAAGAATATATTTTTTCCCTGTTCCCAACTGATTTCACAGTAGTGAACTCCGTTTATGAATTATCTGACACATTTCTTGCAATTCTTCTGACAACAGTGCTCAGTGGAAATTTCAAGGCCCCTCTCTTCTGACAAGTAGAAATATCAATATTTGAATAAATTGTGGATTTTAAACTTCTCACTCTGATGCGCCACAGCAAGGAAGACTGAATTCTTCTTTTACTGGGTCTAATCCCCCTGAGCCTCAGGAAGAAATCTGTATGCAGCGTTTCATTACAAGAAAGCAGTACTGAGTGACATTTGAAACACATCTAAGTCGACCTGATGAAGTTTACTTCCTTCCAACAACAAATAGCAGCTTTGTATCATTCCCCCTTCTTGGGGGAAGAGCAGCACAACTCTGGTGTCTGAGCAAAAAACCGAAATGTTGATTCACAAATTGACAGCCCGATCTTTAAACAAATGTGTTTCTTGGAGGGAAAACGCAGCTTTGTTCGAGCTAGGCATTTTTCTCTTGCCTGACAGAAGCATTCCGGGCCTGATTAGAAGGGCCTTGTTAGGGTCCGTCTCAGACACTCTGACTCCACGTTTTAACAAGCATGCAAAGAAAACAGCATAAAGATAACAAAACATTGTCATTACCATCTCCGGTGACTCTGTGTGCCTTTAACACTTGCACACATTTTCTCCTGGTGGCCCCCACACAGTTGCATGCACTGGGCAGGGCCCAAGGCTTGCTCCAGAGGTCCCTAAATGAGGGACTTTCTGCACTCACAGAGCTGATGGACTGGCAGGAGCATGCAACTCCAGCAGCATCCTCTTCTTTTCTTGGATGAATAAACATGGATAGTTTATTGCTGAAACCATATGTGGGCCTGAGCAGTATGATGAATGGCCTGTATTTTCCGGGGAACGGCCGGCAGAGCCGCCTCCTCCAAGCCCAGCCTGACGGTCCTGAGGCTGCAACCTCGAGCACCCCCAGAGCTATGGTTCCCTGAAATGTATTCCTTGTAAAAAATAAATAACAAGATACAAGCCAGAGGAGAAACCTGGGAGGTGCTACGAATGCTAGATCACCACCGGTGAGGGGCCCAGGGGTCTGGCTGTGAGCCTCAGTTTCCCCCTCTGTGGGAGGGGGTGGCACCCACCCTTCAGAGCAAATGGAAGGCCCCGTGCCAACCCTGCACACAGGCAGGACTCGGCCAGGCCAGGTGCCATCTTCTCATCTTCTCATCTAAATCCCAGACTCTCTTCCCCAAAAGCTAAGCTGAGTGTATCCAGCCATATCCTTCATTCACTCATCTCGCTTCTCATCCGAATGGAACTCCACCTGAAAACTCTGCATGGATGACCATGGTCTCTCGTCCTACCTGTGGATGCAAGAGCAAGGCCTGGTGGTTCAAGAACACCCATCCCATTCACAAAACCCACTCATGCAATTTGGAAGTATGAGATCCCAATGTAAAAATCTGTTGGGGTGAGGGGTTCCTCGAAGGACCTGAGGCCAGGCTGGGGCCAGGAACCAAAGAGGACTCCAGGGGACATGACGGGCAGAGGGGCTGACCTCTCCCCTACCCACCTCCCTCCAGCCCTGCACCCACATCCAGCTTTGAAGACCGAGGCGGCTGAGGAGGGCAATCTTGCACATTTCAGACAAAGAGCATCTGTGATTTTCCCTTGGCAGGGGCACGGCGTTGGGCATCAGTGCTCTGGGCAGCCTTGGGAGAGGGAGACTCCCAGGCCTGCATCCTAAGGACTGGCCTGGGGAAGGTGGGGCACAGGCTGGTTCACTGGAGCCCAGAGGCGCATGCAAGGTGCTTTCGAAAATACCGTTGGCCACTCGGAACCGCAGGGTGGGGAAGCCACTCCAGCAGTGAGAATGGCAGGAGAGCAAGCAAAATGGCCGAAAACAAAGTGAATCCCCTGCTGGGCATGCAGGGCTTGGAACGGGGCTGGTTCCTCCTCTGAGGGTAGGAAAGGAGAAGGCTACCCCTTCACCTGAGCCCTGGGCAGCAGGGGCCACGGGCACAGAAGACCCACTGTGCGGCCGGTCCATCTGAAAGCACGGGGCAGGGCGGGCCCATGCTCCACCTTTGCCATGGTAGAGCCACCTGCATGGGAGACCCTGGGAGGCTCCTGCAGAGGCTTCAGCTGCCCCGGCCACTACTCACCAGGTGTCAGGCCCCCCACCTTCTCCCTGCACCCAACGGGTGTCATGAGAAGGGAGGCTCAGTGAGCAATAAAAGACCCTCAGGGTCCCCTAGGGCATCACATCAAGTCTGGGAAAGCCAGTGGCCAGAGGCTGAGAGAACATGAGGGGCAGGGACTGTATCTATGCATCTGTGAAAAGAGAACATGCTTTGCATGGCTGTGGGACAGAGCCCCTGAGCCAAGACACAAATGTGCTTGGCAAACCCTTGGGCCCTTCAAGAGTTTGCTGCTCCTCACTGTGTGAAGAGGTCAAGGATGCCCATCCACTGGGGCAGTTTCAGCCTCATGGACAGCACTGGGGCAGAGGGAGGGATGAGGGAGAAGAAACTGGACATTCACTTATCTAGACAACAAATGGTTCTCAGATGCTGCAATGGGGCGCTGGGAACTCAGCAAAAGGCTCTGTGATGTGAGGCCTCATTTCAATACAAGGGCCCAAGACCCAGGGCCCAGCCCGGAGCAGGACCCCCCAAAGGATGGCTGGGGGTTCCTCTTGTTGGCATCTGGGACAGGAAAGGGGGAGCAGTGAGAAACCTCAACTCCCAAAGTTACTATTACTCAAAAGTAAACACAAAAACACTTTCTCCAGAAGAGTTATGATTTAAAACACTCACCCATGCATGCGCGCACACATGCACACACACACACACACACACACACACACACACACAAAAAAGCCAAGACAAGTTGGGTGTTGCTACGAAGTGAGTCGGGGAGCCCATTCTTGCGGGGTGTGACGTCCCATGAAGTTTGTTGTAACGAGCGACAGCCCAGACATCAATGCTGGGCGAGCACAGCCGCCGAGAGTGCGGGAAAGCTGTGCCCACAGATGGCCAAGCATGTGGAGGAGAGCACAATATTTTATTTAAATATCCAAATACGAACACATTCCCGCATGGCACCAACAGCCGCCTGAACACGCCCGATGCCGGCTTGTGCTTTTTCCGTTTTGTCTAGAAATTTGGGTTGCACTAAATTCTCAGCTGAATGAAGATGAGAAGGGGCTGGCAGAGGGGGTGGCTCCAGCTCTCTGAGAACCTGGCTCCTTCCCGGGTGGCAGGGAGAGATGGCCCCTGGGGAGACGGGGAGGGTGCACTGCCTCATGCCCAAACCACCAGCTTCTAGTTGAGAAATCAGAATTTTCTCTGCAGAATAAGGAAAAAGCATTGTCACCATGATTCACGTGGAGCTGGCCACACTCAGGAAATTCAATGGGGTCCCACAGGGGCTCCGAGGGGGAAGGAGAGGGCCTGGGACATGCCCCTCCAGCCATCATGGAACAGGATGGGCAGGGCCGGCCCTCACTGCTCTCTAACAGTGAAAAGCCACATCTCCACTTTGGAAAACACAGGCATGTGAGAGCCTGGGGGAGAGACGGGCGGGTGCACTCAAAGCCTCCCTGGCAGGGGTGAGACCACCAGGCCCAGGTGCACCACATGCCCACCAGCTCTGTGACCCTGGACAAGCCACGGTTCCTCGTGAGCCTCAGGCTCCGCAACTTCAAAATGGGAATGACAGTCTCTCTCTGTCCACCACCTCATGCTCAGCAAGAATTAAATGAGACAATGCCTAGGAAATGCTTGACCAGCCCCTGATCTGCCCTGGCATGTGGACTGGATTCAGGACGGGTGCAGAAAACGACACCAAGAATGATTATCCGTGCGGGGCATCTCGTGTTGTTTCCGAAATTAGGCACAGCCTAGAGAAGCGTTTGAGAGCAGTGGAGTTGAAGGCACTCCAGGAGGCTCAGAGGAGCATGAAGGCCAGGCTTGTTGCAGTGGCCCAGGTCTCCACAGCTCAGGAGCCAGCAGGGCCAGCGAGAGGCTGGATGCAGGGAGTGTGACCCCAAATCTCCAGCAAAGCTCAGGGCCTGGCCACCAGGGCCCCCAATAATGGACCCTTCGCTGAGGCCATTCCCTGACCTCTCAGGGCTCCGGCTCACGCTCAGCCTCATGGGCCACACCAGGGACAGAGGCCAGCACAGCCCAAGGGAGGCACAGTGAGCAGGACGAAGGTGCTCCCTGGGAAATGGGGAGGAGTTCCTGCCATAGCAGAGGAGGGCATTCCTGCAGGGGTGGGAATGAGGGCTAGTGACCCCCAAAGCCACATCCAGGCCTGAGTTTCTAAAACATCAGCAGGAAAAGAAATCTAGAATTCCCAGAAGAAAAAGAGATCCATTAATAATAAGTACAATAGATTTGTAAAGACTAAACCCATAAACAAAACCGGTTACTTGTCATGTATTAAAAGTGGGACACAGGCCAGGTGCAGCAGTTCACGCCTGTAATTCCAGCACTTGGGAGGCCGAGGCAGGTGGATCACCTGAGGTCAGGAGTTCAAAGACCAGCTTGGCCAACATGGCGAAACCCCATCTCTACTAAAAATACAAAAATTAGCTGGGCGTGGTGGCACACGCCTGTAGTCCCAGCTACTTGGAAGGCTGAGGCAGAAGAACCACTTGAACCTGGGACATCGCAGTTGCAGTGAGCCAAATTCACACCACTGCACTCCAGCCTGAGCGACAGGGCGAGACTCCGTCTCAAGGAAAAAAAACAAAAAAAGTGGGGCACATATCATATGCATATTCCACCTCGGCATTTAATTATTACAATGATAGGTTTTTACTTCAGGAAAACCCCACTAGGAAAATAAAAAACAACTAAGTTTAAAATAAAGACAAGAAAGCCAGACACAATAATGTGCACCTGAAGTCCCAGCTCCTCATGAGGCTTGAAGCCAGGAGTTTGAGGCTGCAGTGAGCTATGACTGTGCCTCTGAATGGCCACTGCATTCCAGCTTGGGCACCACAGCAAGACCCTGCCTCAAAAAAAAAAAAAAAAAAAAAAAAAAAACTAAAACCAAGCTGAGATTATTTGAATTACAAATGGGATTTTACCAAAAGATTTATTTCAGTAAAGCAAAAGTATCAGGCTTGCTCCCTGGTGATATTTAAATATAATTTGACTTCTGTGAGATACCCCTTTAGTGGTCTAGGTTTACCCTCTAGCCTCAAGCTCCTCATCTTTAAAATTAGGTAAGGAAGCTACTAACAGTAGCAGATAAGGTGTAATTAGTAAAATGATAATCCTACTGCTAATAACAATCATGAACTGTCCTACCAGAGGACCCAGAATGGGGCAGGTGCCAGGCCAACCACTTGGTATTGACTTCCTTCAACCCCCATCAGCTCTGCTTTGTAGATGAGGAACCTGAGACCTGGAAGCTGGAAAAGCCTGCCCCTGGTCACACAGTTAGGAAGGGGCCCAGGTGGCCTTCCAGCCCCTCACTGCACCCACAAAATTGGGGGATGTGGGATTCACTCTCCCACCCAGCATTCCTGAGGCCGAGGGCTCCCAGCCTGGCATTTTTGAGAAGAGCTCAGGCATAGGTTCTTTGCGTACTCATGTCACAGCTTAGTTCCTCAATGACCTAAGCGGGCAGAGGTGTCCAGCTGGGTCCAGGGGCCAAGACCCCACTTCTGTCTCATTCTCCATGCCCCACACATTTCACTGAAGAAGAAACTGAGGGGAGAAGTCAAGAAGTCAAGTTTTCACAAGGCCTCATGTTTAATGTAACTTAGGAGAAAAGCTAAGAAAAAAATTAGATCTGGAGGAAGATCAGAAATCAAAGTGGACCACCAGACTAAAGAGGATCGGGGAGCGTTGAGAAAGTAATGGAGCTTGGAGCTGCCATTTCTGCTTCCCTCAGCATCACCAGGCCTGCCCTCCTCCGCACCACCAACCTGCGGTTTAGGCCAGACGGAACCCTGTGTGTTCGCATGGTTGTTTAACGATGATCAGGGCCCTGCCCTACCCCCCTCCCCAGCTCCCTGCCCCAGGGGCCTACAGGTCAGAGCCATCAGGAGTGAAGCCCAGATGCGCCTACACATCTGTGTGCACATGCAGGTGTGATTTCATGTCTGTCCTTGCTGGAATCTGGGACCTGAGGCTACAACGGCAGGGGTGGAATCAGGGGAGACTCTTGGTTTACTCATAGTGAGATCTGCTCATCTGCTTAGCCCTCAAACTCCAGTCCAGTGTTATTTTTTAATCCCTGAAACGTGGCATGTAGCAGAGTCCTTGCCCCCTGCAGCAGTCAATAAACACTTGAGCTGTGCTCTGGAGGAGGCTAGAGAGGACTTCCCCAGCCGGGCTTACCAAGGGCAAGGGTACATCAGGCACCCGCCCATGGAAGCCCAGCCTGGGCACAGTGGGAAGGGGACCCAGCCATGACTGAGACTCTCTCTGTCCCCGAGGTGCTTGGGGACAGTGGGGAGGGCGAGTACGCAGGTGACCAAACACAACGCAGACCAAGCCATGAGTTCTGGGAGAAGGGCTGCTTGAAATCCAAGATGGCAATTAAACCACATGGGCAGCAGGGTCTCTGTGACTCGGAACATATCACTGGAAAAGCAACATTGGAGCTGAGCCTGGAAGTTGGGGTTCCAGATTCTGACAAGCAGATACGGAGGGAAGGCTGTCCAGGTGGAGGGAACAGTGGAGGCGGAGGCTGGGAGGGGTCTGGCCCAGCAGGCAGTGGAGTGTGATAACAGCCACAGGGAATAAGGCTGGGGAAGGTGACGAGGCCAGAGATAGCGAGCTTCTCTCTTCATCCAAGAGACCCACTCACGGAGCCTGGGGTACATTCTAGTAGCACAGGCCACCTGTGCTGAAAGGGGCCAACAACTTTCACTGTGCTCTGACCAAGGGCACCCCAGGGGCCAGCTTAGGAGCAGACTTAGAAAGCACAGCCCTGCCCCAGGCGTTGCCCTTGGTAAGCCTGACTGGGGAAGTCCTCTCCAGCCTCCTCCAGAGCACAGCTCAAGTGTTTATTGACTGCTGCAGGGGGCAAGGACTCTGCTAAGTGCCAGGTTTCAGGGATTTAAAAATAACACTGGACTGGGGTTTGATGGCTAAGCAGATGAGCAGGTCTCACTATATGTAAACCAAGAGTCTCCTTCCTGGTGGCCCCCATGTCTCTGCTCCCTGAGGGCAGGGGGAGCTCTGTTTGGGTTCGCCACCATGAGCCAGGAGTCTGCCCAGTGCCGGGCACCTGTAGATGCCCCAGAGATGCCGCTTAATCAATCAGACAGAACAGCACAAGAGAGAAAGCCGCCCGCCCACAAGCCCACCCCGCTGTGCAGTCTAGGGCGAGTATCTCCAGGAGGGCCATAAACCCGCCCCACTGTGCGGTCTAGGGCCAGTATCTCCAGGAGGGCCACAAACCCGCCCCGCTGTGCGGTCTAGGGCGAGTATCTCCAGGAGGGCCACAAACCCGCCCCACTGTGCGGTCTAGGGCCAGTATCTCCAGGAGGGCCACAAACCCGCCCCGCTGTGCAGTCTAGGGCGAGTATCTCCAGGAGGGCCACAAACCCGCCCCACTGTGCGGTCTAGGGCCAGTATCTCCAGGAGGGCCACAAACCCGCCCCGCTGTGCAGTCTAGGGCGAGTATCTCCAGGAGGGCCACAAACCCGCCCCGCTGTGCGGTCTAGGGCCAGTATCTCCAGGAGGGCCACAAACCCGCCCCGCTGTGCGGTCTAGGGCGAATATCTGCAGGAGGGCCACAAACCCACCCCGCTGTGTGATCTAGGGCGAATATCTGCAGGAAGGGGCTGTCTCCTGCACCAAGGGCGGGGGCGGCACAGCATACCTGGAGCGACTCTGGGTTAATGGGTGGAGCATTAAGAGCTCCTCCTGACCCAGCTGGGGCGCTAGCATGGACACCACTGATGGGATAGAATTTCAACCAGCCTTTCTGGAACCTGACTCATTTTATAGAAGAAAAAGGAACGAATAGAAAGGAAGACATGACTCCAGTGGTAAAACCCCGAAGAATCTTGGAAAGCCACGCTTTTGAAAGCACCCAGCCCAGGACATCTCACATGAAAGTTGTGGCCCCGCACTCTGTGTGTGGCAGCAGGTGCGCTGCCAGATGAGAAGGGCCCAGTAACCATGAAGGACCATGATGGCTGGTGGTGCCCAGTGGAGTGATCACTATTGTCTGGGGCAGAAGGGGGCACCAGGGTGGGTGCAGAGGTCTCTGGGCCTAGAGTCAGCAGCTGGCAGTCCTAGCTCTCCTGCCTGAGGTTTGGTTTCCTCATCCTCAAAATGGGGATCCCAGTGCCCACCAGAAGGCTGTTGTGAGCCTGAGGTGCCCTCGGTGGTCTGGGGACAGGGAGGGGTAGCCTGGAAGAAGCTGCCTTGTGATCTCTGGGCAGGACCAAAGAAGCTCCAGCATAGACAGAGTCAGCCTCATCGGCTAAAAGTACACAAAGCAAACAAGAGAAAACAGCGAGTTTGAGCGGGAACCAACTGGGAATCACGTTCTGGAAAAAGAAATCACTTTCGATGGTCAGGAAGAATGTGCTGGATCGCAGTGGGCAAGGGGTCCCTGAAGCAGCTTTCTCCAGCTGGGCACGACTGACGGCGGGGGTGGTCACTGCAGTGGGGCCATCCTGGGCACCGCAGGGTGTTAGCAGCATCCTCAGTCTCAACTCACTTTGCCTGGAATAAACCCTCCCCGCATTGGTCACAACCAAAAAGGCCTCTGGATGTTGTCAGATGTCACCTGGGGGAAAAGTCACCCCAGGCCAAGAACCCCTGCAGACAATCACCAAGCTGCCGGCGTCCCCTGGGCAGAGGATACCCCCGACCATGGGGCCTCACCGATCCCTGTGGAGGTTTGGCCCCAGGCCCAAGGACCACAAGAAAGGGCAGCAGCCTCCACTAGGCCACCGGCTCCTGTTTCAAAGGTCTCTGTGTCCATGCCACCTTTGCAGCCAGCCCACGGCAGCCTGAGTGACAGGCCTGGCTACCT
The DNA here is from genome assembly GCF_000001405.40 of Homo sapiens. Classification (NCBI taxonomy): domain Eukaryota; kingdom Metazoa; phylum Chordata; class Mammalia; order Primates; family Hominidae; genus Homo; species Homo sapiens. The sequence continues at coordinate 129,921,644 of NC_000010.11, forward strand.
CAACAGAGGAGGATGTCTGCGTGAAGAACTGCTGCCCGTCCTGAGCACCTGGCCTGAAGAGAGGACCCCTGGGGGTTGTCCCAGCACAGAAGGTGACAGCCACAGACTGAGACCCATTAAAGAACTGGGATGTGGCTGGCATCTGGGGATATGGGCATCAGCACCCTCAAATGCTGAGGCCTCAAACACGAAGGCCGCCCTGTCCTCCTGAGCCCCACACCTGCCGTCCCATCCCAGCTCACTAGCCAGCCACATCCGCCCAAGCCTGGCCCGCCCCCTGTCTCTTGCTCATCCCTGTGTGTCACATGCCATTGACCCGCTGTCCCCTGCAGACGGACATGAGGGCAGAACCGGTCAGCTTGTTATGGGGGTGGCCCCACGTCCCAGAGTAGCATAGGCTCATGAGGGCTGAGCCAAAGCTCCCTGAATCCATTGGGAGGCCTTGAGGGGTGACCAGGCTCATGCCAGCCCTGCCTCGAATTCCCCTGCTGTAGACATAAGTTCTGGATGCTCCATTCTTTGCCCAACAAGAGCAGAGTCCTCTCTCTCCCTCCAGCCATGGCCCCCGAGCCCTCCTCAATTATCCGAAGTGGGCTGATTCCCACTCACAACGAGGCCCTGCCCAGAGTGGGATGCATCCCCCCAGCCAAGGAACAGAGGATGGAGATAGTGTCCCAAGACAGCATAGCAGGTCAGCAGCAGGGCCAGGGGCCAAGCCAGGCCACACAGGCCCCAGTGCCCACTGTGTGGGAAGCCACACCCCACCCGTGCCCCCCGGCCCTCAGCACCTACTGTTTGTGCATAAATACAAACTCTGTAGGGTGGGGGGTGCCTTGGTCCTCCCTATACCCCATAGCCCCTGGAGGGCAGGTCTGGGTTTAGGGGAGCTTTGTAAACATTTCATGGGGTGAAACTGAACTTCATGGGGACAGAAAGGCGTGCACCACACTCTGCTCTCTTCCCGGCTCTCGCCGTCCTTGCACGGCAGGCTGTGGTCTGCGTACCTACAGCGATGCCCTGCATGATGCCAGCCACAAGGACCCTTCCCTAGGCAAACGAACCCCTGCGTCACGGACTGTGAACCCCGACTGCAGCCCTCCTGACCCTGATGTGGGGCTGGGGGCTGACGGGACCACCCAGAGCTGCCCACATCTTACACAACCCAGCACACAGCCAGGGGGCTGAAGAAAGGAAGGTGGTTGGGGCTCCTCTCTGCAGACCAGAGGCATGGAAGGAGGGTTCCAGATGGGCTCAGGGTGAGGCCCCCCCGACCATGTGACCAGTCGGAGCTGGTCAGCACCCAGACCTTCCCCATCTCCTCTTTCAGGCCCTGGAGTCAGCTGTGTGCCTGCCCCTCTCCGGGTCTCGGCTTCTCTCTCTATAGAATGGGCTGGGTGAGGGGTAACCCGAATATCTCCACTCTTGCGCCAAACTGTCAGAATGGCATAAGAACATCCTGTTGATAACGGCAGCAACAATCATGTGTTACTGTTGTTATTATTTTGAACCGCAGCAGCAGGCCACAGTCCACAAGCCACGTGCCTTCCATAGTGACTTCATGAAGCACTCGGTGACAGAAGCTGCTCAACAGTAGAATCATTTTGCAATAGAAAAAGTGTGATGCCCTCCTCAGGTCTAATTACTGTAAGCGGGGATGATGTAGACACTCAGTAAAACATACTGCAGCCTCAGACAATCTTAAAAAGAAGAACAAAGCTGGAACTCACACTGCCTGATTTCAAACCTTACTACAAAGCTACAGTAACCAAAACAGTGTGGTGCTGGCATAAAGACAGACATACAGACCAATGGGACAGAATGGAGAGCCCAGGAGTAAACCCTCACACATATGGTGAAGAGATTTCAACAAAGGTGCTAAGGCCACTGAACAGGGAGTGGGTGGTCTTTTCAATAAATGGTGCTGGGAAAGCTGGACTCCGACATGCAAAAGAGTAAAATTGGACCCTTACACATATATAACAACATATACAAAAATTAACTCCAAATGGATCAAAGACCTAAAAGTGAGACCCAAAACCATAAAACTCTTAAAAGAAAACAGAGGGCAAAGATGTCGCAACATTGGATTTGATTTCTTGGCTACGGCACCAAAGACAAAGTCAGCAAAAGAAAAAAAATAGACAATTTGGACTTCATGAAAATTCAAAAGTTTTGTACATCAAAAGATTCCATCAACCAAGTGAAATGGCAAGTCACAGAATGGAATAAACTACTTGCAAACCAAGTATCTATAAGGGATTTTATCCAGAATATAGAGAGAACTCCTAAACCTCAACACCAACGAAATGATTCAAAAATGGACAAAGGACCTGGAATAGCCGTTTGCCCAAAGAAGACATACAAATGGCCGATGTATGTCTTCTTGGGAAGATGCTCAGCCCCTCTCAAAGAGGGAAATGCAAATCCAAGCCACACTGAGATAGAGCTCCTCACCCATTAGGATGGCTGCTATCAGAAAACAGAAAACAGGCCAGGCGCAGAGGCTCATGCCTGTAATCTCAGCACTTCGGGAGGCCAAGGCAGGTGGATCACCTGAGGTCAAGAGATCGAGAACAGCCTGGCCAACATGGTGAAACCCCATCTCTGCTAAAAATACAAACATTAGCCAGGCGTGATGGTACGTACCTGTAATCCCAGCTATTCAGGAGACTGAGGCAGGAGAATCACTTGAACCCGGGAAGTGGAGGTTGCAGGGAGCCAAGCTCAAGCCACTTCACTCCAGCCTGGGCAACAGAGTGAGACTCCGTCTCAAACAACAACAACAACAAAAAAAAAAAAAAACAAAAAACAAAAAACAGAAAATAGGTACTGGTGAGGATGGAGAAACTGGAACCCTTGAGCACCCCACTGTGGGTGTGGATGAGAAACAGTGCGGGCCCTGTGGAAAATAGTATGGCAGCTCCTGAAATAATTAAAAATAGAACTACCCTATGATTCAGCAATCCCACATCTCCGTGTATACACAAGAGAATTGCAAGCCAGGTTTTAAAGAGGTATCTGTGTTTCTTTCTTTTTTCTTGAGACATAGGTTCTGCTCTGTTGCCCGAGCTAGAGTGCCGTAGCATGATCATGGCTCACTGTAGCCTCGACTGCCTGGCCTCAAGCAATCCTCCTGCCTCAGCCTCTTGAGTAGCTGTGACCACAGGCATGTGCCACCACGCCTGGCTAATTTAAAAAAAAAATTTGTGAAGATGGAGGTCTCACTATGTTGCTTAGGCTGGTCTCAAACTCCACGGCTCAAGTGATCCTCCTACCTCCCGAAGCGCCGAGATGACAGGCATGAGCTACGGCACCCGGCCTGAAGAGTCCTTGCACGTCCGTGTTCACAGCAGCATTACTCACAACTGCTAAAATGTGGAAGCCACCCAAGTATCCATCAATGGGTGAATGGATAAGCAAAATGTGGTGTGTGTGTGCACGCGTGTGTGTGTGTGTGTGTGCGTGTGTACGGTTGGTGCAAAAGTAATTGCAGTTTTTGCCATTGAAAGTAATGGGCCAGGCGCAGTGGCTCACACCTGTAATCCCAGCACTTTGGGAGGCTGAGGCGGGCAGATCACCTGAGAATGATGCACAGAGCCTGGCTGGTGTGAGGGTGGGGGTGCAAGGAGAATGGGGTGGGGGGCTTCAAGGCGTGGCTGGGATTTGGGCAAGTGGAGCTGGCACCACAGACCCTGGGCTGAAACTCTTAGGACAATGTGCGGTACACAGACCACTCAGGAGTTCGAGACCAGGCTGGCCAACATAGTGAGACCCCCGTTTCTACTAAAAATACAAAAAATTAGCAAGGCGTGGTGGTGCATGCCTGTAATCCCAGCTACTGAAGAGGCTGAGGCAGGAGAATCACTTGGACCCGGGAGGCAGAGGTTACAGTGAGCCAAGATCGTACCACTGCACTCCAGCCTGGGTGGCAGAGCAAGACTCCATCTCAAAAAAAAAAAAAAAAGAAAGAAAGAAAGAAAGTAATGGTGTGATGCTTACACAACATTCTGAATGTACTTAATGCACTGAACTATATACTTGAAAATGGTTACAATGATAAATTTTATGTTATATATATTTACCACACTAAGAAAATTGGAAAAAAAAATAAAAACAAAAAACATGTTCCAATCACGCTGAACTGATGTTTCCAGGAGGTAAACATCCAACACAAAGCCCACGCACCACGTAGCTCCTTCCGCTGGTCTAGTGCACGAGAATTCTCAAAAGCCCACCATGAAGAATCCAGGACAGTTAGGAAAGCAGCCTGTGCCTCACTGCCACTGGGGGCCAGTGAAGATCTGTGGAATCCCTAAACTGGAATTTGTGCATTAATAGCCCTGATACCTTTAGAGCATCTTGAACAAGAAACACAAAGTGGGCAAAGTGTCACACTGAAATGCTGAGAGACATCTGAGGACAGGGGGCGTGACTGGCAAAACTGCACTGTTTTTAACTGAGAAGGATTTCAGTTCCTTATGAAGACACCTTCACTGCTTCCCGAGGTGCTGTGTCGCAGCCATTCATTCATTCATTCATTCATTCATAATGAATACCGAGAGCATCTGACGGGTGCCAGTCCCGTGCCAGGCAGGACGAGAATGGCGGAACGCACACCTTGGCGCCAGCCCGCAAGAGCATGGACTCCAGTGGGGAAGGGAGTCCCCCTTCCTGAGACCCTGTGGAGGGACTGTGCAAGGCCTAGAGAGTGATGCACACGGCCTGGCTGGTGTGAAGGTGGGGGTGCAGGGAGAACAGGGGAGGCTTCAAGGTGTGGCTGGGATTTGGACAGGTGGAGCTGGCACCACACACACAGACCCTGGGCTGAAACTCTTAGGACAATCCGCGGTGCATGGACCACTCAGCCCAAAGCAGTGAAACCTCGTGTCACCCCAAAGCTCCACAGGGAAGCATCTCAGGGCTTGGGGGGTGGAGACAGCCTGTGGCCAAGTGGCCAGGGAGGGGGCTGGGCAGACTGGAGCACCCACTGGCACCTTCAAGGGCGGCTGGGACAGGCTTACTCACTACCCAAAAAAGGTGTGGAATAAACAAAAGAAAAACAAACATGGGAGAATGGAAAGAGGGTGCTCCAGGAAACGAGGATGCCCCTCCGCTGGAGGGGGTGTGCCTCACTGGAGGACACACATAGCCAAGGCCCTGCATGTCAGAGTGTGGAACCAGCAGGAGCCACGGCCAGCACTGCCCACCCCACGTGGAGGCTTCAGGTGTGCTCAGCGTTCCCCGAAACGGGGCTCCAGAGCCTGCTCCCGGGGGACAGGCTGCAAGGTGGGCAAGGTGCCGATTCAGGGCTTCTTGGGACTCTGAACAGGTGGGCATCCTCCACCGTGGCCCCAGGAACCGCTGCTCCCTTGGGCAGTGCCATTGGCCACGAGAGGAAGTCAGGCGCATCTTTTTTGGCTTGTTTTGTTTTTAGCAAACCTAAAAGCCTGAAGAGCCACTGCCAGTCCATTCAGTTGCTTATTGCCTGAGAAGCGACACAACCGACCAGGCTCCCGGGCGATGGGGACAAATAAAAATGCCCGTTCCCATTCTGTTCTCAGCTGCACAAACCAGCACATGGCCAGGAGGAACCAGCACCAGCATGACGTGGGCTTGGTCCCCGTGGTGGCCATTCTGGTTTCACATATTTTTAAGTGAAAAGTGGATGCAACATATTTCTAAATTCAATTAAATACATAAAAAGTTAATTTCCCATAAATACCCTCAGAGAGCAACAAGATCTATATACCATCTTCATGCAATTGTAATCAATTCAACCATAATCTCCCCTTACAAAAGGCACAGAAAGCCTTGGGGCCCAGGACACGTGGTTCCATCTACTAAGCCAACACGTGGCCCCACCAGAGAGACTCCAACAGCGCCTGCAGGTGGCTGCTTAGCCTGCAAACACACCCTGGCAACGACGGGGAGCTCACCCCTTCTCGGGCAGCCATGCCTCCTATGCTGACATCTCCCACCCTGAACCCATGCCTCTGGAATGTGAGGATCTTGCATTTCTTCATAGTCGTCTTCTTCCTTTCGGCCCTCCCTCTGCCCTTTGAGTCTACCTGCCCTGAGATGTCCCCTGAGGACAGTTGGGTCCCTTATCCACTGGGTTAGGGCTCCTCCCTGCTCAGTTATTTGAGGAGAGTCTGCTATGTAAGCAGCTCTCCTGGCCATCCCACGTCTGTGCACGATGCTCCCCTCCTCTGCCCTGCTCAGTTAGGACACAGGGATGGGGAGGTGGAGTCTCCACAGGCAAACTCTATTTCCACCCCACCGTCTGCATGTTGTCAAGTGCTCGGTGGAGAGCTTGAGATTCCCAGCCCAGGACTGGTGCTGGCTTCTCCAGGCCCCCACTGTCTGCTACCAGAAATGGGGAGAAGACTGGCAGAAATGAGATCTAACAGGAACCGTTACTATTCCGAGCAATGCCACTTGCCCTGCAAACTCAAGACGTCCAGCCGAGTAAAGAACAGTTCGGTCAGCCTCATGCGAAAACGACTCAGGCAGAAACCTGACAGACGTGTGAACAGACGTGTGAAGCATTGTAAGCTTTAAAAGCACGTTTACGATCATAAAAATAACTGATGCCCATTGTAGAAACTTTTGAAAATACCTAAAAGTATACAAAAAATATAAAAATTAATTATAAACTCGCCAGCCAGAGCTAACCACAATTATTAGTCTGATTATTTCCTCACAATCCCATTTCTGCATATTTAAACAAAACTGGGATCATCCAGTACACACATTTTTATATCATTTTTGCCTAATTTTACGTGGTAAGAACGTTTCCATTGTATGCACTAATCCGCCTTCTCCAGGATTCTAGTACAGGGACCTTCCATAATTTATTTCACAGCTCCCTGTTGTGGGGCAGAAAGCTTCCTAAACTTTATTGTGAAAACACCACAATGCAGTCTTCATTCATAAATTATCTGCATTTCTAGGTGCTTAGGAGATATTCCTAGACAGAGAATGTGGATTCTGTGTGCAAACTAAGGCCCTCACCGTCTGCTACCAGAAACCTCCCACAGGACATTTTGGCAATTGCTTCCTGGGAGGCCCATCTTCGCTTACTCCACTAGGTCAGAGAAGGCCAGGCCATTGCATGTTTTCTGTTCTGAGAGTCAGTTTACGGCTGACCATTGAGATGAGCACTGCAATAATCACTGTCTCCACTGGCAAATCCTGTGATGTGCTATCAGGAGAACGCTGCTGACACGGCCATGCCAGTCTGTTCTGTGAACTTTTCCATATCTTTCATTCATTTGATAATCCATTAGCAGTTAGATTTTGTCACATTTGTGGCAATATTAGTAAAACGGCCAGAGTGGTCTGGAGTGTGGGGAGTCCTTGCAGGTGATCCCCATGAGGTTACAAACAAGGAGACCCTCGGGCTGTGCTCAGACATTTCAGAATGATGGAGTTTCATTCCTTGATAGGACTCGATGTAGCATAAACTCAGCCAGAGTAGAGTGGGAAGTAATCTGGACATATCCGATGCTATGTCAACATTTGTAGGAGGATGGTCTTCTTTATTTTTTATCTTTATTTTTATTTATTTATTTATTTTGAGACAGGGTCTGGCTTTGTCACCCAGGCTGGAGTACAGTGGTGCGATCTCAGTTCACTGCAACCTGCACCTCCCGGGCTCAAGCCATCCTCCAACCTCAGCCTCCCAAGTAGCTGGAACTACAGGCACCTGCCACCCACACCCAGGTAATTTTTGTAATTTTTATAGATACAGGGTTTCACCATGTTGCCCAGGTTGGTTTCAAACTCCTGAGCTCAAGCAATCCGCCCACCTCAGCCTCCCAAAGTGCTAGAATTACAGACGTGAGCCACCATGCCCGGCCAGGAGGATGGCCTTCTTAATAATGCCTTGGAAAGCCTTGTTGACACACTGCTGATAGATATTAAGATGGAAATAGAATTTGGAGCAAGGACATTCAAATCAGTAATGCGTCTGGATGGGCAGACCCTAGACCCAGTCCAAGGAGGCCCCCATGTCAGACGTGGAGCCCCATGCTTTGTCCACGAGAGAGGGCCACAGAGCACCATGGTGCCATCAAGGTGGCATCCTCAAAATGCACACACAAGTGATTGTTCTGCACCCAACTCTGAGAGTTACTAAGTTGCCACAGAAATTAGAGACCACAGAACTATGGTGTGATGTTTGTTTTAGGTGTCAACATGACTAGATTAAGGAATACTTAGAGAACTGGTCAAACATCATTTCTGGGTGTGTCTGTGAGGGTGTTTCCAGAGGAGCTTGGGGTGTGAGTCGGAGCACACTGGGTAGGGAAGGTCCACCCTCAATGTGGGTGGGTGCCATCATTGGTTAGGGGCCCGGAGAGAACAAAAACAGAGGAAAGGTGAGTGTCTCCCTCTGTCTGCCGGAGCTGGGACTCTTCCTCCCCTGTCCCTGGACATCAGAACTTCAGGCTCCAGGCCTTTGCACTCTGGGATTCACACCAGCAGTCCCGTAGGTGCTCAGGCCTTCGCCCTCAGATTGAGGATTACACCATCAACTTCTACAGTTCTGAGGCCTTCAGACTTGGCCTGAGCCGTGATACCAGCATCCCAGGGTCTCCAGCTTGCAGGCAATCTGTCATGGGACTTCTCAGCCTCATAATCCTGTGAGCCAATTCCCTTAACAAATCCCCCTCTCATATATCTATATCTATATCTGTCTATATCTATCTCTATATTAACAAATCCCCCTCTCATATACCTATATCTATACCTGTCTATATCTATCTCTATACTAACAAATCCCCCTCTCATATATCTGTATCTATATCTGTCTATGTCTATCTCTATATTAACAAATCCCCCTCTCATATATCTATATCTGTCTATATCTATCTCTATATTAACAAATCCCCCTCTCATATACCTATATCTATACCTGTCTATATCTATCTCTATATTAACAAATCCCCCTCTCATATATCTATATCTATATCTGTCTATATCTATCTCTATATTAACAAATCCCCCTCTCATATATCTATATCTATACCTGTCTATATCTATCTCTATATTAACAAATCCCCCTCTCATATATCTGTATCTGTCTATATCTATCTCTATATTAACAAATCCCCCTCTCATATACCTATATCTATACCTGTCTATATCTATCTCTATATTAACAAATCCCCCTCTCATATATCTATATCTGTATCTGTCTATATCTATCTCTATATTAACAAATCCCCCTCTCATATACCTATATCTGTCTATATCTATCTCTATATTAACAAATCCCCCTCTCATATATCTATATCTATCTTTATATTAACAAATCCCCCTCTCATATATCTATATCTCTACATTAACAAATCCCCCTCTCATATACCTATATCTGTCTATATCTATCTCTATATTAACAAATCCCCCCATATATCTGTATCTATATCTGTCTATATCTATCTCTATATTAACAAATCCCCCTCTCATATACCTATATCTGTATCTGTCTATATCTATCTCTATATCTCCTATTGGTTCTGTCTTTCTGGAAAACTCTGACTAATACCTATGGGTTTGTGGTTTTTTTGCCCTGGACAGGATAGCACTTAAAGAGAAGCAGAAAAGCAATTGAGAACCCAATGTCTTGGGGATACTTTTTGGTGTAAGTGCATTGTAGACACAGCCCTTTAAGGGGTCTAACATTTTTCTGGGATCCAAGTGCATCTTGGTACCATCCCCTCAAGATCAAGAAGAGAGCCTGAGTGTGGCAACAAGACTCTGCCATGCACGCTGAGGATCCTGATGGCCAAAGTGGACTCCAGAATTACACACAATATGCCCCAGAAGTGATGAATGCACTCAGGTCATCTCTGAGAACTGGGCCCTTAAATGACATATAGCAAGTAGCCCCAACAGTTGACTTCCCTGTCTGGGGCCGCGACTGTGAGCGCCCTGAGGGCAAGGCCATGGTCTGATTCTAACTTGCTCTTGATGTCTGCCCTGATGCCTGACACAGGCCAACAATCAGAAGTATGCTCTGAATTTTATAAAACGAAGTCTTCTCATTCTTTCTCTATTGGTCTTGGTAACAGCACCAATTTGAGCCCACTGGTTATTTCAACTTAAACTGTTGCTATCATGAAGCAATGCCTGCTGACCTCAAGCTCCCTGAGCGACCCTGTGTCCTATTCTTCCCAACCCAGTAGACCAGGCAGGAGGGACCCTACAGGGCCTAGCTGGGTATCTGGAGTGCCCTGGGGTCCTGGTACCCAAATGTCTCCATACACACTCCTGGCCCAAGATGTGCAGATGTTTTCAGAGGTGACCAAGCCTCTGAACCTGGCGGTTCTCTGTGGCCACAGGCTATGTCCAGCCACCCTGGAGAGCTAGGCCAGCCAGAGGAAGAAGAGAGGGCTTGGTCCGCTCTCTCCTTATCTCTCCCAGAGGAGCAGAGGTGAGGGCAATGAAGGACAAAGCGGGCCACTCTGGCAGGCAGTTACACACACGGCCAGGGTAGAAGCACCCCCTCCACACCTGGAAGTCATTTGACTTTCTAAGCAACCTCTTGGGAAGAAGGTATTATTGTTGCTTTCATAACTGTAACGGATAAAATGCTAAGACAGAGGCCTTCGTGGATAACCCACTTCTCACATTGGGGCATTCATTCCTCAAGCTGCCTAGCCTGGGAGGCAATCCCTGGCAGCCAGCCCTCACCCCTGCAACAAGGCGACAAGGGCCACTTGCTTGGCATGTGGCAAAGGGTGCCCCTGTACATGGCAGAGCGGCCGCCGATCTGAGAGTGCCACTCTGTGACCAATGGCTCCCTCTCAGAAAGGTGAAAGGAGTGCTCTCAAAGCTTATATTTATTTGTCACCTTCAAAGTTGATTCCCATTGCCTAAAAGATCAATACATCACCATTTCCAAGGGCAGGACAGACAGTGATCAGGATGGTGAGCAGGGCAGGGGGCACATGGTGTATGTAGCTCCACGTGCCTGTGATGCCATCCCTGGAAAAATACTTCTTGCCACGCAATTTTTTTTCCTGCACATTTTGCATTTCAAACCACAGAAACAAACTAAAATGTGGGAAACCATCACTTGTTCAACACCACGAAGTTACAGAAGGTGCACAACTCGCTGACAGAGCCGGCATGTGACCAGGCAGGAGGCCGAGCTTCGGAACAATTAAAACCAGCCGTCATCCTCAAACAACCCAGCCTTCACCTATAACCAAGGCAAACAAACTTCAACCATTTCTTTTTTTTCCTTTTTTTTTTTTTTTTTTCAATTTCAGAATGCTCAGTGTAGCAGCGGGGCTGGGATGCATTTCACTCTTGACTGGGTACAGTGAGATTGCTAATCAGGATTACTTGATTCAGTCAACACTGATTTCAATAAAAAGACCCAAAAATTATCATAAATATAGAGAAAGTGCGGGCGGCAGTGACAGGTGATTAAAATCTCATTCGCTTGGAATCAGCCTGATTGATGGACGTGGAGGAGGGTCAGTCCTGATTCCGCCACGGTGATCATATCTGCCTCTCTGCAGCCACTTCGGAGCACACACGCACACACGTGCACCCACACACACACATACGGGCACCAAGTAGATCCACAAACAGCAAACCGCAGGGGATGCGGCCTCTCGAAAAACAGGCTTTGAATAATAACTGCTGCGAATTATGCCTGGCAAGGGGTAAGGGGAGCTAATTTGGCACCAGACGAGCTGGGACGCCCCGAGTATGGGGAGGACCAGTGCCGAATAGAAACATTTGTTGAAAACTCAGACTGGCAGTGTGCATTTAGAAAGATTTCAAGGGCTCAAACCAGCCTGCACAGCAGTATAGATGGCATTCGATTAGAGCTAAAGTGATTCCTTGAAACACAAAAGAAGGAAAAAGGATCTTGAAGCCCTCGGAAGCCGCTGAGGCTCAAGTGGTCCCTTGAGCTGGAAGGGAATCCCGCTCCCAGCCCAGCAGCCTCTGCAGGCGGGTGCCCGTGCAAGAGGCACAAGCGTGGCTGAATGTTTCCTAAGGCCCCATACCAACCTTCACTCGATGTCCTCTATTCCTTTCATCAGCCAGACCACAGGGGGGCTCCTCTGTGATCTACAGCAGGGTCAGAGCCCACCCAGAGTGAGTAAGGCCCTGCAGGGCAGGCCAGGCACCCCCAACCTACCTCCTCCCAGTACTGCCCCCAGTGCCAAACACTGGGCCTCAGCCTGGCCACGCTGGGCGCCAGCACCTGCCTCTCCCCTCCTCTCTGCTCAGCCCCACTCTCTCTCAACTCCCCCTCCAGCAGCTTCACGGTCCCAGAGAGAACCATCCGGGACACAGACCAAGGCCCTCTGCTCCTGCGCCCTGTCCAGGCTGGGCTTGCCAGATTTAGCAAATAAAAATACAGGGCACCCAGTTAAATGTGAATTTCGGAGAAGCAATGTCCCTGCTTCTCCAAAATTCACATTTAGCTGAGCATCTTGTATTTTGCCAGGCAAGCTTAACCCTGACTGAACATGGCACCTCAGGGCCTAGTATTAATATCCCCCCTCTCCAGCCTCCTCTTAGTCCTTGATCCATTGCCTGAAGACATGCCCCTCCCTCCACCCTTGAAGACCCCAGAGACCCTCCCCACTTCCAGGCAGCGACATCACGCTCCCCAGACACTCAGAGCAAGGCCCCCCACCCCATCCACATTCACTGTGGGTCCAGCGGGTACTGAGGAGATCCTGGGCTCCATCTTCACTAGCAACTTGGGGTCAGGCGTCATCTGTCCCTTGCACATAGTAGGTGCCCAATAAATACCAGTGGCTCTAACTAAGGCACCTCGCCGCACACAGGGACCTGCAGGTGCTCCTTCCCGGGTGGCTCCCCCAGGTCCCCCTCCTGCTTCCTCATCTCAGGGCCCATGTAAATGAGTCGCTCTGGGTAATTGTTTGACTATTAGCTCATTTGCATACTATTAAGTGGCATGCTTAGCGGTGGGGCTGGGAGTTTCTAAGTTCACTCCCCCTCATTTCCCTCCAATTTCCAGCCCATTCCCTCACAAGCTCCTGCTCCAGTTGGGAAGAGGAGACTGAACAAAGGCCAGCAACTCCATGGGCGCCAAATTAGCTGCCAGGTGACAGGCACGATTTCCACATTTGGATCTGAGCTGCTCCACCCACAGTCAGGCCTGCAGTCACAGACAAAGGTCAGTGCTCAAAGAAGCCCAAATTCATTCTCTGTGCAGAGCTGGGCCCTCGGGAAACTTCTAGAACCTTCTAGAGCCCTCTGGCACACTCTAGAACCCAAAGCATTCTGGGTTGTCAGGATGAGGTCTGGATCAGGAAGATGGTGAGCTCACCTTGAACAAGGGCCTACTGTGTACCTGGTGGTGATCTAACTAGATCAATAACAAGTAATGTTTAAGATAAGTACATCCCAAATATCTCATGGGATGTACTCATCCTAACACATTAGCTGTAGCTGGTGGTCCGGTTCCCTAAGAACCGGACCCTCTAGTGGATCATGATGTGGATGCATTTTCCTGTCTCCACTCCAGCCAAATGTAGCCACATTGTGAGCTGCTTCTCACAGGGGAGATTCTTGAAGGTCCCACTCGCACCTGTCACAGCAGCCACTGTGGCCCATGGCTGTCCCAGCACCCAGAGTGGAGTTGGGAACCAGGCTTGGATCTGCCCAGTGACTGGCGGCCTGGGACCAGGGTGGCCCTGCCTTCCCAGCTCTCCGGTGGGGAAGGTGGGATCCTGTCCTGCCTGGCTCCAGCAGAAGGACCCAGTGCCATCATTCTGACCTTCCTTCTGTGCTGCAAACTCCCACCAACGGGACCTCCTTGAGGACAGAGCAGCTGCCAATTCCTGTGTGACCCCAACCCTAAGAACAAGCCTCCCAACTCAGCGCCAACTGCGGAGCACCAAGCACCCATATGTAAGGCATGGGGTTAGATACATGCACCCCACAAGGCTGGCGGGCAGCAGGCGGTGCCTCCTGATCAGGGCTGCTCATCCAGAGCCCAGAGCCTGGGCGTCCAGGGCACAGACAGCTCTCAGCCACCATTCCTCCTACGTCAGCACTGGGGAGTCCAGAGGCCAACCCCGCAGTCACTGCTGCACAGAAACAAAGACTAAGCCCATCTGGAGCAGAGCTTGGCCCTGCCACACCGGGGCCTCAGGCAAAGCCAAGGGCATAGAATGTGGGCTGGGGACAGGAGAGGCCAAGACACCAAGAGCGGCCACGATCAGCCACAGGCAGGCATGGACAAAGGAATGGCCGGGGAAGGCAGAGCCCAAGCAGCCCTGGAGCACCAGGGCCCCTCCTCCACCATCATCCATCGGGGGGCTTCCTGAAGCTGCCCCCCCCGCCCAACAATGCAGCTGGTGCCCAGGGCTGCGAGTCAACGGCGGCAGGTGCAGATGGTTCTGGGGGACTGTGCAGAGCAGCCACATCAATTACAATTGCTGCAATTATTAAATTATAGAATTATATAGAATTCCATTTATGGAATGATAGAAAACATTGCGACTGACTCTCACACCCACCTGACAGTTATAAAGTCCCCTCCCTTCACCTGCAAGGTCTCAGTCCTCTAAAAGTCAGGCCCAGGGAAGGTGAGGACTGGTTTGAGGTCCCCTGGCTTCTACCAGGTGGAACCAGGACATAACCCCTGCCCAGCCCACCACCCCCTCCTGTCTCTGGCTCAGAGTCATCCTGAGGGGCAGGAAGGCCAGTGCATCTCTCTCTGGGGATGATGCCAAAGGCTGAGAGGACAGAGCACAGGAGACAGGCTGCCCAGGCCCCGGCTTGCTGAGGGATGGGAGAGGCCCACGGGAAGTAGGGCTGGCCTGTCAGGGGACCCTCGGCCTGTGTGAGGACCCAAGGGCTATGCAGGGGACCCTCAGCTGTGTGGGGAACCAGGGGCTGTGGGGGGACCCTCAGCTATGTGGGGAACCAGGGGCTATGGGGGACCCTCGGTCTGTGTGGGGAACCAGGGGTTATGGCAGGGGACCCTCAGCTGTGGGGGGACCAGAGGCTGTGTAGGGGACCTGCAGCCTGTGTGGGGAACTAGGAGCTGTGGGGGGACCCTCAGCTGTGTGGGGACCCAGGGGGCTATGGGGGGACCCTCAGCTGTGTGGGGACCCAGGGGGCTGTGGGGGGACCCTCAGCTGTGTGGGGACCCAGGGGACTGTGGGGGCTCCAAGGCAGGGAAGCACTGCTACAACCAAGTCCCCCACAGGGAACCTCAGACACGAACAAATCAAGGCAGGAGGGCCATGCTTTGGCCAAGAGAGTTCCTAATTCAACAGAAGCTTTTGCCTCCTTGATGACCTGGGCTCCACGGATCGGACGTGTGAGAACAACCCTCAGTCACCCCTCCCGCGACAGTGCATCTCCTACGTGATGCATGCCGAGTGCCAGGCGCCAGCCAGCTTCATTCGGGCCCCAAGGGCTGCAGTGAGGAGGAGCCCAGAGAATCCCCAAAAGCTGGACTGGCTGTCTGAAAGTGGGACAGCAATCGTGCCGGGAACAAGATCCCTGAGTCTACAACTGGGATCAGATGGGTGGGACAACCACAGGCCGTAGGGGGCCGGGTCGACAAGGGAAAGAGCCTGGGGTTCCGGGGCGCACAGAGACCCCTAGTTTGAGCAGAGGGCAGGATGATTTAGACAGCACTGCCCAGCTAAAGGACAGAGGCTCAGGACACCCCAAATCTAGACAAGCCTTCCCTGGGTGACCCTGAGTGGGAATACGATCCTTGAGAACAGAGAGGCCCCAGGGACCTCAGGTGGGAAAGGCTAGTGGTGACAGCAAGAAAAAGGAGCAGGCTTTGTCACATGCTCCTGCCCTCAAGACACACCAGCGCTGCCCCAAGCCCACACAACCTGTGGGGGTCTGCAAGCCCACCTGTCCATCCGCACATTCCCATTCAGGCAGCTACGCCTGATCACAAGGGCTTACGAGCTCAGCCTGCCCACAACTGAGGCCATGGGAAAGAGAACCACTGTCCAGTCCCCGCCCCGTGCCCACGCAGCACCAGAGACACCGCTGGGGACTGCAGGTCACATCTGTGTTCCTCACTGATACCTCATCTCCTCACCATGGCCCACCCCCAGGCCAACCTGTCCCGGGCTGTCCCTGGCAGCCAAGGGGAGCAGCTCTAAAGGAGTTCAAGTCCTCTCCGAGCCACACTTTCCCCAAGACGTCACTGTGCTTGACAACTGCTGAGGAATTCCCGGGGAAACATTCCATCCCAGCATCTTATAATATTCCATCCCCCTAAAAGGTGAAGCATGATGAAAACTCACATTTTTTCTAAATAATGGTATTTTCTTTTAAGTAGGCACATGGGTACACTTTCACAAAATGCATTAGTCAAAATACTTCGAAATGGTACAAGCTATTTTCTGGCATGTTCATTGACATCACATACACAATCATACTCCACAACCACGCAAACTGTAAAGAGACCACCATGTCCTTCAGCAGCACCTGGCAGGAGACTCTCTTCTGCTCCTGCTGAGTTTTTGTGCGAGGCTAGCCCCCCGCATGAGGCTTCATCAGTGAGCCCCTCTGGTACACAGACTGCTCTGTTCTAGAACGGAAATTAGTGGGTTTTTTTAAAGTTCATGGCGGGGCCGGGTGCAATGGCTCTCATCTATAGTCCCAGCACTTTGGAAGGCCAAGGGAGGCAGATCACTTGAGCTCAGGAGTTCAACACCAGCCTGGGCAACATGGCAAAACCCCATCTCTATTTAAAAAAAAAAAAAAAAAAGACAAAAATTAGCCAGGCATGGTGGTGCACACCTGTAGTCCCTGCTACCAGGAGGCTGAGGTGGGAACATTGCTTGAGCCCAGGAGGTCCAGGCTGCAGGGAGCTGTGATTGTGCCACTGTACCCAGCCTGGGTGGCAGAGTGAGACCCTGTCTCGAAAATAAAATAAATAAAAGTAAAAAAATAGAAGTTCATGAGGGAAAAGAAGAAAACAATTTAGCATTTTTGATGGGCAGCCCAGGCAGGCACGAGCAGAACGCTCCTCCTCCTTGGCTGTTGTCCACGAGAAAGGTGCGGCTGCAACCGACGAGCACTGCCTTGTGTCCTGGGACCTGGCCTGTGCTCCAAGCAAGTCAAGGCCATTGAGTCAATAGGGGCAAGATGTTACATGGGGGTCTTCGTGGCCCATAAAACCAACCTGGGGAAAGAGAACAGAACTTTGGGGCAGAACCAGGAAGAACCCACTGCAGGCCTTCTGGATCCAGTCAGACTGCCAAGGCCAAAGTGACCAGTTGGCATCTGATGACTCAATTATCCCAACTCCATCCTTTAAACAGCTCCTAGAACCTCTGACCTGTCCCAAACAAATAAATGAGGGCTCTTGATGTCTTTCTTTTTCAGAGGAAACACCAAACCACTCCACTGCACAAAATAATCTGAATCTCAAGTTCATTACATTTCAGAAGCAAACAATCCCACCCACCC
Source organism: Homo sapiens (assembly GCF_000001405.40). Lineage (NCBI taxonomy): Eukaryota > Metazoa > Chordata > Mammalia > Primates > Hominidae > Homo > Homo sapiens. The sequence continues at coordinate 129,939,101 of NC_000010.11, forward strand.
AGAAGGTGCCCCTGTGTGTCCTGTGCGTCAGTGGCACACACAGCCTTCAACTTCTAAGACCTGCCTGGAGAGCAGAGCAGTGGCAGCCAAACTGTGTTCGAGCACACTCTGGGGGCAGTGGTGTCAGTGCTGGCTGGCAGCCCTGGCCCTCCTTCCTGCCCTCCACCCTCCCCTCTCCCAGGTCAAAAGTATCCTGCCACTTCTCAAGGGACTGACAAATACGAAGGACAGGGTGAAATCTGAAAACAGCATGATCATGCCAGTCTACATAAGAAACTCCAGACTTCATCAAAAATCAAACCAACCAACAATCACATTAAAAGTTCCCACTGCCATCAGCTGAAACACGTGACCGTTCCTCTGGGCAATGTTCTGACTATGCAGATCTCATTTAAAGACTTGGGGTTTTTGTTTTTGTTTTTTGTTTTGGTTCTGTTTTCTTTGTTTTGCCAAGCGTGGTGAGGAAACAGTTCAAGGGAAATTCAAACGACAGCTGCCCACTCTGCCACAACGTCTGCGTCTCCTCCTAATGCCACCCCGGGGCCATCATTCTGCTCCTCTGCTATGCAGACTTCGTCAGACTGGACACTCTTCCCATGCTTCTCAGCGATCAATGGAGTTAGAATTCCCACGTGGAACCAGAGATCCCAGAGTCAATGGCAAACTTCTGTCACACGCAAGCTAATACCGGACTTCGTCTTAAGTTATTTATAGCCCAGGAAAATGGAACCGACCTTACGGTTGCACTTAGGAGCAAAATCTTTCTAGATACCACGTCCTGAGGACTTACGAGGAGTTATGCTAAGACCTGTGAGAGCCTCTAGTGCTAGAGGGTCCCCCATGCCCCTGTGGCCCACGTCCCCCTCTAGAGGTACCATTCCTGGCAGCTTCCCCTCTGACGGGGATGTATCAGCCTCTTTTCCGAGTACACAACCCCGAGGGCCCACTGGTGTCCAACAGGCAAACAGGGCACAATGGCGTGAGCTCACCTGTGGGTCAGACTCAAGCCCCTGCCCAGGCACACATCTGCACTGCCATGTCACACACACAAACCAGCTGCTTCCCTGCACAGGCATCCTGGGCTCTGTGCGTGCCCACAGCTGTAGGTCAGGAGCAGCCTTCCCCTCCTCCTCCTCACCTTGCAGGCCCTACCCTCTGACCTGTCCTCACAAAACCCCACGCATTTCAAGAAAGCCATGAGAGAAGGGGCTCATCCAGCTCAGCCCTCAAAGCTCAAAGGCAGAGCCCCCTAGCCCTCTCAATGTGAGCCCCCTGGGCCTCCTGGGCTAGTCCAGGATGGGGTCTTCACCACCTGCCCAGCCCCAGGCACAGAAGGGGAAAGAATAAAGGACCCGACAGCCTGGTTTCAAATCCCAGCTATACCCCTTCCCAGCTGAGTGACCTCAAACAAGCTTCTCAATGTCCCCAAATCTGAGGAAATGACAGTCATTATAATAAGAGGGCTGTGAGAGGCATACCTTGTAAAGAGCCCCATGCTTAGTAGCACTTAAAACCATGAGCTGCTGTTATCTCTACTGTGGGCGGGTGAGGAATGATGGCATCTGCCCCTGCCCTCCTCCTCACACCTGCTAGGAAGTAGGGGGCTGGCAGAGGAAGAGCAGAGGTGGCCTCAGGAGTTCTCCAGGCCCCCTCCCCACCCAGGGGTGGCCCAGGATGCCAGGGGAACCGCGGGGGAGTCTGGGCATGGGAAGGCAGAGGGCACCGCCCACCCCGGAAACCTGTCACCAGGGCTGCCATAAACATCCCACACTCGATCCTCCCATGTTGGGCCACAGCAAACAGGACTGCAGCGTAAAACCAGGTAGGTCCCCGGTCCCCCAGCCTCGGACTGCCTGGCCGTGGAGCAGTCCCATGTCTACAATGGGACCCACCCCAGCAGTGAGCAAGACCTGCTCTTAGAGCTTCCCAGGTCCCAGGAACACGTGAGGGAGAGCCCGCCCACTCCCTGAATCTCTCTTGGAAACTCAGTGACAACATGTGGGAAAATGCGTTTATTTTAAATTAGGAAAGTAAAACATCCTACCTCCATAGTAGATTGAGATAAATAACCACTAAATTCAGCCTGTTGGCAGGCATCAAGTTCAAGGGACGAAAGAAACCCATGATGGGCTTAGCGAGACTTAGCAAGGATATCAGCTTACAGGGCAGCAAGGGGTGTCAGATGAGCCGGGCTGGAGCTCCGCACCCTTGCTCAGAAACACAAGGCCTCAAAGCAGGTGGACACGTGACAGGGACAACACAAATGTCTGTTCTGCCCCGGTCATCACAAAAGGTGTGCCAGGCACTGAACGCCTGGAGGTGGCCCAGCAGCCCTTCTTGAGGCCTTGCTTCTAGGAAACCCACCACCCGGGGACAGTGCCAAGACTAGGCCACAGAGGAGAGGTGCTGGGTGAGCACTGGGCACTGGGAGAGAGGAGACTCGGCCACAGACTCCGGGCAGGCCAAAGGGTCAGGGGGGAGCCCTCCAGGCCCAAAGCGCTGGGCACTCTGGCGGCGGTGGAGGTGAGCAGGCAGAGGTGGCAGTGAGGAGATGGCCAGGGCAGTGAGCAGCGCTCCATCCCCAGGGCCTGGAGGCCAGAGAAAGGGGCAAGGCAGAGGCAGGAACCCCTCAAGGAGGCAGAGCTTGGGGACAGGACCAGGCTGGCCTTCCAGAAGGCTTCCTGAGTAATGCAGTGCCAGGCCTGGGTGGAGCTACCAAAGAAGGGCTCTGCAGAGGCCAAAACTGCCAAGGGCAGACAGCAGCCATTTGCGGGGTCATCCCAGGGCCAGGTGCTGGGTGAGATCCCAATCCAGACCCACAAGGGATGACACAGGGAGCAAAGTGAGCTCACAGGACAGACACACGAGGACTTGGCAGTTCCTTGGGAATGGAGCCCCCCCACCCCATTTAAAAGCAGTGGCCCAAGCTGTTGACCCCTGTGTCCCCGCAGCCAGGAGAAACACCTCCTATCCTCAGGGAGCCCCGCCTCACCCACTCAGGGCACCAGGCCTCTCTCAGCATGGACGGCTCCCTGCAGGTTCTTAGCACTAACTGATTTTCATTTACAAGAGCTTTTAGGAAGATAAAAATTGTGCTTAAGTTTTGAAAGATCATCGCAGCTTTTGAGTGATTTTAGGACATTTCCCCAACAAGAAAACATCTTTCTAGGGTGGTCCAGGACCCTTCTTTAGCCCTGTGGACCTGCTTCCCAAGACAGTAATATAAGATGCATTGACAAAAATAAACCCCCAAAATCACAAAAACAAGAAGGGTGCTGAATACTGACGCTGGGGGAAAGGCCTACAGTTAGGTAAATGCCAAACAAAACAAAAGCAAATCAGTGTCACCACTGTGTTCACCTACCCAGAGCACCAGCCCCAGTGGTCCTGCAAGAGCGTCCCACACGCTGTAGGGACAGCTGTGCAGCCTTCATGAGCTCAGGGACAGTCAGGTCAAACCCAAACAGCAAAGCAGACAACTCGGGCCCCGGGGCACTGGGGAAAATTGGGGACTACCACGTCCACACAGGGTGCATTCCAGAGATGGCCTCTCTGCTCTTTTACGCATGCCACGATCACATTTATTTCTTCTAAATAACGCCTGCCTGTCTGCCAGCGTGGTGACTGCATTGGAATGTACCATCAGTAAGATCTTACTTTTAAATGAAATCAATAAAAAATTGTATTAAATACTTACAACTGACTTTTAAAAACCAGGACAGACTCTCCTCCCATACAAATCTAAATTGGGGTGGGAGGGACAGAAATTTTCTGTGCAGAACGCTCAGGTACAGGCGTTTGTTTTGAAGCCAGTTGCCAGATCACGCGTTGACATTAATTCAGCAGACCTAGGAGCAAGATACATTCTAATTTACAGCATGCACTTATGTACTGCTTTCTAATGGGTGTTTTTCTCTGGATTCTAAGAGGAAGGTAGCAGATACAACCGATTCCTGTCCTCCATTCTAAACCACTTTGCCTGCACGATGGGAATGACTGGATCACTCCACCGGCTGCTCAAGAAGCCAACAACTTCCTCCACATAAACAAGGCCCGCCAGAGCCAGAGAGCTGCCAGGCAGCTCTTCATTGGGGCCAGGCCTGACCCGGCCTTCCCAGTTGGAGGGGATTTCAGCGGCTCTCCACAAACAAATAAACAGCAAATACTTACAGGAGACAGCCTTGTAGAACTGATTCCTTAATCAACAGTTAAAGAAGCAAATTGGATTTGCCCTATCACAAAAAAAATTAATTCCAGATTGTAGTTATTGTCTTAAGCACAAGAAGGTTGTCTTATAGGCTTGGCTGGATAATTTCATTTTAAAAGTATCGCTAAAATTTGATGTCCCTTGGGATTTGTGGTTTTCTCCATCATTATATAACTGTAAACTTCTGGAGGTTAGAGATTGGATAATTTCTTTCAGCTGGACCTGGCCTCCAGCGCACTTGGATGCTAGGGATGAGCCTCAAGTGGTTGCCAGGAGTCGCCAGCCGGGCTTGGGAACAAGACAGGTCCCCGGCGTGCACATCCAAAGTTTGAGTGTGTGAGACTTTTCCTCATTTATTTTCCTTCAGACATTTTTTTTTTACCTCTGCTATGAATTAAAAGAATTGCTAGGAATTCTTTTCACAGGCTGCATCTATGCTAGCCAATGAAAACAACACAGAAACAAAGATTCAGTCTCTTTAAGGTTTTTGGGCTTGATCCTTTTGAGCAGTTTTTTTCTGTGCTGAGCTCTCTGGAACCATATGTTCAGCAACGTTATGGAGGGCGCTGGCCTTCGGCGCAGACCCAGCTGAAACCGTAAAATGCTCGGTAAAACCAGTCGCTCTGAGGGTGCAGCGCGTGTGTCCATGGGTAAAATATCTCCCCAGACCTTCCCACCCTATGCGTGATTTCTGAGTTGATTAACATTTCATCTCTAGTGTTATGTTATTATCGCCTTTATGTTTTAATCCATTTTTTACACCGTGGGAAAAGAAAAATATCACCGTTCTAGTAATCAAGTTATTCCTGTAAAATCCTAAATAAAATGAGAATTTTATTAAAGATATTTATCTTATACAACAAGAATAAAATCAATTTGCAAGGCCGGTCCGGCATCCAGTTACAATAACATTAAAATATATTGTTTATTTGCGGGTGGGGTCATTTCTCCTTTCAGATTGGTCAATGAGGGGAACACCAGAGTGCACTGCCTTCAGAATATTGGCTTGGTGGCTGGACATGCAGGGAACATTTTTATTGTTAATCAATGCCAATCAATTCTGAGCCTTGATGTTAAATAGGGATCAATACCGCTGGGCTGCAGATGAGATCTGATTTCAATTGGTGAGCAAACCTGCAGAAGTTTTTAATCATAAGGTAAATCAAGACCTGGAACATAAGTCAGATGAATTAATATAGGCGGTGTAGGACCTCTCTTGCCACTGATCCAGCAGAAGGAAATTTCTGTCATATTTCATTATCACTCTTAGGGTAGGCTGAAGGCAGCGTTTGGGGAGCATTTTCTTAGTGGAAGCTGGAGCGCCCCTCACACCACACGGTGAATCCTTGCTGCAACTGAGCCTGCTGGTCCACCGAGTATAGTTATACGTATGCCCCATGAATCTCATTTTATGCGATTAAGATCCATAAAAATTCAATAGCTTTTCTTCTGCAATTCACATTTTACCTGGTGAAATATCATAAGAATTTCATTATCTTTGCAGCTGTTGCCTAGGATCAAGCAAAGGTTATTATCCTCTTCGAAAACACTATAGAATATGTACGAAAATGTCAGGAGAACTGGGCATTTAAAGCTTGATTTTTTAAAAGAAAAACACTGTCTGAAGTTTAGAATAAACTGTACTTGACATTTATGTACCATGATGCATTTCTTGGTAAACTGATTTTGCAAGGAAATTCTTTGAATTCGACTCTGTGACCAGATTGTAAAAGGAAAAGGGAAGATGGGCGGGGAGGGGAGGGGAGGGGAGGGGAAGAGAGGAGAAGGGAGGGGAGGGGAAGGGGGGGGAGGTGAAGGGAGGGGCAGGGAGGGGAGGGGAGGGGAGAAGAGGGGAGGGGAGAGGAGTGAAGAGGAGGGGAGGGAGGCCTGGGGGGATCTGGAGGCAGAAGCGAGAAAGGAAGCAGAGGGAGGGAGGGGGAGCAATGGCAAAGCACTCCAAAACCAAAGCTCTCCCCACATCAGTCTGTATAGGATTTCCTAACCTTTCAGATAACCATCCCTCGAAGATAACTCGGGAGAACCCTAACCGATTGCGATGGTCTAATCCTATGGATCATTCAGGCCCGTTTAAAGCATTTGAAGAAAAATGGCCAGTGCAAAGAAGGTGATTGATCAGAGGGCTCTGTAAATCACACGGATTCCGTACAGTCCTCCGGCCTCCACTGCTAGGGTTCCATCTATGATGATAAATTAGCATTAGATGGAACCTAATGAGTTTACTAAACATTTGGGATTTGTGCTAATAAACTGGCTGGCTGTGAACTAGCAGAAGCGGTGCAGGATCCCGGAGCTCTCTCTTATCTCTGTAACATGACAGTTAAACCATGCGTCCAATCTGCGATCAATTCATCATCCGACACCATTGTACATTCTTCACAAAAAGATAATTACTGCTTCCCTGGATCAGAACACTCATATTTCCTTGGAATTGCAGGTATGATAGCAGCCCCTGTCACCGCTCCCTTCGAGCCTCACCATACAGCTCTATTTATGATCATTATTTTCGCCTAAACAAGCCTTTTTCCTCAACTTGATAACAAAACCTGCTACAAGGAGAAGGGAACAGTTAAGACATTGTTTCTCTGTGGAGTGCTTTTACGTTTAGTGGAGGCCGCTGACAAATATTTTATTCAGGGCATTAGTAAAAGTTTCCACTCGTTAGAAGATATCGCTACTATTTCCTTCCAAAAAAAAAAAAAAATCCTGTTCCTGGCTCTGATTTGTTAAACACAGACAGGGAGTAAGAGCAGAGCAAGTAACGTCACAGGGAATAAATCAAAACATGATTAAAAAGACCGTAGCCGTTTTAAAATCACATGCCCGCGGATTCCCTGCTTCTCACTGCTGGGCCCTCGGTCCTGGCCTCGCGCGGACCCGCCCTGGCGACTGGTCAACTCTGTTTGACCCCCAGCACACGCAATAAATTACCATAACACACAACTCTGAAACAATGTAAATTAGTTACTGCTCACAGTCTAATAAATGGGAACAAATGTGTTTGGGGCTGGAATGGGGTTCTGGATGCTGTAATTGCTGAAAATAATTAGAATGGGGTCTGAGGAAACATGAGCGGCAGTTACTTGTCATGACAAATGTCCCGAACCCGGTAAATATGCTGCTGACCGCAGGACTCGGAGCAGCCAAATAACATTTTTCCTTAAAGTTAAATGTCTCATAAGCCTCGCTTTATTCACAATCACGTATGAAAGAAGTATTTTTAAAACTCTAAGGCACATCTATGTGTCATAATATTCTGAACCAAGACAAGTTTATTTTTGTTTCTGAGCTTTCTCTTGGATTGTTGTTGGCGTGCCACACTGCAGACGAGGCCATGCGTCCCAGGCAAGAGCTCCGGTGACCAACAGAAGAGGGAGAGGATCAGTGCCCCCACATTGTGGGGAGCAGGAAAGGGCAGAGTCTATTTTTGAGCCACACAAAGGTGCACCTCTGGATGGGGAACCTCACCATTTATTAACTTGCATAACTCATTTATTTGTTCAAGGTAATGATCTTTGGGGAAAGGGCTGTTATATTTAGAACCTGCTTGTCAAATTTAATAAATGATAGTGATCGCTGGCCTCCCCCTCTGCAAGCACTTTCCCAGGTCCTTCCACCTTTCCCTGGGGCCTCGCTGGCCGGGGACCTGGCAGCCCATGTCTTGGTAACTGATGGCGGCTGCCCAGTGGCTGGATCGGGCCGATGACCTCGGACAGTGGGGACCAGCAGCACGTCCAATCCAATCCCCCACTTGTTTCCTGACCCAATCTTCCTCGTGTCAGGGGACGAGCCGCTTCATTGAGAAAATGGAAATGGACAGGGAGCTCCCTTTGGCAGCATTTCCAATAACCAAATATCAAGGAAGAGGGGCCGCCGGGGGACCACCCCATCCCGGCACACTGATCTGATTTACAAACCTTTCCTAATGGGAAACAAATGCTGTGGGTGTGAATTCATACTTAACCATAAAAACCCTTGCATTACTCTGTCTCGTATTAAATACCACATATAACTCTCAGCAGGTTTTATGTTGTGTTTTACTGTCAGCAATGGCTAAAGCTGGCCTAACATTTTGTTTGGCAATTAGGAAAATTTGTACTTTAATTTATTAAACCAAAAAAGCCAACAACTGCACTGAATGCTGAATTCATTCTGTTCTTATGCCACGGTGCAGTATATTTGCCTTCCCAATAATTTAATCATTTTCCTTTTATGGCCTATACTATTTACATATTCCAAAATAGTATTATTGAGGAAATAAACCCCTTATAATAAGTGAAATTGAGCAATGCCACTTAAATTCTGAATATAAAGTTAAAATGTTTTCATTTCTTTCTTTGCAAAGGAACCAAATGCTTTGAAAAAAAAAAAAAAAGAAGGGCAGGACGGGCAAACTTCTGAAAGCCTGGTGAACCCCACTGATGACATCCAAACACCGAAACATGACCTGCTACCTTGACAAGCTCAGGAGTGAAGGATTTCACTTCTAAAACACCAAGACACTGAAAGGAAGGAAGCAGAGTGCCCAGTAACCTTTAAGAAGAAAAAAAAAATTATATTCAAAGAGAGTATTATCGGTGAGCTAAAAAGTCACAAGAAGACATGCAGGAAACTTAAATGCCTACTGCTCAGTGAAAGAAGCCAGTCTGGGTGAGGCACGGTGGCTCACATCTGTAATCCTAGCACTTTGGGAGGCCGAGGCAGGTGGATGACCTGAGGTCAGGAGTTCGAGACCAGCCTGACCAACATGGTGAAACCCCGTCTCTACTACAAATACAAAAAATTAGCCAGGTGTGGTGGCGCATGCCTGTAATCACAGCTACTTGGGAAACTGAGGCAGAAGAATCACTTGAACCTGGGAGAAGGAGGTTGCAGTGAGCCAAGATTGCACCATTGCACTCCAGCCTGGGCAACAAGAGCAAAAACTCCGTCTCAAAAAAAAAAAAAAAAAAAAAAAAAAGCAGCAGCAGCTAGCCTGGAAAGACTACATAATGTATGCTACCAACTCTACAACATTCTGAAAAAGCAAAACTAGAGACACAGTAAAAGGATCCAGGGGTGCCAGGGGTTCAGGAAAGGGGGAGGGGTGGCTAGGTGGAGCACATGTGAAACTATTCTGCACGGCACTGCGATGGCAGGTACGTGCCACGATGCGTTTGCCAAAACCCACCAGATGTGCCACACCAAGAGTGAACCCAATGTCAACTGCAGACTTTAGTTCATATTCGTGTATCAGCATTGGCTCAGGTGTAATGAGGATACCACACCAAAGCAAGACGTTAACACTGGGGGAAACTGGGGGGTGGGGGGAGGTGGGGGGATATGGGAACTCAGTACTCTCTGGTCATTTTTCTGTAAACCTAACACTGCTCTAAAAAATAGTCTATTCAGTGTTTTTAAAGCGTTATGAGAACACCTTTAAATCTGCATCAGATGCAGAGGAAGACAAGGCCAGGTTAGGGGTGCCTGTTGCTGGTGTGGCTTCAATGTCCCTGCTTCATGCCCTGCCCCCCAGGCTGTTTGCATCTCCCAGTCCTTCCTCCTGACTATGGGATGTCATTCTGCAGAGCCGGACGTGTGGTTCTTGACAATGAAAACTTGGAAAGGACACCTGCATTAATCTGTCAGAAGAGCATTTAGGCCCCTGCCAGCCATATCCCCTGGTGCTGAAGTTCTTACAAAACTTAAGAGGCACTCGTGCAGTGGCTCATGCCTGTAATCCCAGCACTTTGGGAGGCCAAGGCCCGAGGATCACCTGAGGTCGGGAGTTCAAGACCAGCCTGACCAACATGGAGAAACCCTGTCTCTACTAAAAAAAATACAAAATTAGCTGGGCATGGTGGCACATGCCTGTAATCCCAGCTACTCGGTAGGCTGAGGCAGGAGAATCACTTGAACCCGGGAAGCGGAGGTTGCGGTGAGCCGAGATCGTGCCATTGTACTCCAGCTTGGGGCAACAAGAGCAAAACTCCGTCTCAAAAACACACACAGAAAAGAAAAGAAAAGAGAAAAAGAAAACTTAGGGGGCACTCAGGGAGGAGCCCCTCCCTAAACCAGTGAGCAGCATCCCAGGCTCCAGTGCCAAGAAGACTAAGCCGGCTTTCCTGGGTGTTACCTCAAATAAAAGGGACACTCCCCCATGGGGCCTAAATGACCCTGTTCCAAGTGATGGGACTCGTGGGGGAACGTGACCTTTGATGCAGGCCCCATCACTGCCCAGAGTTGGGGTGACCCTGCTAGGGATCCCCACATGCACGCCTGGGGAAGGCGCACGCTGCCTGCCCATGCCCATAATCAAATCCCGGGCTTGTACTGCACATATGTCACCCTCGGATGGCCCCAGCCCAGGCACAGGCCTCCAGACCTGTTCTTCAGCAGCTCCCTAACATCCAGATTGGCCATCTCTGTGCAAGCTTTCTGATTCAATGAAAACTTAGAGAAAGCGGGAGGGGGTGCAGTTCCTTACCAAACCATTGTGGAAACCTGGACTCAGCTGGCAGGCCTCAATGGTCAGGGTTGGTCTTTCTCCCTTTGTAAATTCATCATCACAAGGGCAAATGCTTTTAGGGCCTTAAACACTGCCAAAGTTTTGTCTCCTTCTGTGCTTTAACATGGCACCCTGCCCCCAACTGCTTTCTGCTGAGAGGGACAGAGGAAAATATAGGCAGGAGGGTGGAGGGTGGAGGGAGGAGGGAGGAGGGAGGAGGGAGGGGAGGGGGGCGGAGGCAGGGGCGGCGGCTGGAGCTGCCTGTCTGGGCAAATGCACGGCCTCCTCTCCAGATGTGCAGGCAGCTCCGTCTTCCAGCAGAGACACGCTGGAGCCGACTCCTTCCGTTCGCGGGGCCTGGGCTCCATGTCCTACAACAACACAACCGCGAGCCCCTTCCTTTCCGCACATGTTAAACTCATTTCCTAGTGAATTACTGGGAAGGCGCGGCTGCTGCCCCCACCACCGTTTGCAGAGGATGCGCCCCATCCACTCGGGCACCACAGCCCTGCATGAATTTTGAGTATTTTCTAGCTGAGCAACTTCCAGCGAAGGAATTGGAGAGGGATCGTTTTCATTTGTGTTGTTTTTAAGGGGAAGGGGAAATGAGTGATTCAAAAACAACTAAAATAAGAGTTTCCCTATACCCCTCCCTGCAGTGCTCTCTATCGAATTGTTGGCAAATTTATAGCATTTACTCTTTTGACAGATATGTCTGACCTTTTTCTGAAAACATCGTTTTGAAAACAGTTTTCTCAAGCTTCTACAATTTAATGAACGCTGGTTACCCCAAAGTCTAAGAAGCTTATAAAATTCAACAAGAACAACAACAAAAAAAAACCCCTTAACCCATGAAATTACTGCACTAATTTTTCTAAATGATAGCCATATTTTTATTAAAGCATGAATAATGCCAGCATAATGTCTCATTATATAGAGTTTGGACCACAAACATTTTTGGGAGATTTGCTATTAAGATAAACAAACAAGAGGAGCTTGTGTTCTGGCAAGCTGACGGAGGGAATGGTTTTCATTTTCTCCAAGTGTAGGCTGCAGAAGCTTTGCCAACTGCAGGTTAAGCTCCTTGAGTTTTCACTTCCTGTACCCCCACTTGTCAATCACTTCCTGTCTGCAATGACAATTTCCATCATTAGAGCTTGGAATTTTTATCTTCTTCAACGTGTCTCCCTTTGCCACTGTTTGAATTCTGATAAATTATTCACCATCTTTAAAAAGTAACCAACAATTACAGCATCACAGTGAGCCACCTATGCCTAGCAAAGATCACCGTCCTCCTGGTCTGTCTCCTAAAGGCTTTGACGAGGCCAGCTTCTCCTGCTTTCTTCGGCATCACGAGAAGGCCTCTGGCCAGCCCCAATTATCTTCTGGTGCACAGAGTAATTATTTGCTTCCTGTAAGCATGCGTAACAGAACCTCGAGTTTGGACGGCTTTCCATAAAGTAATCCAATTCACCCATGCCATCCTAACACAATTACAGGCACTGCAATATCTTCGCTCCTCACCTGATAAGGCTGCCGCAGCGGTGCAGGATGCTTTCCGTCAACATGCCTCCCAGAGTATAGCTTCTGACAGCCCTGCTTCCAGCCCTTGCCTCCACCCCTGCACGTTCATACCCGGCTGCATGCTGCTGCAGGGCCTGGGGAAGGCAACACCACGAGGTTTTCACCCTTGCACAGGCAGACGGGAATCCGAGTTGGTGGAGAGTGATGCGGAAGTCATTGTGGGTGTGTAGCTTGTTTTCAAACCCAGCCCTTGACTGGCCTGGCGGTGGAGTCTTTACCCAGCTCAGGCAGCCATAAATCTCGCAGGCCTCCTAGGCCTAGGCCAGAGATGCAGGCCTGGGCCTGGTGGTGGCCCTGACCCACCGCGGCAGGCGACCACGCAAGCTGTGACACACAGCGGAGGCTAACCGTGCAGCCGGCGTGGTGCACACCCGCATCTCAAGCTTATGGGCAGGGCAAACCTACAAAGTGGGCACTGTTCCTGGCGCCTCCCTCTTTAAATGAAAGCATGCCATTGTGCCTCCATAATGCAGCTCTTCCTTTTCTGTTTATTTTCAGAAGTTTAGGGGGAAAAATTGAAAGGATGAATGAATGCAGTGAACTTTTTGCCTCTCCCTACTGGCGCTGCCAGGGAATAAAACAGCCATTCACACCTGAGCCCGGCGAAGCCAAATGGGGCCGGTGCCAGCCAGAATCAGATTCTTTGTAGCCACATCCATTCATCCAAAAGGTGTTTTAATATTGCCAAATTTCTAGCCAATACTTTCCCTTCACTGAAGGCCCAATGTATTAAAACAGACCCTGAACCAAAGAGCATCTCCAATGCACAGCCTCCGCCAAGAGAGGATCTCCAGGACCCCAAGGCCTATCCAATGATAATTATATTCACATCTTTAAGAAAACTGAGAAGGAAAAATTAACACCAAACTATACTGTTTTCATTGCATTATGCAGATGAAATGACAAGTTGTCATTTAAGAAGTTAATAAACAGTCTCCGTTTTGCAGGTTATCCAAATGCTACTGAATAGAAAACCTTGGATCCCTAAATGATGTGTAATTAATATTATTTTTAAAATCCTCCTTGACAGGCCGGGGCTTAGCCAAAATGTAAATGACATTAAAGAAGACAATGAATTTAATTTTATTTAATGTCCCTTTTTGCAGATCCTCATTTACATAGCATTTTTAACAAAAGCGTTGACCTTATAAATGCTGGCATTTGTACAGCTTCAGCAGAGTTGGATTTAATCACGCTCGTGCAAAGCCATGAGGGAGGAAGCTTTAAGTTCTCTGCTTGGAGATGGAGTAGGAATAAAAACATTGGGACTGGTCAAATGTTTATCCTCCCCGCTTCTGAAAACAACCTGACAAGAAGATGTAAAGGGCTAGGGAATAACCCGGTGCTGTTTGTAAGGCTTGGTAATAATCATACATAATCGTTTGGAAATATAGCTAATAAAAAATATAATGAGTGTTCAGCAAAATCGGCATTAGGCCCAAATTACACGATATTAATACTTGAACAGGTGCAGAAAGGCGCTTTAAATGAGGTAAATGAATAAAATGTCCCAGAGCACAACTGTGTGTGCTGACAAAAAGTCAATCCCATGAATAATTCAGTGAGCAGGACTGCCAGCAAAGGTCGGCTCTCTTTGACCTTTGTGACAGGAAGTGAAAGGAAACACTGTTGACTAAAAAAAAAAAAAAAGAAGAAGAAGAAGAAAGAAAGAAAAGAAAGAAGAAAGACAGAAAAAAAAATCTCCAATCGTTGGGCTACCGTTCCACAGTCACTTTAAAGGTGTAAACTTAAAACGCACATATGAATCAAAGTATGGCTGTGCAGGGTAGGGGGGGCGCAGAGCTGAAATGGGGGTAGTCAGGTCATCTGACTAAAGACAATGTGAAATCACAGACAATGGAAGGTTAAGCAAATAATATTTCCCTATGACACAACGTCAATTACGCATAAAAATCTGAGGTCAGCTGAAAAGTATTTTCAGAGCCCACAGGATTGAAATTTTATAACAGCTGTTAAATATGACAAAACTTCATCCTCCCCCCTCTTCAACCCCCACCAAAACTAAAGCAATTCCAAACTCTGTATGAAAGAAAATGGGATAAACAGATGTCTGGCTTCCAGACAGGAAAGTAGGACAGACTTGGAATGATAAGTCTCCCAACTCTATAGACTAATGCCAGATTGATTGGGGAGGGGGCACCGCCTGCCGCAGAGATGCCAGCGAGTGGGACGCCGGAGACGGTGCCATCTGGAACCGCCCCGCCGAGCCCGCTCCCAGCGCTGCATGGAGCCCCTGCGTGTGCCCGGCCTGCCTGGGCAGCCACAGCCCCTGCTCCCACCACCCCTACAGTTGGCCTCCCCACTTTGCAACAGTTGGACCTTGCACCTTCCATCCACCCAGCCCAAGCAAGGAGGGGGAGAAAAGGAGTATACACCTTCCTGGGCATTTCCAGAGCTCCTTGGGAAACAGACCGGGATGGCACGAGCAAGTGATGGGAGCCAGAGTGTGGTGTTGGCTTAGCAGCTACACCGACATCCTGGAATCATTTGCAGCCCTTGGAATGCACGGGTGAAACAGGAGAGATTTATCTGTTCATAGTTGGGATATGTGGACAATGGGTGTTCCTAATGAAGACCATCTGCTTTTGTGTTTTCCCAGAAAACATTATTCCACGAGGAAAATGATACTCCCATCCTTTTCAGCAATACCATTAAAAATCATTTGTGTGTGTATGTACAGAAGGTGTACATGTGTGTTTGTGTGTGTGCACTCTTCCTTTACTTGCATTTGGTTCTCTGCAGGTCACACAATCTACCATAGATACTTTTTTCCTGTAGTATCTCTTTATTGACCATGCTTTTTACTTTACAATGTTATGTTTCTTCTTTGCTCCGTAAGTTGTTATATTATTTTAAATATACTGCATATAGTTATAACCATGGTGCTATTAAAAACTTGTTCCTCTAGCAATGTTTTATGAGAAAGAAAACAGTTAACATAAGTGAAACCTTTGCAGTGCATGAAATGGTTTTGTAATGGGAAACAGCCTCACTTCCCCCCCCCCTTTTTTTTTCTCTGAAGGGTCTTCATGCCATTCATAAGTATTTAATGCTTCTGAAAGATAACTGAACTAAATTGTGTAATTAATTGATTTAAGGCATCAGAGTCTATAGAATGTGATTACCCTGCCAGAGCGAGGAGCTTACTTCTCTGTTCTCATAACACAGAAAGGCAGTCTCAACGTGCCGGGAGAGGCTCGGTGTGGGTTGGAACAAATGTGGGCCCATTGATCTCAATTCAGGTTGGAATTATTGGTTTATATCCTCAGGACAAATATGCCTTATCTGGTCAGAACCTGCTAAATGTATCCAAAGGCCACAAGGAGCCGGCAAAGCACGTTGTATATAATTCTTTTTTAAGCCAACTAACCAAATGAGACACTGCTGATGGGGACCTGGAAACTGACTCCCCAGTCTGGTGGGACATTTTATTCTGCAATACTCAAGAGAAAAGACAGGCTAGAAACTCAACATAAGCAACTAATTTTCAGAGGCAACATACACCCCACAGAAATGATTATCATTATGAAACTGAAACGCATCTCAGTTGCAAAAGACGGTGTCAGTCTAAAGAGATTGCCCTCCTATAGGTATTCCTCTTTCTCTGATTAATCTAACTTGCCCTAGTGAACACTAAATTCTTCATTTTTTTCACGTAGAAATATGCCGTAAGCTGGAGACAGTGCCAATACTGCAATCATTTCACAGGGATTTACAACAGACAACACAATGCTAATAGTACTTTGCCATTCTAAGTGACAGCTTTCTTAAGAATGCTAAAAATGTACATTGTATTTGTCATTTCATAAAACTACCCTCACCTTAAAATCCCTAAAATAGACGGTGATTAAAATTTCTATAAAATTGTCATATCTTTGAATTTAGGAGCAGAGCAGATTTTTCATCAATAATTAAGACCTCCAAAGCATTTATGCCAGGCGTAAATGGAGCTTCAATCCTCCTTATTCAAATAAACATGGTAAACCCATTAACCAAATGTTTTTACGTTTTTCCCCTCCTCTCATGCTTCTAGAATATCAAATAATCACACACTTCTCTTAGGTTATAAAAATATGAGTAATCTTAGCACATATTTTAATTAACCAAATATAAGACAACATTCAGACGAGAATTAAGGAATATATTTCTGCATATCTGGGGAAAATATTTCCCACCATATGATGAACACTGAGTATTAAAAGTTATTCAGCATCAATAGTCAATAAAGGATTGAATGTTGCACAAATCCAAAGTGATTTTGAAGGGAAAACACAGCATCCAAAATGTGAGCCAAATCAACATGGCTACTTCATCATTGTGGCATGCTAGAAGTCTCACACTTTATAAACAAGTCCTCTTTTAAAATTTAAAGTATCACACAAAAGATGAAACACTTTCGCAATCCTTCATTTAAAGCCAACATGCACTGCCTTTTCAAGCAACTTAGACAAGACTCCAATAGTTCAAACACTTCTAGCCAATCAAGAAAATAAAATAAATTCAGTTACAAGACAATAATCTAAGGCTATATGATTTCCATGGCCACAACACTAAAGACAGATATAATTATATTGATTTTCATAGTTCGAGTTCTATAAAGTGTTGAACTTGTTCTCAATTGCCTGAGTGACAGCCACAACTGGTCAACCCTATTTGATTACTAATAAGAGAGCTGTCCCTTCTGTCAGATACCGAACATTCTCCACTAAGCAAACAGCTATTCCAGCTAGTTAAACATTAGCATTGCTCTCCACTGGTGGCGCATATTTCTTTAGGCTTAACTCATGGAGTTTTCCGGGTTTAATTTTTCAGACACTGGACAGCAAAGTTCATGATCAAAAGATAACTTTGTAATGAAAGCTGCGGAAATTCAACCCCTCTTCAAAACCGTCTAAACCTCTGCTTCGCAAAACTGGTGTCATATGTACACGTCTAACATTTATTCAATTTGGGTACCAATTTCAAAATCTGCAGTCAATCACACGCTGGGCCTTTTGCTGCTACCCATTGTTGGAAAGAAAGAAATCCTCCTCTCCTGCACGGCACCGAAACCCAGCGAGTTGGGAGAGGGCTGGGCGAGGAGGGTGGTGGTGTTTTTGTTGCTTCAACTAAAGCTATGCCAAATGCACATTAGCACCATTAGGGCTACTGATTGGTATCTTAAAAGGATGCAGCATTGCCCAAGGAATATGAGAAACAGCAAGATGAAGAGCAGCAAATGTAAAGAATGCATACAGCTAATCGAGTTATGAAAATTAATGTTGGAACATGTAACCAGCATGTGTAATTAGTTTCAATTATAACAAGTTTGGTTTGTTAGTTACATATTTGCTACTTGACATAAAACGACAGCTACAATTGGAAAAAAATTAGGACACATTTTGCAACTAATTGAGAGCAGATTAAATTCATTCTAACGCTGGGCAACAATTACAACAGTAACATCACCCAAGTCTCAACTTCAACTATCATCAGAGATAAAAATAATGTAAAAATGAAATACTTGTTAACAAATTAGCAAAAAGCATTTTATGACACATCTCTAGGTTTAAAGCCAGAAACTCTCTAGGCATAAAGTGCTCCTCACAGCGAGAGCAGTGGCAGATGAAACTGCTTCCCTTGACAACTCACAAGCAATTACTGAATCCCCACAGAGCGAGCCACCAGGTTTCCAAGTCAACCCACCTGTGCATGATAACACACGCGGACAACAAATGGTGCAATGCACAAGATGGGCTCGACACCAGCCTCAAAAATATGGAGCAACTGGAAACCAAGCAAGGCAAAACGTTTTGTTGCTGCTGCGGTTTTGTTTTGAAAAATAAAGAAGTCATCCTTACCTGTCAATGATTACAGGGTCTGAGGGCGTTTCGTTTCTATTGCCACAACTTTTCTTGTCACAGCACCGGCTGTGGAGCAATTGTAAACAGTGGTTTTAATATGCATTTCCCCCTTTTATGCCCGACTTGTATTTTTTTTTTTTTCTGACGTCTGACAATGAAGCGGTAGGAGTCAACTACCAAGGCAGTTTGGAGAATTTAAACCCAGTGAGTTCACGTGTTCTGCGGCTAAACTTACGATGTAACTTTCTACCGGAAGGAGCAAAGTTGAACCTATCTGTTAATACCAGGAGGGTAACCAGAGTACTATATAGATTGTGATGCTAAAATATGGAAAACATGTTGTCGGTGTTTGTCTTTGCAATGAACTGAGGAGAAGGGAAGGCAGGAGGCTTGGGAATAACTTTTCACAGCTTCGGCTTTTGTTTACCTCTAATTGTCAAGCTGTTATTTCTGGAAAAGATGCAAGATGCCACCTTCAACCAATATTTCTTTGGGGCATTTATTAATTATAACCACAAAAGCATGCATCCATCTATCACAAACTTCTATTGTTCCTTCTTTAAGCCTACCTTAACTCTGTTATTGAAACTTTAATTAAAGCAGAAATGAAACAAAAATGTTATGCTTCTTGCATTTTAAAAAAGCATACTTGTATAATGGTTACATGTCTAAATTAGCTAAATTAACACCATATGGTAGGCAAAGTATATAAAGCCTTTTAAAGCTGACAGCTAAAGTGATTAAAGAAAGTCTACAGTCTTCCACTTAGAGCTTAAATCACATCTGTGCGCTTTCTATGTTAATTGCAGTACATGCAGAAGTGGATAATAAAGAAATTCCACTTTATTGGTTGTAATTTATATTTATTACCTGATATGAGAAAAAGTCAGCTTTTGTATATTAGTGCTGTAACAATATGTCTGCTCAGAAATGGCATTTAGGCAACCGGCATCATAGCCAGGCGGAGTATGCCCCTCAGAGTATGCGGCCTGCTACTGTAGCCTGGAAGCCTGCAACGCTTTCCTTGCTATTCCTTGCAACTATATTTCACATGCCACACATACAAAGTCAATGATGCATTTTTATTTGCCATGTAGGGGTGAAACTCTTGTGGTAGTTAGAAAAAACAGGTGGGAAATTGCTCTTCTGACAGAGATCTCAAGTAACGGGCACGCTATCTAACAACGACACGAACGCTGCATCGCTGCTCTAGGGAAGAGGTTAACTGACAGAATCACAATCCAATTCTCACATACACGCGCGCTATAGTAAGTACAAAAGAGTTTCCTTTTTATCAATAACAGACAATTGTATATCTCAGGATGCGAGCGCCTGAGAAGGAAGTAGTAAAATGATTCCGAGTGATCCCTGACTCCTCCGGCACCGCGGACGGATGCATCACCCAGACCTGTTTTCATTTTTGACTACACTGCAACGACACGGCCCACATATTAATCCGCTCTGCTGAGCAGCGGGTCGCGTTGATCGTCAGCGCTGGGGGGAAGGAGCGCGGGCTCCTCCGCGGCCCGGCGCGCGGCCTCGGGCCGATTACATTTCAATCGATGCCCTTCCCGGAGCTGGGCGGGGTGGCGGCGCCTGGACGCGGCGTCCTTTGTAGACGCAGCTGGCGCCGAGGCAGCCCGCGCCCCCGCCGCCCGCCGCCCGCCGCTCACCTGCACATGATCTCGTGGGTCAGCAGCACACGGCACATCTCCGGGTTCTTGTCCTGGCCCTCGTAGACGATGGCCTGCGCGAGGGACAAGCAGAGGCTGGGGTTACGCGGCGCCCGCGGCTTTGGCGCCAAATCGCCCCGGGCGCTGCAGGCCTGGCTGGCAGCAGGTGCACCACGCTCGAGGGGAGGCGATGCGCCCCCCTCCCTCGGCCACCCTCCCGATGGGGTCACCCTCGGAGCTGGGCTAGGCCGCGATGGCTTCTCCCTCCCCTGCCTCCCAGCCTCCTCCCCCGGGCGCCCGCCAGGCCTGCGAGGGGCCTTCGGCTGCAGGGAAGGCGCCGACTGGGCTCGGGCCGCGGGGAGGGCAGGGCGAGGGAGGCCGGGGCCGGGGCGCAAGGAGCGAGAGCCCGCTGGCACCGACCCCGGAACCCGGGGCTCCCGGGCCCCTTCGGCATTCCGCGCCGCCGCCAGGCCGCGTCCTCAGGCCATTGTCTACAACGAGTTCCAATCTGCATGTTGGGAGAGGCCGATCAGAACGCCCCGAGGCTAAAGAAGCAGGGAAGGATGGTCGCGGCGCAGGAGCAGTTTGCCAAGGGCCGAGGGCCGCGCCCGCCCTGCCCTGCGCGCTCCCCCGGCTCTAGCAAGTCTGGCGCCCCGCGGCTTCCCGCGGCTTCCCGCGTTCCAAACCCAGGCGCCCGCGGGGAGCAGGCCGCCCTGGACCGGCCGCCGTCCCGAGCTCCCGGGGCCTCCCTGAGTGGTGGGCAGCGACCTGGCCTCTGCACGCTGCGGGCGGCCTGGGAGCCCAGGCGGGAGGCCCAGGAGCAGCAACCGCACGTGGGCCGCGGCGTCGCCAGCGCCCCGCAGGAGTGCCGGGGCCCCAGGGCGCCCGAGCCCGCGCGGCCACGTGCTCCTCGCCGGATGATATTTGGAAAGAAAGTGCTAATGGCCAATCTGGTGTTTATTTTGAAACTGCTAACAGTGATTTTTCTCGGGTAAAAAGGCAGTCTCTGCGCGCACGCTCGGGTGGGTTTTGAGCAGAGGCTCCGCCAGATGGTGCGAAGCCCTAGGTGCGCTCACGGCCGCGCTCAGCCCGGCTCCGCCGCTGGGAACCCGAGCTGGGGATCGGGAGCCGCCCGCCCGGGCTGGGCCTCCACCACTGGCCTCGCGAAAAAACAGAAAAGAAAAAAAAAAAAAGTCTACTGGGGGAGGGGCGGGAGGCTGGGGCCGGGAGCTCCAAGTTCCCTGCATAAAATTCCACGGAAGGGGGAGGGATGTCCTCTTCTCCGGTTCCCGCCCCCACCCCTGAAAATTATCTGGAAATTCCTTCCAACCTCCCCGGGCACTTCTGACACTTTCCTCTACTTCCAGGCGGACAAAGCCCTTTCTGGTGAAAGCCCGGGGCTGCCCTCCTGGGAAGAGGGAAGGTTCCCCGCGAACCCCGCTCACCCAGCCTCCTGCCTGGACCCGGCTCAGAACCACAGAAGTGATGGGTGTCACCGCAGGCCAACGAGTCGCCTGGCGCTGCAGGGCGCGTGGCCGCGGCGGGCACCAGCGCTTCTGAGAGAGTGGCTTGTCCTCCGATGGATCGCCGTATTTATATTTGATTTATTTTTTATTTTGTAGCACAAACAGAAATCCATAAACTGTCGGTTCAGCGCCATTGACTCTTTGATCAGTTACTGGGCTATTTCTTTCCTTTTTTTTTTTTTTTTTTTGCCCCTCCATGCCCGTCAGTGAGAGGAGATTAAATGCCTTTATTTTCAGCCCTGTTTATACTGCAAAGGTACAAGGCTAAATGAACAATAAAAGTGTACTTAAAACGAAGCCTCCTCCTCCTCTGTGCAACAACAGAGAAACTTAGGGCTGCCTACATAAACCTCTTAATTAGACTATAGCGATTTCCGAAAACATTTAGCCATTATATACAAAGGAAATAAAATCACCCTGTCAACCAGCAGCCGGAGTTCCAGAGGCTTCTCTGAATCGAGTGAAATAATTACAGAAGGGCACACCGCCTCTGTCTTTGTCAGAAAGACCTTAGTTTACCTGTCAGATCTGTTTTACTCTAAGAGAAAAGCACACTGGTTTACCACTGCAGGCATTAAAATCTAACACCCTTGCTACCTAGGTAAGGACAAACTTTTTAAAGGGGAAATAAAATGTGCAAACTAATTGCATGCAGAGAGTGGGAGGCATATGTGCTGGGCTGCAGGAAGCCCCAACGAGCTCTCCTTTACTTGGCTCACAATTCTTAAAGTTAGCATCAAAACCGAAGAAGCCACTTTCATTTCTAAGTGTGAAGTCCAGCTTGGAAGTATATTTTAAAACAATCTGTGCCGAGTGGATTTAATCTACAAACTGGACCTGCCCCCCTCCCCACCACAACACTCTATTTTAAGAAAATGGGGGCGGGGGGAAATCTTTAAAACAACCAAATCAACAACAACACACCACCCAGCACAAAACCAGCAGCCAGAGACTGCACAATGTCAAAAAGCAGTGACGCACTTTTCTCCACTTAATCACATTACTGATAGCCAATAGTTATCATCGGAAAAGTTGACCAAGACAGGTTAAATAATTTAATAAGGAACTGCTTGTAATTATGTTATTTACAAGGTATGACAGAGGGTGGGAGAGGGGGCAGAGCAGTGGACGGGTTGGAGTGACCCCTGGAGCTTGGAGTTTGAATTATGGAGCTGGGGGGCTGCGAGGTGAAGATGGACTAGAGGAGAACAAGGTGACTTTTCACCCCAACACATTTAACTTTTAAATCCAAATAAACGTCTCGTGTTACTAGACCATCACACTGGAAAGGAGAAAAAAAATGAACTAATCAAGTCCAACTCGATGGGCTTAGGAGTTAGCTGCCTTTGTTATAGGAAAAAAAATCCAAATGAACTGATTCCTAGCAGAGAGAGAAGCATTTAAAAATAAACAAGAGGGGGGACATCTTGAAATTTTTGTCAAATATTAATTACCATAATTAATTAAGACAGAATATGATTCCAATCACAAGACATTTAATAAAGCATATATGTCCTGTTCTAATGACAACATAAACTATTTTACCAATCGCTTCATTCATTCCAATAAATATGGAATTCTCATTAGCATGTCAAGGAAACTCAATGGAAAACAAATACACGAGATCCATTTGTCAGTGCCCTTGCCTCTGAAGCCCAGGACAACCCAGGCCCAGCAGTGAAAACTCGTGCAGAGGCATAAACTTTCTCACCTGTTTGGTCATTGAATCTATGAGGCGAACATACAGATCTTGCTCTGTTCTGACTCCTGCAAAAAAACAGAGACAAATTCTCATCAGGATTTGAGTGCTGCACCTCGGGGAGGGCACACGGAGCACAGGAAGTCTGTAACTCAGGACTGCTGCCACGGTGATGCAGCAGAACTTAGGCAATCCCTTTGAAAGGGAGAAAGAGAACCCCACCACTTCTCGCTTAATTTTTTTTTTCTTTTCTTAACTAAGAACCTTAAGGCTCTTAGGGCTTGCATTTCAAGGTGCAAGGAACTTGCCTGGTGGAGAGCAGGCCTGGTAGCTGTGTGCGGTGGGCCCATGTGGTCGTTTATTTTTAGAAAAGAAAAAGCACCAAATGGAAACTGAGTGAGAGGCTGAACTCTTTCTAATGTCTCTCGAGGATTTAAAAAAAAAAAACTCGTTCACAGGAAGTAAGTTATGCTCCGTTTATGGAGTTACCCCCATCCTAATAATTAACATTAATTTGCAAAATTGAAAAAAGTCACTTAAAAGTGATGTTCTGCTGGAGCCCGTATCGATCTTTTTCTTACTTTCTACTTCAAGCCCCACCGGTTAATCATGTGAAGTGCCATCGACTTATTGATCGTTTATGTTTTGTTTTCCTTCTATGCCATGAGAAGATTTCGTGTTTACATCCATGTCATTTTAATCTCAAATCTTTATGTCCTTTCACCAGCGCAGAAAAGGAGAGCCAGCCGCTGCAGGGGCGGCGAGCACGCAGCAGGCACTTACCGTTGCTGTACAATAACTGGAGTTTATAGTGGATGCCGTTGTTGGTTTTCTCGTTGTTTGGCTCCTGAAAGTAACGATAAATAATTGCATTTAGTGCGATCGGTGTCAGGCGCGGCCACCACGCTCGGTCCCCCTCCGCGACCGAGGCTCTCGGCCTCACACATGGCAGGATTCCTAGCTCGAAGCAGCGCGGTGATGTCACTTTCCTGCTGGAAGCCCAGCGTTCTCCTCGCCCCGAGTAAGTCCGAGGGCGCAGAGAAGTTGCCCAGCCCTCGGCGGTCCCGGGCGGCCGCACGTGGCGGCGGCGGGGTGGCCTGGCGGAGCCGAGCCCGCCGCCTAGGGGGGCACTCGAACCCCCGCGCACCGGCACCGCCTGCCTCCCGCTTCTAGAAAGAGAGAGGGTGTGATCGTGTGTTTGCACTTACTTTCTCTTTCTCCACAAAGTCCACAAAAGCGGTCCTTTCAATCTCCACCGGCTGCCCCTGCCTATCGTAGAGCGCCAGCACGAAGTGGAAGAAATTGGATTTCCGGAGGTTGGAAGGCGGCTGCTTCTCGAAGTGCGCCCGCGCCAGCCCCACGCCGCTGCGGGAGGAAAGAGACAGCGGCCCGGTGAGGAGCGCGGCGCCGGCCGGCGGAGGGGGCCGGGCCGGGCCGGGGCCGGGGCCAGGGCGCGCGGGGGCGGCCGGTACGTACCTCTGGGCGGCCGTGTTGGCGTCCACCACGCCCGCCGTGTGCATCCACGAGCGCACCGGGTTCATGCCGCTGCCCAGCGGCTCCTCCTTCATGGTCGTCCCCCCGCGCGGAATATTCTCCTGAATCCCAAACATGAAAACTGCTGGCGGCGGCCGCAGCTCCCGGCCGAAAGCGTTTCCTCGAGCAGCGGCGCTCGGGGCTTGGCGGCAGGCGGCTGCCCTGGCCGCCCTCGCCCTGCTCGGCGCCTGCGGTCCGGCCCCGCCGCCGGCTTCAGCCCGTCCCGGGCAGGCGCGACATACACCAGCGGCCGGGCGCTCCGGACGGCCAGGGGCGCGGAGGCGGCTCCACCGGCGGCGGCGGCGCTTCGAAGGAGCAGGACGCGGTGGCCGCGGCGGCGCTTGTTGTTGTTGTTGTTTGCAGGCGCGCTCAACGTGGTGTCATCCTAGCCAGGCGGCGTCCGCGGCTGCAGGACACTGCGGGATCGCCCGCTTCTGGCGCGGCCCGCCTGCTCCAAAGACAAATAAACGGGGCAGTGAGTGCTGCGGCGCAGTCCCGGGCGCAGGCGGGGCGCGGCGGGGCCTGGAGCGGCGCGCGCAGCGGACGGAGGCGCACAAAACTCAGCCCTCTCTCCCCGAGGAATGGACCCTTTCCCGGGAGCCAAAACTCGAAGCCCCCGGGAGCGGCGCTGTCAGAGGGTGACGTCGGGGGGCGGTGCCTGCGCCATATATGGGAGCGGCCGCCCCTCGCCGCGCCCCTCGCCGCCGCCGCCGCCGCGCTCGCCGACTGACTGCCTGACGGCGCCGCGAGCCGGCCCGAGCCCCGCGAGCCCCGCGAGCCCCGCCGCCGCCGAGCGCCACCGAGCGCCGCCGCCGCCCCCCGCCACGCACCGCGGCTCCTCGCGTCCAGCCGCGGCCAAGGAAGTTACTACTCGCCCAAATAAATCTTGAAAAGAAACAAACGCAGCCACTGCACAATTGCAGTTTGGCCCCTTAATACCTCCCTGCAAAACCTGCCACACAGTCGAACACGATGGGCGGGGCGGGGGGCTGTAAAATGCTGAGGCGCCCCAAGTTGCCCAGATGCATGCAATAAATGCAAGGGGCTGCAGCTTGTCCTGGGGCCGCCCGAAGGAGAAGTGGGAAGAGGCAGGTCGACCGCAGGGAGGGCGCCGGAGGGAGGAGCGGGCAACGGACTGGGAGGAGGGGTGCCCAGGGCTCCCCGGCCAAGGCTGGACGCGCAGCTCAGCCTGATTTCTAAGCAGACCTAAGGCTGCTGCAGGGCCGGCCGGTCCCGGTCTGAGCCCCGCCAGGTACCCCAAGCTTCCTACCCCGGCGGAGGCCGCCGAGTGCCGGGCAGGGAATCACGTCGGAGGCAGGGTCTGCCAGATGCTCCCTCTCCCCCGGTGGCCGCGGCAGACCCCGGCCCCTGGCCTGTTCTTACGCACAGCGAGTGACAAAGAAGGCTCCGGTCTCTCCGGGCCGACGGGAAGCGCGCCCGGCCTCTCCGGCGACCCGGAGCCGGGTGTCTGGCTGCGCGACCTGCGCGGTGGCCAGACCGCCCTGGAGCCAACTGCTCCAAAAACCAAGCGGACGCCGCGGGCGCTGTGGCCCGGCCCTCGGAGCCGCCGGACCCGGGTGAGCGCGCGGCGCGCGGCTTCCCGACCTGGTTTCTAGGAATCGGGAGGGCAGCCGGGCGCGGGCAGACTGTGGGCCCCGCGGCCCAGCTCCTGTAGCCGGGACTCCGCGCCCAGGAGCGCGGCCCGCCCAAAGGACGTCTGCGCGACACGGAGCAGAGACCCAGGGGACGACCAGGAACTGTCCTAGGCACTTCCCTGCCAAGAGAAATCAGGCCCTTTTGATTAAAAGAAAAAAAAAAAAAAGATTGCAGGGCGCAAGTGTGTTGCAGGGCAGCCTCCTCCCGCCGGGTCTGGGGCAGCACTCCCTTTTCCCGTGAATTGGCAGCGTGTGTACGTTAATATTTTAATTAATCGGGAAAGTCGAAGTCCGATTCACGTTGTCTGGGGACCCCCACGCCTCTTGGAAGGAGTGAGAAAAAAGATGTGTTGGAAAGAGATCTATTTTGCTGGTGTTGGGGGTTAATGACTATTGCCAAAGATAAGTGAATTATCAAAGCTGTTGCGCCAGTCCCATCTCAAAATCCATTACGGTGCCGGCCGTCTAATTAAATACGTAAGTATAATAAAATCATATTTTATGACTATTTGAGGGTAATGAGATTAGTCTTTAGAAGCGATAGCCACATATTAAAGATGCCACTGTCTATAGAATGTTAATAACCTTAAATCAAAGTGTATGGAAACTGTTCATGATAAATTAAAAGAAAATTTCTGTATTCCTAATAAGCCCAGCGCTTTCCACTCTCGGCAGACACTGGTGTAGGAGGGAACACTTTCTTCGTGGAGAAACAACGCAAAATAAAGTTGGCCATCGAGGGAGGGTGGGGTTGAGAAACGCTTTGTCTCTGCGTGTTTAGCTGCTTCGGGGGCTCACGCAGGGCAAGCGGCCAGGCAAGCGTTATTGTCAGAATATGCAAAGTGCCTTTTCGGGAAAGATGAAGTTGGAAATAGGAAACAATGCTTCCTTTATAGCACACTTCCTAAAATGTCCAGCCTGTGCTAGAGGTGCCCCTTCCTTGCGCTAACGAAAGTATCATGCTTAAAATCATTTACAGTATCTTTAATTCAGATTACACGCGCCAAGGCGATTTAAATCTGATTACCAAATTAGAAGGTTTAAAAACAAATCCTTCTAAATCTGATACTGTTGACTAAAGAGGAAAAAAAAGTTCTATAAGCCCATCACATAAGGTAACGATCCTGCCCCAGAAAGAAAAGGGGTTTTAAACCTTTTTGACAACAAATGCAGCTGCCCCACTATTTTGGACGATATTAAGCGAAAATGAATGCAAATCTGTGTTCAGCAGCCATCTGGCCCGAAATGGGGGAATCAGCTGCTCTCACAACAGGCTCGGAGGCTGAATCCATTTCAGCTCATTTTCTAGATCATCTGGTCCCGCACCCAAAGCGTGGAAAATACGGTCTTTATCATTCACCAACTTTATCTTTTTTGTCACTCCGCTGCTGGCTCCGAGCTGTGGGCACAAGGACTCGCCTACCGGGCAGGGTCTCCACCTCGGCCTGCTGCGGAGCGGCCTGGGAGGGTACCCCCTGGTCCCCCACCCCATCCCACCCTCAGATTTTCGACTTGATGGGGCAGGAGCAGCAGCAGAGGGGAGCAAGGGACACCGCAGCCAGGCCAGGGATGGGGAAGGGGGCTGCAGGCCAAATCCCAAGTGTCCTGAGTAACGCTGGGAGCGCGTCCCGGCGCTTGGCCACCTCCCGAGGGAGCCCTGCCCCCACCCCTCGCCCTTTCTGGGGAAGGCGGGGCGCTGGGTACCCAGGAGAAGGGAGACGAGGAGAAACAGGCTGCTACTTTGGAAGTTTTGCAGGCCCACGGCGGCCGCAGGTCTAACCTCGGTGCACAGAGCGCTCCCAGGGGCCAGACCGGCGTCCGGGGGCCGGACTGGGCGGAGCCTGACCTTTGCCGGGGACCCCGCGGGCCGCGACGGCTGCGGCGACCGCTCAGGGCCCCGCGCCCAACGCGATTTGCACGGGTGGCCCTCGAGCTGCCGCCGCCGCCTCCTCCTCGGAGGGTGGGAAGTATTCCTTTTGTGCGGATTTACGGGGAGAGGCTTCAATGAGCCCCCTCACATTTGCATTTAAATAGCGGCATCAAGCGCTTCGCGTGCCACACACCAGTGGGCTCCCAGATGTCAAGCCGGAGTCAGTCAGATGGCCAGTGCCCAGCTGTCCTCCCCATGTCGTGCCGGAGCAGGCAGTGACCTTAAAGAGACAGCGCCCGCCGCCCCTGGCGCCCGGCTCTGGGAGCGGCGTGCCGGGCGCAGGGCAGAAGGCCCTGGCGGCGCTTGGGCCACTGATCCGTGGCACCATCAAAAAACCTGGCTGAAGTCTAGCGGGGGCTCTAACCTCCCAGGAGCCGCACCTAGGCTCACCCTGGCCTCCTTGCCCAGCCACTCAGTGCCCGAGCCACCGCGCGTGCCAGCGTCCTCCGCCGGTACCCACTACCCACCCGTGAAGGGGGCTGTTCGGCGCGCGTAGAGAGGAAACTTTCCCCTTACCCCTCCTCAGTCTCAGATCCTCCACTGGTGCCTGGTGCAAGGCCCAGAGACGGGGACCTGGGCTGGTACCGGACTCCAAGCCACCCCCACCCAGAAACTTCGGCCAAGTTGGAATCCCAGGGCGCGAGGCCTGCCGCGGTGTCTGCACGGGCCCAGGGCCCAGCGCCCAGGGCACCGGGCGAATGCCCCCTTCTTGATCGAGGCTTAGCCCAGGGCACCCGCCTACCTCCCTAACATCCTTCCAAAGAGTAATAAACTGCATTTCCGGCGTTGAGAAGCCTGGGCCGAGAGTTCCTGGAGGCCAAGTCCCCTGGAGTATCAGGGGGTGCGCGGGCTCGACCCGACGCCGCACCATCGGAGGGCCCATGGCCACAGGCCCAAGCTGCCTGGCCATGTCACTTGGAGCCTTCGGGAAAGGGTGAAAGCCAATGCACGAAAAGCCGCCAGTTCGTGTGCCCGCCGCCAGTGCTGAGCTGCAGGCGCGGCCCGCCCCAACGTCCTCCGCGCCCGGGGGTCACGCTCAGACCGTGCCGGCCTCCGGGCCTCTAGCCCTGCTCAAGCCTGGGGTCAGAATCGGGCGCCAAGCACAGGCAGGGGCCGGGGAAAGAACAGGAAAAGAGAGAGCCAAACTGACCCTGGGCCCCAGTGGGAAGGAGGTCAGAGGGGCCAGGAGAGACGCACCTAGAAAATCCCGGGAACTGCGGGATAGGGTGGAAACAGCACGCACTGGCAAAGCCTGCCCACCACGGGTGGTGACGCGGCCTCTGAGAGCGCTCCAAGTTCGTCTTGCGCCACGGGGTCACGCTCGTCCGTGGGCCGGGGAAAACCGAGAAGTAAGGGCCATCCCAACCTCAGTCGCGCACAAAGGGAGCCCGGCCAGGTTTGGGTGGGTTACTCAGGACCAGAGAGGGCGCCTTCGCCCTCTCGGCGCGGAGATGCTAGCCGCGGGGGCCTCAGGCGGCATCTGGCGGCAGAGCCCAAGACAGGCCGCGCACCCCGCCTGCCCTCTGAGGCAAGTTACTGGGCAACTCCCCCTGGCACATGGGGCAAACCAACGGGCGCCTCCTCCCTGCGCTGGAGGAAGGATGCCCTGTTGGGTTCACGGGTAAAAAGCAAAAACTGAAGGGTCCCAGACCCCTGTTCTCTGCATTGCCTCCTCCCTCTAATATTTATTCTGTACGGCTAAGATTGCTGAAGCCCGACCCCCAGTACCAGGGAAGGCTCAGCTTCCAAGTGAGAACGTGCAGGCGCCTCCTGCCAAGGCGGCCAAGTTTGACAAACAGCGCCTCCTGGGGTGGGGAGAGTGGAGTGCCGCTGCGCAGCCGGGAGCCGGGAGCAGAACAGCCTGGGCTCCCACCCACCCCGGGGCAGGTGTCCGCCCCGGGTCCTGCCGGCCCCAGCAGCTGGGCCCCGGCTCCTGCGCGACCGGAGCACCTAGTCCTAGCTGACGCCGTGACCCCAGGGGCGCGCGGAAACCGCCACACGCCGCCTAGTCCTAATTGCCGCCCACCTGCGTGAGCAAGGGTCGGACCAAGCCCGGCACTGGGCAGAAGGCCTAGGTACCAAGCGCCATGCGAACGTCCTTGCTGGAGAGAAACCTGCGCTCTAAGTGCCCGGCCCCGCAGCGGGGCGACGGACCTGACCTGGAACTCGCTCAACCTTCTCCCTGGAAAACCATGGGCGCTCCAAGCGGGGCGAAAACGCCGGGGTGTGCCTCGGCTCCTGCAGCGTGCTAAATTATAAGGGAAACAGTTAATTATTGTTTCCTTTTCCTAACTTTTCTCGGATTCCTTCGGTCACTTTGGCCGACCCCACGAGTCAGCTCTGGGGGCTCTTCTACTTGAGCGAAACCCCCAAATCAAACACTGGCGAACTTGGGCTTCTCCCAACGCACCCGGCAACCCGAAAGGTTGCCTGTCTGTAAAGATACTCCGGAGGAGCAGCCGAGCTGGAAAAGACAGCTGGTGCGTGGCGACGTCCCTCGGACCCTAAAAGGCCCATCGGTTTAGCAACGAGCTGGGATTTCTCGAGCTGCGTTCGGCGGCGCCCGGAAAATCAGTCCTGCTGGATGCGCCCGAGCGGGCGCGGGAGACGCCGATTCCGCGCCGGCCCGCCCCCGCCAGTTTACAAAGCAAACTTTCCCCAGAGAAGTTCCGAGATCGAACCACGCGCAAAGTGCGCCAATCAACACCTAAACAGACCCAAACTGTACAAACACGGATCGATCAGATAATTTCAAATATTATAATTGGCTTTAATTAAACACACTGCGTTCTAATTAACTCTGAAATTTTAGCATGCTTTGGGACACTGGTGTCTGATTTGATATTGTCAGTCCAGATGTCCTAATAAAATTCAATCCTCCACTCAAGACTTCAATATTCACCAAGAACAAAATGCAAATTAAATGTAAAACCTAAAGTATTGCCAAAGGTATAATCAAGAAAGGTGTCTCAAAACTTCTCACTTTTTATTACGCAGTAGTTTAAAAATGCAGATTACATCCTAACAAGACCTCTCCAGCATACCATAAATCTTAACTCTTTCATGGACGGGTGTGGAGTGCGATGCCACTGGCTTGAAGGGAAAGGAGGGGGCGGCCAGACCTCATAACAAAATTAAATACCCTCTTCTGGAAGCTAACCGCGCACAAAAGTTTGCCAATAAAATTCTAGTTTGAAACCGCGGTTTGCCAACACGAGTAAAGGAAGTTGGGGTGGTGGAGAGCTACAGTGGGCACGGACGGAAAGGGTGGCCACGGTCACCGATGTACTAATGTCCTCCTCCTCGGCTACCCGATCTCACTCCTTCACAGCACCTTAACAGAGTGTATACACCCGTTCTGGTGCGCAAAAGTGGGGCGATGGGTGCCGGCGGCCGGGCCGGGGAGTCCGTCCGGGTAATTAACTCAGCTCCGGCGACTGCGACGATGAGGCCGGGAGGGAAGGAAGAGCATACCGCTCTTGGACAGAAATGTGTCAAGCTCTCCTCCCTTCCAGCCTGCATAAACCCTTTCGCGCACATTCGCGCGACTTCTAAGGGATCCAAGCCAGCGGACTGGGTCCAGCAGCGCGCGGCGGCGGGACGCACCCCTCCTCTCCCCCCAGGAAGGCGGGTGCACGCCGGGGCTGGAAGGGGGAGGGTGCACCTCTGGCTACAAATTCGGCCGCGAAGAGATTCTTTACCAACTCTAAGGGTTTGCTGAATGTACAGACCAGAATGAGTCCCGTTAAAAGGAAGCTATTCCCACATTAAACATGTGTGTTTTCCATACTAATGGAGTCACTTAAAGCTGTTGCTAATTTAACTTTTTAAAAAGGCCACACTGTGGAAATTTGCATTTTCTTTAGGACATTGAAATGAAGAGAAAACTGCTGGGCGGCAAGGCGGCCCAGGGCATAGCTAGGGGCCATGTAGAAATAAAAACAGATAAAGAAAAGAAGAAAGAAAGAAACCGGCTTCTCTTCTAGACTATTAATAAGCAATTTGTCCCGCTGAAATTTACATTGCAAAGCGGAGGGCGCCGGCAGCCGTGGCGGCGGGCCTGGCGCGGGCTCCGGGGGTGCGTCGGCGCGGGGGCGGGGGGGGTCCTCCGGCCATCCGGGCCGCCCTCGGGGGCGATCCACCGGCGGCTTTGAACTCGGTGTCCTTGCCGCCGTGCCGCCGACCCTCGCCCGCACACGCGCGCATCTGCACGCCAGGGCCCCGCCTGGGCTGCGCACCCGGAGGCCGGGACTGGCGCTGCGCTAGCGCCACCCGGGCTGAGCTGCAGCCTTTTGTGGGGGGGGCGGGAATCCCTCCGCTCCCAGTGACGCCTTGGACTCGCGGACCCCCATCCGCCCCAAACGACTGCCCAGGCCTTAAATTAAAAATGGCAACAATAAGCTTAATTTTTTTTTCCTCCTTAGCCGCGCCGCCCCGGTCCAAGTCTACCGCAAGCGTGGAGCCCCGAGCGCCGCGCCCCCGCCGGCTCTCCCGCCCGCGCGCCGCCCGACGGAGCCGCGGATCCCGGGCCTAGCGTGGGGCCAGGGCGCCATCTACGGGCGCCGCGCGGCTCCGGGCGGCCGCCGCCTCCTCCCTCTCAGCGTCCAGAGCCCGCTCCTCCTCCCGCCGCCGCCGCCCTCGCCCCGCGCCGCCTGCCACTTATCACAATTACCCGACGCTCCCGTGCCATTTTGCTTATGAAACACTGATTGCTAGTTATGCGGACTTTTAAGCACTATATTAAAACTTTCGAAATGAAGGCGCTCTCCTGCCTGCGATTTTTAGGTACAAGATTAAAAGATATGAAATGTAAAGATAATGCAATTTGATTTGTTAGTCTAACTCTGCGATTTGAGACTTGATGTCCCCAAAGACCAGGCGAGCTTTTCCCCTTTATTTATTTTTATTAAAACATCAATCTACGCTGGAGCTGGGTGAACTCGGTTTCACCTGGAGAACATAAAATTCTCCATACCAGAGAAATAAGCACCTTTCATAAATCAATGGTATTCCTGACACATGGATCAATTTTTGGTTGTTAATCCGAAAGGAGGAGTTTTAATTGCTTCCTGCGTTGTCGTCCAGGCATCTAGGCGCTTCGACCTTCCCCATCCCTCTCTCCAAGGGTCTGGCGTTTGTACTGGGGGAAGACGGAGAGTGAAAAACGCGGGGTCCTTCAGCTAAATCCTCGGAACCCCGGATCTTCGCCCGTGCCGGTACGCGCCTCCCCCGCGCCGAGAATCCCTGGCACGCGATCGCCTCCCCGCAGGCCCGCCGGGAAGGCCGCGAGCAGAGGCCAACGGAGGCCTCCCAGGCAGTGCTCGCCAGGAACCAAGACGCTGCCAGGGCGCGGCGCAAAAGTTCACTGCGAGGCCAGGCCTGGGCGCAGCTCATGGTCAGGGGCTCCTGCCTCCACAGTCCCACCCCGCGCCTCCGCCGCAGCCCCGCCCGCGCTCCCGTAGGCGAGAGGAGCGCACCCGGCTCCGGGGCCCCGGCAACCCGGCCCCCAGCGTTCAGTGTCCGGCCCGCCACGCGCGAAGTTCAACTTTGCTGGCGCCGCGGCCGCCTGGGGGCCGCGGGCTGGGGCGGGGAGCCCCCGACGGGATCGAGAGCGCGCTTACCTGTGCCGCTCACTCGACGGACATCGCGGGCGCCCCGGCCGCGAGGTGTCGGCGGCGCCGGCTGCGGGCCGGGAGGTGGGCGGCCCCGCGCCTTCCCACGTTCCCACCTCCCGCCCTCCCGGGAGAGCCCACGGGCCCGGCCGCGAGCACGCCAGTGCGCACGCGCCACACTGCCTTCCACCGCGGGCGGCGGGCTAGGGCCGAGCGGGGGCGCGTGGAGGTGCCCGTAGGCGGCCCAGCGGCCCGCCTGCCACCGTGCCCCGGGGCCGCAGCTGCGCCCAGCGCTAGCCACCTGGAGGAGAGGCCTCCTGGGCCACGCGCGGGGCTCCTCCGCGGGGAGGCCCCCTTGCAAGGACCTGAGCCCCTCTCTTTCGTCGGGGGCCCGAGGGTATTCGTGCGCCTCCTTGGCCAAAAGAGTGCGCCAGGCCTGGAGTGGGGCACCGCTGCTGTGGACACCACTTCGCAGGGCATCTGGAAACGGGTCCCAGGCCCTGGGCGGCTTGAAGCCGTCTGTGTGGATGAGCGCACACTCCCGTGGGCAGGAGATGGCTGGGGTTCTCCCGGTCCTTTTTGGTAAAGTGGATGAGAGGACATCTTCCTGGATACGGATAACTTAATGCAAAGTACTCTACTGGGCCCCGTGACGGCTAAAATGAAATGGGAAGAGGCAAGAGATCGCCCACGAAAACAGAGAAAGCCCGGGGTTCTCCAATAAAGCCACGCTATGGAAGAAAAAACAAAAACAAAAACAAAAAAACGCCTGGATGGCTCCTAGATGAGCTTTGCGTTTAGAGCAATCTCAGTGAAGGAGGGCTTCGGCCGCCCTTCAGAGGCCAGGCAAGCCTGACCACTCCACTCCCATTTTTGATGTCACCCAGCAAATGACCAGAGGTGTAACTTTTCTCATAAGTATCTGGAGCTGCTGCTCTGGAAAAGAAAAGGGGTCAGGCGGGGGTGTGACCTGCATCCCCAACCTGATGGCCGCCCTGGGCTTGGGAGGGGCTGATTAGCCCAGACCCTGGCTCCGGGCCCTGGGCCCCTACCCAGGGCTGCTGCGCTTTTTCTAATTTGCCTCTTCCGGGAGAACCTGGGACTCCTGGAAGATCCTACTAATTCCTATCCATCTGCTTCTTCCAAACCTAAGTGTGATGTAGATACCTGAATAAAGACAACTTTCTTATTGCCGAGATTTGTCTGAAACAGAAAGCACTTTTGTGGGAATGTGGGCCTCACCCTCCTGTATCCATCGCTTTTTCTCGCCTGTTTCTTGCTCCCAGGCTTGTTTCGTGCTCTTCACTTTAAGCTTTTATAGTGAACGTTGAGTGTGCCGAATCATGAAATCTTACTGGAAGGGAAAGTTATTTTTGGCCATTTATTTAGCAAAAGGCACTCTAGAGAATGCAACCCAGAAATGTACTTTATTATGATCACTTAATGTAAGAAAAGAACTAAATAACGAATATTTCCCCTTTGTCATCTTCACTTGGGAATCATTTTTAATGTGAGCCAGCATGAAACCATTTAAGCAATATGCAATATTTTAAGATATAAAATTACCCATGTTTTTAATAGCAACTAACATGTATTGAATGTTATGTGTCAGGCCCAAGCTCAGAAAAGTTAAGGGGCATGTTCTTGTCACACTGCTAGGAAGCTGGGACTCCAACCCCATTGTGGGACTTCAGAGCTCTGGTCATGTGGTTCTGTCACTTGTGGCTTCAGAGGCAAAGGGAAGGGTTTGGGGAGGGCCACCATTCAGTGCCACACACAAAGACTCACAAGTGGCCTTTGCTCAGTCTGTTTGACCAGTTGAGGTAAAATGCTGTGGACGAGGCAAGAAAACAGTTCAATCCCTCTAATAACGACTTGGTGACTCCCTTCCTTCTCCAGCCCAACCACCGCCCCCCCCCACCAACCAAACACACACACCACCCTGCTTTCTGCTCCTCTCCTTGCCCCCTCTCTCCAAGGCTGCAGTCTCAGGATCTCTTTCCTCTAAACAGGCCCCTGGGCACACCGCGTTGCCCACTCAGTTCTCTTCTGGAGCCGCTCCTAGAGAATGTGGCCCAAGCCTTACCCTAGGTGGGTCCTCAAGACATAATTTTGCGGGAATGAGGAATGAATGGAGAGCCATTGGCCAGGTAGACAATGACTCCTGATCTCAGGGGTCTGGAGAGGAATGGCATTGGTCACATGGGTGCATCGCAGGGAACCTCGGCCTATTGACAGGAGACCCAAGGCCTTGTCTTCACAGACAAGAAACAGCACAGAGGTAGCTGTGAATGTAACGAGAAATCACGGCTTTCTCTGCCCCTCACTTACTCCTTCCACGCAGTGGAGACATCCCCCTCCCCACCTTCTTTCCCCATTGGATATTCACTTAGGCTGAGTCAGGTCCTTGGAGCCCAAGTCCTGAGTAAGGCCCTGCCCTCATGGAGCTTACTGTTTGGCATAAGAACAAATCCCCCTTACAGGTGAGACAGGTGAAAGGAAGAGGAAGCAGCTTTGGTGACGTTTGCATTGGGAGAGGCTTAGACAGATCTGACAGGTTAAGCTCAATTCTCTCAGGCATATAAAAATCGATGTCCATTTCATCTGTCGCTGTCCACCTATGTATGCTTTGTCACTGGCCACTGTACCTAGAAATGTACATTCACAAACATCAATAATCAAATCTGTTTCAAT
Source organism: Homo sapiens (assembly GCF_000001405.40). Lineage (NCBI taxonomy): Eukaryota > Metazoa > Chordata > Mammalia > Primates > Hominidae > Homo > Homo sapiens. Next base: position 129,975,583 of record NC_000010.11, read on the forward strand.
ATTTACTTTTATCTCTTTTTTTTCATAGCAAGCAAGGTGTCTTGTAGCCACCACTAACCAGCTCGCATATTCAGTACGAGCCCAGGTGGCGACTCAGAGCCCAGCAACAGTGCACACCAATCCAAGGGGGCAGAGGCCTGGAGGACCCCTGCACAGAAACTTGCCAAGGGTGAAATGCAGTCACCTGCCCCAGAAGTCAGAACGTAATCATGGGTACTTTCAGAGGACAGATACTGAAACTGTCATTATCTGTTCTACTTGCAGGCGGCATGGTGCCTCTCGTTCTGATGTTAAACGTGTCCACCGTGGATCTTCCCTGCAGGAATGGAACACCTGGAGGTCAGGACCCACCTGCTCTCTTCATCTGGTTTACTCAGTTACAGAGCCAGGCACAATGTGGGGGCTCCGTAAAGATGTGTGCAACTGATAAATATGCAATTCAGTTCTTAAAACTTTGTATTATGGAAAATTGCAAACACACACAAAAGTTGATAGATCGCAAATCTCCATGTACCCCTCCTCCACCTTCAACCATTCTCAACATTTTGCTGTCTTATTCCTTCCACCATTCTTTCCTCATCATCTGTTTTCTTAGAAACTACATTTGTATATTTACAGGATCAAAAGCTGTAGATGAAAATGCACATTCCTCGAGTCCAGCATTCGGCCCCAAACTCTCTTTTCCACCTTAACTCGCACATTCCACACTAGTCCAGGCAGGTCCTGCCGGCCCCGTGACCAGCTTCCTGCTGCCTGCATGAGTGCTGGGCTCTCTTCCCTTGGCTTCTGGAAACTCTAGCCTTGGTCCTTAGTCCAGGGAAGCCCCTTTCCATTTTGACTGGACTTCCTGACACCATAATCACTGGCCAAAGGCCTGCCCCGGGTAGACAGGACATCCCAGGCACTTCCTGTGCTAGCTGCCTGTGGAAATGTGGTTCCAGCTGTGCAGAGCTAACCCTGGGAAGCAAAAGCACACATCAAAGCTGGCGGAACAGCCCAGCATGGGACAGGGGCCCGAGGAATCTGCACAGCACAACCGTAACCCCAAGTTCCCCAAGGTGGGACCGCCCATCCAAAAAGTGTGTGCTATAATGGTGGACAGGACAGGACATAAACATGCCTTTTTCTAAGAATAAAATTGTGTGCAACTGATATGCGTTGTTTGTAACTAAAAATAATTCAAGAGAGATATCTCACACTGAAGGAAGCTTCATATTGCTTCTGTGATTGAGAATACTTTGCAGAATCTACTTGGTAAAGACACTGAGATTCTCAAGATAGGAAACAAACAGGTTATCTAGTATTAATTATGCAGTGACTAGGTGGAGATGCTAGTGTCCCAGCCCTCCTCCCTGAGGCACTAAGAATGAAGAGAGAGAACAGGTCACCACCATGACCAAACGAAAGCGACTTCGGTTCTTCTGGCGAGGAGGTTGATTTTTCAGAGAAAGGTGTCAGGGTAGACAGGAACTCTACTAGAACAGTAGTCACCTCCCCCATCAGCTGTCCTGGATCCCCAACACCGACTCCTGCGGCTCTGAGGCCAATGTAAATGTGGTTGTGAGGTGAGAGGTCACATATCAGGTGACAGAGAGTTGAGAAAGAATGGGGCAGCTGCCCTCCCAGGAACTTCGCAAGCCCAAGCTGCAGAACTTACTCACCAGCCATGGAGTCCTATCCATAGAAGACAGGATCCATGTGAGCACAGCAACCAGAAACCCTGTGGTTCTGTTAAAAATATTTCTGATGCATTCATTCAATCTGTTTTTGTATATCCATTAAGAGTATTCCCTCAACTTGAAATTGTATATATTTGTACCATGAATTGTACTACTCAGGAGGAAGTCATTTTTATAAAATGTCAATAATATATTCCTTGCATTTAATTTTGAAATGATCAGAAGAGATGCATAATGACTTCTCTCCAGCCCTGTGGGCCACATCTCTGATCCAGTGCTCCAGGTGAGAGGTGGCACAGATGCTGACCTCTAGAAGCCCACGTAGTTTTGGCCATTGCTCAGCCAGTGGTGATGGGACAGCACCACTGTTGGACAGAATTCAAAAGATGCCCCCAAGATTCCTGTCCCCTCTTATTTGATCAAACACTAATAGAGGTTCTGCTGGGAAGGGACTTTATAGCTGGAATTAAAGTTAATAATCAACTGACCTTAAAATAGGGAGATTATCCTGGATTATTTGGGTGGGCCCAGTGTACTTTCACGAGCCCTTGAAAGCAGCAAGGGAACAGAAGAGTCAGCAAGGTGTACGAGAAAAGGAAGTCAGAGAGATCCAAGTGTGACAGCCACTCAGACTGCCGTGGCTGGAGCGGACCACAGGGAGAGCATGAGACTGACTTCAGGCACCCTCTAGGAGCCAAGATCAGTCCCAGCCGACAGTGGACAAGGACCTCGGTCCTACAACCACGAGTACCTGAATTTAGCCAGCAATTTGAATGAGCTTGCATAAGGACCCCAAGCTCCAGATGAGACACCGTCCAGGCTGACAGCATGATTTCAGCCTTGCTAGACCCTGAATAGGGCACCAGCCACACTTGCTGCACTTCCGATCTGCAGAACTGTGGGAGCGTAAGTGAGTGTTGCTTCAAGCTGTGCAGTGAGTGGTAATTTGTTACAGAAAAAACAGACAATGAATACATCCACCTTTGATGCCGGCCAGTGGATGAGCATCACTTACATTAGTCAGTTGTCATCTTGACATCACTTATGTCAGTCAGTTGTCGTCATGGTAATGCTGTGAAAAGACCTTCCTCAAATGCACTGGCTTAAACAAGAGCCATGCTCTCTCACCCATGCCCATGCAAGTTGGCCTCTGCTGATCTTGGTGGGCTGGTTGAGTCCAGACAGGCATGGCTCTGTGGAGGTCTGCTCCATGTCTCACATATTCTGAGACCAGCTGGCTACCCAGGGTAGGTGCCTCTCACTGCAATGGCAATAGTCCAGGGGATAAGACCAACCGTGCAAGTATACTCAAGACTCCACTCACATCCCATTGACCCAAGAAGGCAGGTGGCCAAGCTAAAGTCCATGACAAGGGGCATAGATATAGGAGGGTGAGTGGCTGAGCCAGTAGCTGGCAGAAGAGTCTGAGAAGGCTGCATGGGCCTCCAAACCCCTTGGTGCTGGAGCCCTGAGAAAGAGAGGCATGTTCTCCTGAGTCCTGAGCTCTTCTGAGAAGTCCCCCAACCACACTCTTCTGAACCATGCAAACCCCTCGCAGCACCCTCAGAGCCAGTCTGGCCTTCAGAGGGGCCAGTCACACCAGATGTGGCTTGATCTCCAGAGGTGGTGAAGGGCAGTGGCCAGGAAGAAGGAGCTCATGGCAATTCATCCCTCATCCATCCCTCCTGCTGGATAGAGAGCAGCTCTGGACAGGCCCTGTGTGTCCTGTTTGTATTTACTCCCTCCCACTCCCAGCACTTGACAGTCTTCCATTCACATACCTTCAATCCAGCATGCCTGCTTGCCATAAATGTCCCAGGGAGAGTTTGGTGTGATTGGCTCACATGACCATCCGGGAACTAAGTGTGGCGGCCTCAGGAGGATGGGCTTCTTTGATAGGCCGGCATCTGTCCTGGACTGGCTGGTGAGGAGTGATCCCCAGAGGAAAGGAAGTGGGGCAATGAGATGCACCCACCTCAGCAACTCACCGAGGGGCTTAGAAAAGCTGTTCTCCCTCCGCGTGTCTTTTCTTATTTGTAAAATGGAAGGTTTCACCCCTCAGTGAGTCATGTGGTTCCTATCAATGCTAAAATTTCATTATTTAATTATGGCTATAGCAGCCACTACAGGGGTTTCTTTAGTTGTATTTGTGGGACAGATGCTCTCCTTGCATCCTAATGTGCCCGGGTCCCTCCACGGAGCGTGAGTGGAAGTTCCACGGAGCGTGAGTGGAAGTTCCATGTGTCCCCTCTGGGTTGGGCTCTGAGACAAGGCATGCCTTCTCCACCCACTCTTTCTCTTTCCCTTAGCTGGAAGCTGAGGTCTCAAAAGCCCAATGCCCAGGGGACATCAGAGTCCCAGATGGAATAAACTGGGACCCCTTGGTCACTACGTGGAGGAATGTTGCCCAATGAGCAGACTGTCAGTGGACTGTTATGTGAGTGAGCAGTAAACTTCTGTTTCTAGCCACTGAAATTTTGCAGATTATTTGTTTATAACAACTCATGAGATGCTCATGGTGACCCGGTTTAAGTGGCCTAAAGAAGACCAGGTGCGGTGGCTCACGCCTGTAATCCCAACACTTTGGGAGGCCGAGGCAGGTGGATCACCTGAGGTCAGGAGTTACAGATCAGCCTGGCCAACACGGTGTAACCCCATCTTTACTAAAAGTACAAAAATCATCTGGGTGTGGTGGCGAGTGCCTGTAGTCCCAGCTCCTCGGGAGGCTGAGGCAGGAGAATTGGCTTGAACCCAGGAGGTAGAGGTTGCAGTGAGCCAAGATTGCACCACTGGACTCCAGCTTGGGTAACAGAGTGAGACAGGAAGAAAAAGAAAAAAAGAAGGAAAGAAAGAAAGAGGAAGGAAGGAAGGAGAGGAGGGGAGGGGAGGGGAGGAGAGGAGAGGAGAGGAGAGGAGAGGAGAGGAGAGGAGAGGAGAGGAGAGGAGAGGAAGGAAGGAAGGAAGGAAGGAAAGAGAGGAGAGGAGAGGAGAGGCCCTTGGCCCTTAGGCCAGAAAATTCTGCTTTGAAAACTTGAATGAGCTCTCTGTGCAAAGGATGGGACCCTCAAAGTAACATTTTGGATGCCCCAGTCCATCCTGCATAAGGAAAAGACTCCCTGAGGAACCTGCTATGCACTGTCTTGCTGGAGTGACAGCACAAAGAGCAGCAGCTTATTTTAAAAAGTAGAAAATTTTGTTTTATTTTAATTATAAATAGTACCTGTTAATAATAAGCACTTTGGGAATTACAAAAAAGAATGGAGATAAAAACCAAGTCACTGTTAACTTTTTAGTGTATTCCCATCCAGCCTTTTAAAAAAGACATTTGTAGATAAATGCTTTTTTTTTTTTTATAATTCGGTGTGTGTTGTATGTACCCACAATTTTTAAAAAGTAACAATAAGAGACTTCCACTTCCAGAAAGATGGAGTGGATGTTCTTTTCCCTATTCTAACTGCTAAGTACAGTTAAAAGCCCTGGACATTATGTGTGAAACAAACATGAGAAGACAGTAAAAGTTGGAAGGAGAAGGAAGACAAGCCAGGGAACGTGAAACCCAGTGAACAACACAGTGGCGATTTTCTTGGCTTTTCTTTTTGCCTCATACATCCCAGACAGAGAGATGAAGAAGTCAGCAACCCAGAAATGCCAAGGGCATAAATTCAAAAGCAAAACAAAACAAAAAATAAAAAACAAAAAACCCTGCTATCTTTGGCCAGAGGACTGGAAGAGAAGCTGTTTAGTAAGATAGAAAACTTTTAGATAATAATGGGTCTACTCCAGCCAAACACCACTGAAAAACTGTGGTCCCACCCCATCCATACCAACAAGGACAAACTGGGGAAATTAGACTTTCACCCTTGAGAGGCTGTAAGGCAGCATCCCAGGCCCCTACAGGGTGGTATCCAGGAAGGTCTAGTGGACAGTCAGAACTTTTACTCCCACCCAGCAATAATGAGGCCATGCCCTACCCCATGGTGTCAGCCGAGGGCTTGTGGGGAGCAGTAAGGAAACTCTCCTACCACTCCCAGTCAGGCAGATATGAGTGGAGGCTTGGTGGGCAGCCAGACCTCCCACACCCACCCAGCAATAAAGAGGACTCTTCCTTATTGGATGTCAATGGAGGTGAGTGGTGAGCCAGGACTGCTACCCCTACCAGGTAGTAACAAGATAATACCTTCCCTTCCTCTGCCAGAACAGCATGAGGGAATGCCAACTCAAACAGAAAGTTGGAATAAGATGCAGAGTCTTATAACATAATAACAAAATGTCCAGATTTCAATTAAAAAAAATCACTTGTCATACCAAGACCCAGAAATATCATAAATGGAATAAAAAAAGACAACCAATAGATGCCAACGCTAAGATGATGAGATGTTTGAATTGTCTGGCAGAGATTTGAAAGCATTCATCATAGGAATGCTTCAATATGCAATTGAAACAAATGAAGAAATAGAAAGTATCAGGAAAGAAATAGAAGATTCAGCAAAGAAATAGAGGATCCAAAGGAAGAACCAAATGTAAATTTTAGAGATAAAAAAATACTATAACTGAAATTAAAAACTCAATGTATGGGCTCAACAGCAGAATAGAGAAGCCAGAGGAAAGAATCAGTGAATTTGAAAAGAGAACAATAAAAATTACCCAATCTAGGCTGGGCGCGGTGGCTCATGCCTATAATCCCAGCACTTTGGGAGGCCGAGGTGGGTGGATCACGAGGTCAGGAGTTTGAGACCAGCCTGACCAACAGGTGAAACTCTGTCTCTACTAAAAATACAAAAATTAGCCAGTTGTGGTGGCACGCACCTATAATCCCAGCTACGCAGGAGGCTGAGGCAGGAGAATCGCTTGAACCCACGAGGCGGAGGTTGCAGTGAGCCGAGATCATGTCACTGCACTCCAGCCTGGGCGTCAGAGTGAGACTCAGTCTCAAAATAAATAAATAAATAACCCAATCTAAAATAGAAAGAAAATAGGTTTTTAAAAATGAATGGAGCCCCAGGAACGTGTGAAATTATAATAAAAGATTCAGTAATCATGTTATTGAAGTCCCAAGAAGAGAAGAATGAGGCCAGAGTTGAAAAAGTACTCAGAGAAATAATGGCTGAAAAATTCCAAAATTTGGCAAAAGACATTAATCTATAGATTCAAGAAGTTAGACAAACCCCAAACCAAATAAATTCAAATAAATCCACACTAAGGCACATCACAATTAGACCTCTGAAAACTAAAGACAAAGGGAAGCATCATGAAAGCAGTGAGAGTGTGAAGACACCTTACCTACAGGAAAAAGGCAATTTTAAAGGCAGTGGATTTCTCATCAGAAACCATAGAAGCCAGAAGGATCTGACAGAAAATAGTTCAAGTGTTGGAAAAAAGAAACTGTTAACCCATAACCCTGTATCCTGAAAAAATGTTCTGCAAAAATATACAGAAAATAAATACATTTTCAGATGGACAACTAAGATAAGTTGATTCTTTAACACCCATCTCAAAAGAATGGCTAAAGGAAGTTCCCTAAACAAGGAAAAAAGAAAAGAAGGAACTTTAGAACAAATAGACTGATTCATGGAGAAACAAACAGTTACCTCAGTGAAATTCTAGAAAGGGTTTCAAGTAACCCACAAGAAGATGGAATAAATAAAAGAGATCAATAAAAACCAGAGAAAATAAACTGAGAACAAAAAATAAAATGGCAGACTGAAGCCCAGACATATTAAAAACTGCATTAAATGTAAATGGTCTAAATACATCAATAAAAGAGAGAGACTAGCAGAGTGGATTAAGACTCAACTATATCCTGTCTATAAGATACTCACTTTAAATATAATGATATAGGCAGATTGAAAGTAAAAGGATGAAAAAAGATATATAGACTTTAATCAAAATAAAGCAAGATTGGAGGAGAGGTTAGGAAAATGGCTGATAGGAGGCAGGACTAAATTGCAGTTTCCACTTACATGGACACAGCAGCATGTGGAGACTTACATAGTAAACGTTTGCTTCAAGAACTACCACAGGAACATACTAGGAAAGCGGAGACAATCCACAGACTCTTTGAAGGAAGCAGATTGCTCCTGCAGGCCCTGGGAGACAGCCCAAAAACTGTGAGTGCCCAAAATGTGAAAGGGGGATTGTCTGCCCCCGAACACACATTCTCACTGGGGAACCTGAAGGTCCAGATCACGAGAGAAGGATTTTACCTTACCTGGAGCTGAGACAATTTTAGAGAGCTGAGTGAAATACAGGGGTAGAAGAAGCAGTGGGAGGAGACCGGTGGGCTCTCTCAGTCCCAAGGGAAGCTGTTTCTGACTTTATCTTGCAGACGTCCTTGGGGAGGGCTGCCAGAGGAACTGGGAAAAGATCACAGGGAGAAGAAAACCTCCAGCTGAACTTTGTAACAATTTTAACCCTGTGAAGTTTTCTGGACAGAACTTGGGGGAGCGGGTGAATCCAGAGTGCAGGTATAGCCCAGAAGCTGCAGCAGGCAGGGAGGGGTGAAACCTAAAAGCCCTGCTTGCTTTCACAGCCCTGAAAGGTAGCCTGGGGCAAGTTCTCACCCCTGCTCACCTGCTGCATGGAAATAAACTCGGTGCTGTTGGGGGCAGGGGCACTGTGGGAGTGAGACCAGCCTTTTGGGCTGTGTGGGAGCTGGGTGAGGCCTGTAACTGCCAGCTTTCCTCCACTTCCCTGGTGAGCTGCATGACACAGTAGAGGCAGCCATAATACCCCTGAGAACATATCTCCATTGGCCTGAGAACCATAACCCGTCTTCCACAGCAGCTGCAGCAAGCCCTGCCCAAGGAGACCCTGAGCTCAGACATGCCTAATCCTGCCCCCACCTGATGGTTTTTCTCTACCCATTCTGGTAGCTAAAGACAAATGACATATTCTCTTGGGAGCTCTAGGGCCCCACCCACAACCCGATCATCCCTATAATACCACAGCTGACACTGTCTTGAAAGCACCACCTCCTGGCAGGAGACCAGCCAGCACAAAACTAGTGCAATTAAAAAAACTACAACTCAGCAAGGCGTGGTGACTCACACCTGTAATCCCAGCACTTTGGGAGGCCGAGGCGGGTGGATCATGAGGTCAGGAGTTTGAAACTAGCCTGGTCAATATGGTGAAACCCCATCTCTACTAAAAATACAAAAATCCTTAGGGCATGGTGGCAGACGCCTGTAATCCCAGCTACTCGGGAGGCTGAGGCAGGAGAATCCTTTGAACCCAGGAGGTGGAGATTGCAGTGGGCTGAGATTGTGCCATTGCACTCCAGCCTGGGTGACCAGGCAAGATGCCACTCAAAAAAAAAAAAAAAAAAAGACAAACAAAAAAACGACAACTCAGTACACTCACAGAGTCCATTTCACTCCCCTGCCACCTCCACTGGAGCAGGTGCTGCTATCTATGGCTGAGAGAGCTGAAGACAGTTCACATCACACAACTGTGCAGACAAGCCCAGAGCCCAATAGCTCTGCTAGGTGGCAAGGTCCAGAAAAGAAATAATAATCACAACTGTTCAGCTCTCAGGAAGCCACATCCCTAGGAAAACGGAGAGAGCACTACATCAAGGGAGCACCCCATGGGACAAAAGAATCTCAACAGCAGCCCATGAGCTCCAAATCTTCCTTCTGACATAGTCTACCCAAATGAGAAGGAACCACAAAAACAATTCTGGTAATATGACAAAACAAGGTTCTTTAACATCCCCAAAATATCACACTAGTTCACCAGCTAGTAGAAAATAAAGGAAATAAAGGACACACTTAGAGAAATGCAAAATGTACTAAAAAGTCTCAGCAATAGAATCAAACAAGCAGAAAAAAGAACTTCAGGCTGGGCATAGCGGCTCAGGCCTGTAATCCCAACACTTTGGGATGCCAAGGCAGGTGGATCACTTGAGATCAGGAGTTCAGACCAGCCTGGCCAACATGGCGAAACCTCATCTCTATTAAAAATACAAAATTTAGCCAGGCATGATGGCACATGCCTGTAATTCCAGCTAATCAGGAGGCTGAAGTGGGAGAATCGCTTGAACCCAGTGGGGCAGATGCTGCAGTGAGCCGAGATTGCGCCATGGCACTCCAGTCTGATGACAAAGCAAGACTCTTTCTCAAAAAACAACAACAAAAAAAAAAACTTCAGAGCTCAAAGACAAGGTTTTCAAATTAACCCAATGTAACAAAGACAAAGAAAAAAAATGTTTTAATGAACAAAGCCTCTGAGAAGTTTGGGATTATGTTAAATGACCAAACCTAAGAATAATTGGTGTTCCTGAGGAAGAAGAGAAATCTAAAAGTTTGGAAAACATATTTGAGAGACTCATTGAGGAAACCTTCCCTGGCCTTGCTGGAGATCTAGACATCCACATGCTCAAATAATACCTGGGAAATTTATCACGAAAAGATCGTCACCTAGGCACATAGTTATCAGGTTATCTAAAGTCAAGACAATGAAAGAATCTTAAGAGCTGTGAGGCAAAAGCACCAGGTAACCTATGAAAGAAAACCTATCAGATTAAAAGCAGACTTCTCAGCAGAAACTCTATAAGCTAGATGGGATTGGGGCTCTATCTTCAGCCTCCTTAATCAAAACAATTATCAGCCAAGAATTTTGTATCTAGTGAAACTAAGCTTCATAAATGAGGGAAAGATTTTTCAGACAAACAAATACTGAGAGAATTCAACACTACCAAGCCAGCACTACAAGAACTGCTAAAAGGAGCTCTAAATCTTGAAACAAATCCTTGAAATACAGCAAAATAAAACCTCTTTGAGGCTCAAATCTCACAGGACCTATAAAATAAAAACTTTTTTTTTTTTTTTTGAGACAGAGTCTCGCTCTGTCACCCAGTCTGGAGTGCAGTGGTGCAATCTTGGCTCACCACAGCCTCCACCCCCTGGGTTCAAGCAATTCTTCTGCCTCAGCCTCCCAAGTAGCTGGGACTACAGGTGCATGCCACCATGCCTGGCTAATTTCTTTTTGTATTTTAGTAGAAATGGGGTTTCACCGTGTTGCCCAGGTTGGTCTTGAACTCCTGAGCTCAGGCAATCCACCCACCTCAGCCTCCCAAAGTGCTAGGATTACAGGCATGAGCCACTGCACCTGGCCAAACAGTTTTCTTAAAAAAAGGTATTCAGGCAACAAATACCATGATGAATAGAATACTATCTCACATCTCAATACTAACATTGAATGTAAATGGCCTAAATGCACTTAAAAGATACGGAATGGCAGAATGGATAAGAATTCACCAACCAAGTATCTGCTGTCTTCAAGAGACTCACCTAACACATAAGAACTCACATAAACTTCAGGTAAAGGGGTGGAAAAAGATATTCCATGCAAATGGACACTGAAAGTGAGTAGGAGTAGCTATTCTTATATCAGACAAAACAAACTTGAAAGCAACAGCAGTTAAAAAAGACAAAGAGAGACATTATATAATGATAAAAGGACTTGTCCAACAGGAAAATATTACAATCCTAAATATATATGCACCTAATACTGGAGGTCCCAAATTTATAAAACAATTACAACTAGACCTAAGAAATGAGATAGACAGCAACACAATAATATTGAGGAACTTCAGTACTCCACTGATAGCACTAGACAGGTCATGAAGACAGAAAGTCAACAAAGAAACAATAGATTTAAACTACGTCCTAGAACAAATAGACTTAACAGATCTTTAAGATTTACAGGACATTCTACCCAACAACTGCAGAATATACATTCTATTCATAAAACGATACAAAAGATAAATGAAACAAGAAGCTGGTTCTTTGACAATATAAATAAAATGGATAGGCCATTAGTGATATTACTCAAGAAAAGAAGAGAGAAGATCCAAATAAGCTCAATTAGAAATGAAATGGGAGATATTAATACTACAACCGATACCACTAGAAACACAAAAGATCATTCAAGGCTACTTGAACACCTTTACACACATAAACTAGAAAACTTGGAGGAGATGTATAAATTCCTGAAAATATACAACCCTCCAAGGTTAAACCAGAAAGAAAAAGAAACTCTGAACAGACCAATAATAAGCAGTGAGATTGAAATAGTAATTTAAAAATTGCCCACAAAAAAAGTCCAGGACTAAATGGATTCACAGCTGCATTCTATCAGACATTCAAAGAATAATTGGTACCTATCCTATTGACACTATTCCACAAGATAGAGAAAGAAGGAATCCTCCCTAAATCATTCTATGAAGCCAGTATCACCCTAATACCAAAACCAGGAAAGGACATAACAAAGGAAGAAAACTACAGACCAATATCCGTGATGAATATAGATGCAAAAATCCTTAACAAAATACTAGCTAACCAAATACAACAGTATATAAAAAAAAAAAAAAAGTCCACCATGATCAAGTGGGTTTCATACCAGGGATGCAGGGATGGCCTAACATACACAAGTCAATAAAGGTGATACAGCACACATAAACAAAATTAACAAAAATCACACAACCATCTCAATAGATGCAGAAAAAGCATTTGACAAAATCCAGCATCGCTTTATGATTAAAACCCTCAGCAAAATTGGCATAGAAGCGACATACCTTAATGTAATGAAAGCTATCTATGACAAACCCACAGCCAAAATAATACTGAATGGGAAAAAGTTGAAAGCATTCCCTCCGAGAACTGGAAAAAGACAAGGATGCCCACTCTCCCCACTTCTATTCAACACAGTGCTGGAAGTCCTAGCCAGAGCAATCAGACCAGAGAAAGAAATAAAGGGCATCCAAATTGGTAAAGTCACTGTTTGTGGATGATATGATCATATACCTAGAAAACCCTAAAGACTACTCCAAAAAGCTCCTGCAACTAATAAATGATTTCAGCAAAGCTTCAGGATATAAAATTAATGCACACAAATCAGTAACTCTGTTATACACCAACAGCGACCAAGCTGAGAATCAAATCAAGAACTCGACCCCTTTTACAATAGCTGCAAAAATAATAAAATACTTAGGAATACACCTAACCAAGGAGGTGAAAGACCTCTACAAGAAAAACTACAAAACACTGCTGAAAGAAATCATGGATGACACAAACAAATGGAAACACATCCCATGTTCATGGATGGGTAGAATCAATATTGTGAAAATGACCATACAGCCAAAAGCAATCTATAGATTCAATACAATTACCATCAAAATACCACCATCATTCTTCACAGAACTACACGGAACCAAAAAAGAGCCCACATACCCAAAGCAAGACTAAGCAAAAAGAACAAATCCAGAGGCATCACATTACCTGACCTCAAACTATACTATAAGGCCATAGTCACCAAAACAGCATGGTACTGGTATAAAAATAGTCACATAGACCAGTGGAACAGAATAGAGAACCCAGAAATAAAGCCAAGTATTTACAGCTAATCTTCAACAAAGCAAACAAAAACAAAAGTGGGGAATGGACACTCTATTCAACAAATGGTGCTGGGATAATTGGCAAGTCACATGTAGAAGAATGAAACTGAATCCTCATCTCTCACCTTATACAAAAATCAGCTCAAGATGGATCAAAGACTTAAATCTAAGTTCTGAAACCATAAAAATTCTAGAAAATAACATCAGAAAAACCCTTCTAGACATTGACTTGGGCAAAGACTTCCTGACCAAGAATCCAAAAGCAGGTGCAACAAAAACAAACATAAGAGATGGTATTTAATTAAAAGATAAAGCTTCTGCACAGAAAAAAAAATCAGCAGAGTAAACAGACAACCCACAGAGTGGGAGAAAATCTTCACAATCTATACATCCAACAAATAACTAATATCCAAAATCTTCAAGAAACTCAAACAAATTAGCAAGAAAAACAAACAGTCCCATCAAAAAGTGGGCTAAATACATGAATAGACAATTTTCAAAAGAAGATATACAAATGGCCAACAAGCATATGAAAAAATGCTCAACATCACTAATGATCAGGGAAATGCAAATCAAAACCACAATGTGATACCACCTTACTCCTGCAAGAATGACCATAATAAAAAAATAAAATAAAATAAAATAGATATTGGTGGGGATGTGGTGAAAAGGAAACACTTTTACACTCCTGGTGGGAATGTAAACTAGTACAACCACTATGGAAAATAGTGTGGAGATGCCTTAAATAACTAAAAGTAGAACTACCATTTGATCAGCAATCCCACTACTGGGTATCTACCCACAGGAAAAGAAGTTATTATACAAAAAAGATACTTGCACATGCATGTTTATAGCAGCACAATTCACAATTGCAAAAATATGGAACCAGCCCAAAGGCCCACCAATCAATGAGTGCATAAAAAATTGTGATACACACACACACACACACACACACACACGCACACACCATGGAATACTACTCAGCCATAAGAAGGAACACAATAATGGCATTTGCAGCAATCTGGATAGAATTGGAGACCATTTTTTCTAAGTGAAGTAACTCAGTAATGGAAAACCAAACACTGTATGTTCTCACTCATAGGTGGGAGCTAAGCTATGAGGATACAAAGGCGTAAGAATAATACAATGGACTTTGGGGACTCAGAGGAAATGGTGGGAGTCAGGTGAGGGATAAAAGACTACACGTTTGTTACAGTGTACATTGCTCAGATGATGGGTGCACCAAAATCTCAGAAATCACCACTAAAGAACTTATTCAGGTAACCAAACACCACCTGTTCCCCAAAAACCCATGGAAATAAAAAATAATAATAAATAATAATAATTTAAAAACAGAAAGCAAAATTGGTTATATTAATATCAGAAAAAGTAGGCTTCAGAGCAAAGAAAATTACCAGAGATGAGAGACATTATATAAAGATAAAAGGGTCAATCTACAAGGAAGAAATAGCAATGCTAGATGTGTTTATACTAAAAGACAGAGCTGAAAATTGTGAAGCAAAAACCGATAGAAATAAAAAGATAATTAGACAAATCTACAGTTATATTAGGAGATTTTGACACCCCACTCTCAACAATTGATGGAATGATTATACAGAAAATCAGCTAAGAGAAAGAAGAATTCAACCACACCATCAACAGAATTTGATCCAGTTAGAGTCTAGAGGACATTTATAAAACATTTCACTCAACAAGAGCATTCTATATATTGTTTTTAAATATCTATTGAACATATATCAATCTAGACCAAATAACCTATGCCATAAAACAGACCTCAACAAATTTAAAAGAATCAAAATCATACAAAGTGTCTTCTAGGATCACAACAAAATCAAAATCATATTTAATGGCAGAAAAATCTTCAAATACTTGGAAACTACACAAGGTACTTTTTTTCCCTCCGAGACGGGGTCTTGCTCCGTCACCTAGGCTGGAGTGCGGTGGCGCAATCTCAGCTCACTGCAACCTCCGCCTCCTGGGTTCAAGCAATTCTCCTGCCTCAGCCCCCCTAGTATCTAGGATTATAGGTGCCCACCACCACGCCCAGCTAATTTTTGTATTTTTAGTAGAGACGGAGTTTCACCATGTTGGCCAGGCTGGTCTCAAACTCCTGACCTCGGGTGATCCGCCCGCCTTGTCCTCCCAAAATGCTGGGATTACAGGCATGAGCCACCCCACCTGGCTATACAAGGTATTTCTACTAAGTCCATGAGTCAAAGAGGAGATCTTGAAGGAAATAAAAAACAAATGCATTCAACTGAATGAAGATGAAAATATGACATATCAAAATTTCTAGGATACAGCTAAAGCTGTGTGGAGAGGAAAATTTATAGTACTAAATGCAATGCATACATTTGAAAAGATGCCAGATCAAATGGACATTCATAGATAAAAACATGAACATTAACCTAAGTGTAACACCTTATACAAAAACTAATTCAAAATAGGGGAAAATCTTGAGTACCTGGGGCTAGTCAAAGAGTTCTTGACTTGACACAAAACCACAATCTGCATAAGGAAAAATTGATAAATTAGTCTTATTAAAATAAGAAAAAATATTTGTTCTGCAAAAGATCCCACAATAAAAAGATCAAAAGATAAGTTATAGACTAGTGGAAAATATTTGCAAATTATATATCTGACAAAGAATAGGTATCTAGAGTATATATAGGACTCTCAAATCTCAACAGTAAAAAAACAAATAATCTAACTAGAAGATGAGCAGAAGATATGGAGACATTTCACCAAGGAGAAGACACAGATGGAAATTAATCACTTGAACATATTTAAAACACTGTTAGTCATTAGAGAAATGCAAATTTAAATCACAATGAAATAACACTACATTCCTATCAGAATGGCTAAAATACAAAATAATGACAACATGAAATTCCGGTGAGGATGTGGGGAAACTGGATAACTCATATATGGCTGGCGGGACTGTAAAATGATGCAGCCATGAGGTGAAGGAAGATGGCCAAATAGAAGCCTCCAGCAATTGTCCCCCCGGCAGGAACACCAAATTGAACAACTATCCACACAAAAAAAGCACCCTTATAAGGACCAAAAATCAGGTGAGTGGTCACAGTACCTGGTATTGACAACATATTAAGGAAAGAGGCACTGAAGAGGGAAGGAAAGACAGTTTGAATGACAAAAGATTCAGCAATCATCTTATTGAAGTCCCAAGAGGAAAATAATATCAGGGCTGAAAAAGTACTTAGAGAAATAAAAGCTGAAAAAGTCTCAAATTTGGCAAAAGGTATAAATCTATAGATTCAAGAAGCTGGGCAAGTTGGGCACAGTGTCTCACTCCTGTAATGCCAGCAGTTTGGGAGGCCGAGGAAGGTGGATCACTTGGGGTCAGGAGTTCAAGACCAGCCTGGCCAACATGGCAAAACCCTGTCTCTACTAAAAATACAAAAAATAAAAAAAAAAAGAAAGAAAAAATTAGCCGGGCATGGTGGTGCCTGCCTGTAGTCCCAGCTACTCGAGAGGCTGAGCCACAAGAATCACTTGAACCCAGGAGGCCAAGGTTGCCATAAGCCAAGATCATGCCACTGCACTCCAGCCTGGGAAACAGAGAGACTCTGTCCTCCACCCCTCAAAAGGAAAGAAAGAAAGAGAGAAAGAAAGAAAGAAAGAAAGAAAGAAAGAAAGAAAGAAAGAAAGAAAGAAAGAAAGAAAGAAAGAAAGAAAGAAGGGAGGGAGGGAGGGAGGGAGGGAGGGAGGGAGGGAGGGAGGGAGGGAGGGAGGGAAAGGAAGGAGAAAGAAAGAAAAGAAAGAAAGAAACAAAGAAAGAAAGCAAGCAAGCTGGGAAAATCCCAAAACAAATAAATTCAAAGAAATCTACACTAAGGCACATCACAATTAAACGTCTGAACACTAAAGACAAGGGGAGCTTCTTGCTGTCTTTGATTAATGTCTATGTAATATATCTTTTTTCATCCTTCTACTTTCAACCTGCCTATATCGTTATATTTGAAGTGAGTTTCTTACAGACAGGATATAGTCGAGTCATGTTTTTTTTGTTTTGTTTTGTTTTTTGAGACAGAGTCTCACTCTGTTGCCCAGGCTGGAGTGCAGTAGTGTGATCTCGGCTCACTGCAAGCTCCACCTCCCGGGTTCATGCCATTCTCCTGCCTCAGCCTCCCAAGCAGCTTGGGATTACAGGCGCCCACCACCACGCCCGGCTAATTTTTTGTATTTTTAGTAGAGACAGGGTTTCACTGTGTTAGTTAGGATGGTCTCGATATCCTGACCGTGTGATCCACCTGCCTTGGCCTCCCAAAGTGCTGGGATTACAGGTATGAGCCACTGCGCCCAGCCGAATCATGTTTTTAATCCACTCTTTTAGTCACTCTCTTTTTAATGATGTATTTAGATCATTTACATTTACTATACCACCCCTCTCCCATCCCCTAGCAGCAGCTGTGTGGCTTGGAGAGAGAATCTGTGCACTTGGGGGAAGGAAAGCACGGTGATTGTGGGACTTTGAATTGGAACTCAGTGCTGCTTAGTCACAGTGGAAAGCAACGTGGGACAGTCACAGCCTTCTGTAGGCTGTCACCCACAGAAGGAGCATTTAGACCAGGCCTAGCCAGAGGCAAATCATCCATCCCAATGGTCAGAACCTGAGTTATGGTAAGCCCCACCATCACAGGCTAACTTGCCCAGCAGTCCTAAATAAACTTGAGAGACAACCTAAGCTACAAAGACTGCAATTCCTGGGCAAATCCTGGTGCTGTGCTGGGTTCAGAGCCAGTGGACTTGGGGTACATGTGACCTAGTGAGACACCAGCCAGGGTGGCCAAGTGAGTGCATGTGCCACCCCTCCCCCAACCCCAGGCAGTGCAGTTGCCACAATGAAAGTGACTTCTTCCTTCTGCTTGAGGAGAGGAGACATCAGAGTAAAGAGGATTTTGTCTTGCAACTTGGATACCAGCTCAGCTGCAGTTAAAATAGGTCACCAGGCAGAATCCTGAAGCTCCTATTCCAGGCTTTCGCTCCTGGATGACATTTCTAGACACACTGTGGGCCAAAAGGGAACTCACTGCCTTGAAGGGAAGGACCCTGTCCTGGCAGGATTCATCATCTGCTGACTAAAGAGCTTCTTTTCCTCTGAATAATCAGCAGTGGTAGCCAGGCAATACTCACCACAGGACTGGGGCAAGACTCAGAACCACACTGGCTTCAAGTGTGACCCAGCACATTCCCAGAATGATGTATACCTATGAGATCTAGAAAACTGCCTCAAAGGCAAATGTAAGAGTGACTGGAGGTAGAGAGAGGGAGAAGCAGAAAGTTTATTCAAAGGTCTAGTTAACACAGAACTTCCCAAAACTAAAGAAAGATATCAATATTCAAGTACAAGAAGGTTTTAAAACACCAAAGAGATTTAACCCAAATAAGACTACCTGAAGACATTTAATATTCAAACTCCTAACAGTCAGTGATAAAGAAAGGATCCTAAAAGCAGCAAGAGAAAAGAAACAAATAACACACAAAGGAGCTCCATGTCTGACAACAAACCGCTCAGTGGAAACCTTACAGGCCAGGAGAGAGTGGCATGACATATTTAAAGTGCTAAAGAAAAGAATTTTTTACCCCAGTATATACCCTACTATATGTACCCTAGTATATCCGTCAAAAATATCCTTCAAACATGAGGGAGAAATACTTTCCCCTACAAACAAAAGCTCAGGGATTTCATGAACACCAGATGTGTCTTACAAGAAATGCTAAAGCAAGTTTTTCGATCTGAAGGAAAAGGATGTTAAGTGAGCAATAGACATCATCTGAAGGTAGAAAACTCACTGGTAATAGTCAGTACACAGAAAAACATAGCCTATTATAACACTGTAACTGTGTTGTGTAAACTACCCATATCTTGAGTAGAAAGACTAAAAGATGAACCTACTGAAAGTAATAACTACAACAACTTTTCAAGACATAGTATAATAAAATATAAATAGAAACAACAAAAAGTTAAAAAGCAGGGTGATGAAGTTAAACTGTAGAGTTTCTATTAGTTGTCTCTTTGATTATTTGTTAGTTCGTTTATGCAATCAGTGTTAGGTTGTCACCAGTTGAAAATCGTGGATTATAAGATATTATTTGCAAGCCTCATGATAACTTCAAATCAGGAAACATACAACAGATATGCAAAAAATAAAAAGCAAGAAGTTAAAACACGCCACCAGAGAAAATCATCTTAACTAAAAGGAGGACAGAAAGGAAGGAAAGAAGGAAGGAAGGAAGGGAGGACCACAAAACAATCAGAAAACAAATAACAAAATGCAGGAGTAAGTCCTGACTTATCAATAGTAACATCGAACATAAATTGACTACACTCCCCAGTCAAAAGATATAGAATGGCTGAATGGATTTTCAGAAACAAGACTCAATAATCTGTTGCCTACAAAGTAAAGATACAGGTAGACTGAAAATAAAGGGGTAAAAAAAGATATTTCATACAAATGGAAAACAAGAAAGAGCAGAAGTAACTATACTTAGACAAAATAGATTTCAAGATAAAAGGTATAAAAAGAGACAAAGAAAGTCATGATACAATGCTAAAGGAGTCCATCAGCAAGAGGGTATAGCAATTGTAAATATATATGCACCCAATACTGGAGCACCCAGATATATAAAGCAAATATTTTTAGAGCTAAAGAAAGAGATAGATCCCAATGCAATAATAGCTAGAGACTTCAACACCCCACTTTCAGAATAGAACAGATCATGCAGACCGAAAATCAATGAGCAAACATTGGACTTAATCTACACTACAGACCAAATGGACCTAATAGGTGTTTACAGAACATTTTATCCAACAGCTTCAGAAACACATTTTTCTTCTCAACACATAAATCATTCTCAAGGATAGACCATATGTTAGACCACAAAACAAGTCTTTAAAAGTTAAAAAAAATTGAAATTATATCAAGAATATTCTCTGGCCACAATGGAATAAAACTATTGGTTAATAACAAGAGGAACTTTGGAAACTATACAAACACATGGAAATTAAACAATATGATTCTGAATGACCAGGGGGTCAACAAAGAAATTAAGAAGGAAATTTAAAAATTGACTGCAACAAATGAAAATGGAAACACAACACACCAAAACCTGTGCAAAAGCAGTAGTAATAGGAAAATCTATAGCAATAAGTGCCTACTTCAGAAAAGTAGAAAAACTTCCAATAAACAACTTAATGATAAACCTTAAAGATCTAGAAAAGCAAGAGCAAACCAAACTCAAAGTTAGTAGAAAAGAAATAATAAATAACAGAGCAGAAATAAATAAAATTGAAATAAAAAAACAATACAAAAGATCAACAAAATGAAAAATCGGTTTTTTGAAAAGATAAACAAAATTGACAAACCTTTACTCAGACTAAGAAAAAAAGAGAGAAGACCCAAATAAATAAAATCAGAGATGAAAAAGACATTGCAACCAAATACCACAGAAATTCAAAGGATCATTAGAGGCTACTATGAGCAACTATATGCCAATAAATTTGGAAACCTTGAAGAAATGGGTAAGTTCCTAGACACATACAACCTACCAGTATTGAGCCATGAAGAAATCTAAAACCTGAACAGAACAATAACAAGTAATGAAATAGAAGCCATAATAAAAAGTCTCCATCAAAGAAAAGCCCAAAACCCAAAAGCTTCACTGCTGAATTTTGGGTCTTGGTTAGTTTTGAGTAGAAAGGCTAAAAGATGAACCTATCAAAAGTAATAACTACAACAACTTTTCAAGACATAGACAGTATAATAAGATATAAATAGAAACAAAACAAGTTAAAAAGCAGGGCAATGAAGTTAAACTGTAGAGTTTAACCAATCCTACTCAAAGTATTCCAAAAGACAGAGGCAGAAGGAATACTTCCAAACTCATCCTATGAGGCCAGTATTACCCTGATATCAAAACCAAAGACACAACAAAAAAAGAAAACTACAGGTCAATATCCCCGAGGAACATTGATGCAAATATCCTCAACAAAATACTTGCAAAATGAACTCAACCAAGCATTAAAAAGGTCATTCATCATGGTTAAGTGGGATTTACCCAAGGATGCAAGAATGATTTAACGTATGCAAATCATTAAGTGCGATATACCATCTCCATATATCCAAATGATCATATGGTTTTTGCCCTTCATTCCATACATCAATGGAATGAAGGGCAAAAACCGTATGATTATTTTGATTGATGCTGAAAAACATTTGATAAAATTCAACACCCCTTCATGATTAAAACCCTTAAAAAACTGGGTATTAAAGGAACATACATCAACACAATAAAAGCCATACACAAAGGACCCATGGCTAGTATCATACTGAATAGGGGAAAACTGAAAGCCTTTCCTCTAAGATATGGAACAAGACAAAGATCCCCATTTTCACCACTGTTATTCAACATAGTACTGAAAGTCCCAGCTAGAGGTATCAGACAAGAAAAAGAAGTAAAGGGCATCCAAATTGGAAAGGAGGAAGTCAAATTATCCTTGTTTGCAGATATGATCTTATATTTGGAAAAACCTAGAGGCTCCACCAAAAACCTATTAAAACTGATAAAGAAATTCAGTAAAGTTTCAGGATATGAAATCAACATACAAAAATCAGTAGCATTTCTATATGCTATAAGCGAGCAACCTGAAAAAGAAATCAATAAAGTAATCGTATTTACAATAGCTACAAATAAAATAAAATACCTAGTAATAAACTTAATGAAAGAAGTGAAAGATCTCTACAATGAAAACTATAAAACATTGATGCAAGAAATTGAAGAGGAAACACACAAAAAAATAGAAAGATATTTCATATTCATGGATTGGGAGAATCAATATTTTTAAAATATCCATACTACCCAAAGCAATCTCCAGATTCAATGCAATCCCTATCAAAATGCCAATGACATTTTTCACAGAAATAGAAAAAAAAATTGGAAAATTTATATGAAACCACAAAAGACCTAGAATAGCCAAAGCTACCCTGAGGGGAAAAAAAAAAACTAAACTGAAAAAACAAAACTGGAAAAATCCCATTACCTGACTTCAAATTATACCACAAAGCTATAGTAACCAAAACAACACGGTACTGGCATAAAAACAGACACACAGACCAATGAAACAGAATAGAAAACCCAGAAATAAATCCATACATCTACAGTGAACTCATTTTTGACAAAAGTGCCAAGAACATACATTGGGGAAAGGACAGTCTCTTCAATAAATGGTGCTGGGAAAACTGGACATCCATATGCAGAAGAATGAAGCTAGACCCCTTTCTCTATCTGTCTACAAAAATGAAATCAAAATGGATTAAGGAATTAATTCTAAGACCTCAGACTATGAAACTACTAAAAGAAAATATTTCAGAAACTCTCCAGGACATTGGTCTGAGCAAAGATTTCTTGAGTAATACCCTACGAGCGCAGGCAATCAAAGCAAAAATGGACAAAAGGGATCAGATCAAGTTAAAAGTCTTCTGCACAGCAAAGGAAACAACCAAATTAAGAGACAATCCACAGAATGGGAGAAATATTTGCAAACTATCTGACAAGGGATTAATAACCAGAATATATTAGGAGCTCAAACAACTCAATAGGAAAAATCTAGTAATCTGATTTTAAAATGGGCGAAAGATCTGAGTAGACATTTCTCAAAAGAAGACATACAAATGGCAAACAGGTATATGAAAAGGTCATATACCTCAACATCATTGATCATCTGAGAAAAGCAAATCAAAACTACAATGAGATATAATCTCACCCCAGTTAAAGTAGCTTTTATCCAAGAGACAGGCAATAACAAATGCTGGTGAGGTTGCAGAGAAAAGGCAACCCTGTACACTGCTGGAAGAATGTAAATTAGTACAACCACAATGGAGAACAGTTTGGAGGTCCTCAAAAACTAAAAATAGAGCTACCATATGATCCAGCAATCCCATTGCTGGGTATATACTCAAAAGAAAGGAAATCAGTATGTCAAAGAGATATCTGCATTTTCATGTTAACTGCGGAACTATTCACAATAACCAAGATTTGGAAGCAACCTATGTGTCCATCAACAGATGAGTGGATAAAGAAAATGTGGTACATATACACAATGGAGTACTATTTAGCCATAAAAAAGAATGAGATCCTGTCATTTGCAACAACATGGGTGGAACTGGAGGACATCATGTTAATTGAAATAAGCCAGCCACAGAAAGATAAACTTCACATGTTTTTACTTATTAGTAGGAGCTAAAAATTAAAATAATTGAACTTATGGAGATAGAGAGTAGAAGGATAATTACCAGGGGCTAGGAAGGATAGTGGGTGATGGGGAGTGGAGATGGTGAATGGGTACAAAAATATAGTTAGAATGAATAAGATCTAGAATTTGATAGCACAACAGGACTACAACCAACAATAATTTATTGTACTTCTTAAAATAACTAAAAGAGTACAATTGGATTGTTTGTAGCACAAAGAAAAGATGAATGCTTGAGGTGCTGGAGACTCCACTTACCCTGACATGATTATTATGCACTGCATACCTGTGTCAGAATTTCTCATGTACCCTATAAATATATACATCTACGATGTACCCGCAAAAACAAAATTTTAAATACTTAGAAAGTCAATATTTATTTATTTATTTATTTATTTATTTATTTATTTATTTTGAGACAAAGTTTTGCTCTGTTGCCCAGGCTGGAGTGTAGTGGCACAATTTTGGCTCACTGCAACCTCTCCTTCCAGGGTTCAAGCGATTCTCGTGCCTCAACCTCCCAAGAAGCTGGGATTACAGGCATGTGCCACCATGCCCTGCTGATTTTTTGTATTTTTTTGTTAAGTAGAGATGGGGTTTCCCTGCGTTGGCCAGGCTGGTCTGTAACTCCTGGCCTCAAGTGATCAGCCCTCCCCAGCCTCCCAAAGTGCTGGGATTACATCCATGAGCAACCGTGCCCAGCCAGAAAATCAATATTTAGAAAATGGTGCAGCCCTTCTGAAAAGACTGGAGCACCTTCTCGCAAAAAAAAAAAAAAAAAAAAAAACTTTGATTTTGTAACTACTATATGATCTAGCAATTGCACGTCTGGACATTAATCCCAAGGAAATGAAAACTTATGTTTCCACGAAAACCTATACCCAAATATTTAAGCAGCCTTATTTAGAATAGCCAAAGACAAAAAAACAACCCAGATGTCCTTTAGTGGGCAGCAAATGGTTAAACAGATGGGTACGGCCATACCATGGATACCACCAAGCAACCCAAAGGAACAGGCAATACACACGGTGACCTGGATAAGTCTCCAGAAAATTATACTGAATGGGGAACGACATCCCAAATGGTGATATACTGTATGATTCTACTTCTTCCAATATTATTGCCATTCTTGAAGTGAGCACAGTATAGAGGATTCTCCAGGGGTTAAGGAAGGATGGAGATGGGGAAGAAGCAGGTGTAGCTGTAAAAGGACAGCAGGAGGGATCCTCGTAGTGAGGGAACGTTCTGCATCCTGACTTTATCAACATGGCCTTCCCAGTTGTTGTACAGTACCTTGTACGAGTGCACCGATATTGTACTGTACTCATATGAGATGTTATCATTGAGGGATACTGAATAAAGACTACAGGTATTCTGTATTATTTCCTACAACTGTATGTGAACCTACAGTGATCTCAAATTTTAAAAATTGAATTAAAGAGTACTGCCAGGCACGGTGGCTCACATCTGTAATCCCAGCTACCTGGGAGGCTGAGGTAGGAAGATCACTTGAGCCCAGGAGGTCAAGGCTTCAGTGAGCTATTATGGTGCCACTGCACTCCAGCCTAGGCAACAGAGTGAGATCCCTTCCCTAAAAAAAGAAAGAGAGAAAGGAAGAAAAGAAGGAAGGGAGGGAGGGAGAGAAGGAAGGAAGGAAGGAAGGAAGGAAGGAAGGAAGGAAGGAAGGAAGGAAGGGGAAAGAGAAAGAAAGAAAAAGAAAGAAAGAAAGAAAGAAAGAAAGAAAGAAAGAGAAAGAAAGAAAGAAAGAAAAAGAAAGAAAGAAAGAAAGAAAGAAAGAAAGAAAGAAAGAAAGAAAGAAAGACTTACTGAGCACCTGCTGGGTGCCAGTTGGCACCTTTAAGTGAGTATTACTTTCATCCAATTTTACAGCATGGACAGGCAGCTCTCCCAAGGTCATCAGCTAGTGGTGTTGAGCCTGGGATTCTGACACCAGAAGTGCCTCTTTCAGCCTCCACCCTCTCCTCAGCCTCTCCACCCTTCAGCCTCCACCCACTCCCCACTGGCTGTTTCTGGGCCCTCCACACAAGCTTGCCCTGTCTTTGAAAGGGACCATCCACTGCACTCAGAGACCCCACCGCCCCCTCTCTTGGAGCAGGTGCATTCTGTGCCCACTAATGTCCCTGGCACTTGCACATTGCAAGGCCCTCTCCCTGGAAAGACACTGGCCACAGGCACCGACTCGGCCTGCACGTGGGACAGAGGACACCCACATCCTCATGCAGGTAGGATGAATCTCCATGATGTCACAGCAGGACTGAGCCCCAGTGCCCCACTCTGGTGACCTGCACATCCACATGCCCTGCACTGACTTCCCAGCTTTTCCTGCCTGACTTCCCCACACCCCTCTGAGTGTGTCCTAGTATCACCTCCCTGGTAGACCAGTGATATGGTTTGACTGTGTCCTCACCCAAATCTCACCTTGAATTGTCATCCCCATAATCCCCATGTGTTGAGGGAGGGACCCAGTGGGAGCTGATTGGACCTTGGAGGCGGTTTCCCCCATGCTGTTCTCATAATAGTGAGTGAATTCTCAAGACATCTGATGGTTTTATGAGGTGGTTTTCCCAGCTCTTGCTAGCAGTTCTCTCTCCTGCTGCCATGTGAAGAAGGTCCTTGCTTTCCCTTCACCTTCCACCGTGATTGTAAGTTTCCTGAGGTTCCCTAGCCATGTGGAGCTGTGAGTCAATTAAACCTCTTTCTTTTATAAATTACTCAGTCTCTGGTATGTCTTTATAGCAGTGTTAGAAGGGACTAATACAACCAGCTATCTCAGAGGCTGGGGCCCCCATCCTGGGATGTGCACACCAGCTCCCTGGGAGCTTTCCTGCACATGGGTGATGCCAAACACCTCTGTGCCTGGAAGACTGCCTGTGTTCATGTCCTGGGGCTGCTCTAACACATGGCCTCAAACTTGATGGCTTAAAACAACAGGGATTTATTCTTTCATAAGAAATGGAAGCCCAAAGTCAGAAATCAGTATCACTGGACTGAAGTCAAAGTATCAGCAGGGCTGCGGTCCTAACGGAGGCTCAAGGGGAGCAGCCGTTCCTTGCCTCTTCTCAGCCTCTGGAGGCTGCAGGGCTTCCTTGGCTTGTGGCTGCATCACTGCTCTCTACCTCTGAGGTCAGAGCAGCTTCTCTTCTCTGTCTGAATCAAATCTCCCTCTGCCTCCTTTGTATAAAGATCCTTGTGATTGCATTTAGGGCCCACTTGGATGATCCTGGACACTCTCCTCATTTCCAGATCTTTATCACACCTGCAAATACGCTTTTTCCTTATAAAGTAAGATTACAGGTTCTGGGGGTTAGGACCTGATATCTTTGGGGTGGCCATCATTCAGCCAACTACATTCCTCAATCTGGGGCTCCAGCCCAGACTGGCCCCTTCTCCACCGGGCATGTGTCCTGTCTAACTCTGAACTCCTCCTTATCTGACACCTGGGTTGCCCTGCACAATTTTTTTTTTTCTTTTGAGACACAGTCTCCTTCTGTCTCCCAGGCCGGAGTGCAGTGGCACTATCTAGGCTCACTGCAACCTCTGCCTTCTGGGCTCAAGTGATCTTCCCACCTCAGCCTCCCAAGTAGCTGGGACTACAGGTGTGCACCACCACACCCAGCTAATTTTTGTAGTTTTGTAGAGGTAGGGTTTTGCCATGTTGACCAGGCTGGTCTTGAACTCCTGGGCTCAAGTGATCCGTCCACCCTGGCCTCCCAAAGTGCTGGGACTACAGGTGTGAGCCGCTGCGCCCGGCCCTCTGGGATTACAGGTGTGAGCCGCTGCGCCCGGCCCTCTGGGATTACAGGTGTGAGCCGCTGCACCCGGCCCTCTGGACATCTTCAACCAAGGCTGCAGCACCCATCTGTTGTAGAAGCCAGAAATCAGGGCGTCATCCTCACTCCCACCTCTCCCTCGTCCATTTTGGCCACGGGTCCGCCCAGGGCCCATGCTACCACCAGCATGGCTATGGGGGCCTTCACCCTTGGGAAGATGCAGGAGGAGCTCATCTCACTCAGAGCCAGCAGCTGTAACGTCACCCAGGAGTGCACGGCCATGCAGGACACTTGCCCATTCTAGAGATGAGCAGTGGTTATTGTTTGTTGCGTCAGAAACCATAAGCCCACTGGTTTCTCTGGGGCCTGGGTCTGGCTCCTGTCCCACTGCAGGTGCAACCTCTCCCCATGATCTTAAGCTGAGAAGTAGCCGTCCTCTGGGCCCAGATGTGTCGTGGACTGCAAGCTTTCCAGATACAGGGTGGTGGCTGTGGACCTGTGCTGGGACTCTGAGGGTGCCAGGCCTGTCCCAGCAGCCCCACACCCAGATACCCTCTGTGAAGGAGATGCAGAGGCAAGTGAGGAGGCCAGCTGCCCAGACGATCCTGCCCAGCATGTTGGGCGCTGCCAGCCACTGGCTCCGGCTGTCATACCCAGGCTGGATTCTGAGGCCGGGGCTGGCCTCCAGACACCTGCAGTGGGCCGCCCCAACCAGCCAGCCCAGCTGCCTGCAAAGACAGAGCTGGGGACGGCCTCTTCTCAAATGTGCAGGAATTTCCTCCCATCTGCCTTTGGCCAGGCCAGGGACCTGGGCTTCCACGGCAAGGCAAGGTGTCTAATCTGCATCTGGGCCCAAGGGTGACCCAGCAGGCCCTGCACAGACTCCCCAAATGGAAGGCACAATGCCAAGAGATGGGGCAAAGGGAAAATGACATCCAGGTCCTAACGGCCTAGCTGCAAGCGTCCCTGGAAGGCCCTATCAGAGTCTACCAGTGCCCAGGAGCCGACCACAGTGACTGACATAGTTGGAGCCAGTGTCCACCTGTGTCTGGGCCATCCGCAAACACAGTTTACAAAGGGAAAGACACTGACGTCAGGTACTCACTCAAATCATTTCCAACAAGAACTTTCTCTGAGCTATTTGTCTCCAAATCTCCCTCAAGGTGGGCAGCTGAGGAGCAGGGCATAAATGAAAGTTGCCAGACAGATGTAAGATTTGGGGTCTTGTTCTGACATGTGACTTCATAGAAACTGGATATGGGCAGGCAGCCACAGGTGATGACTCCACCCCAAGCCTAGGCGATGACAAGTTTCTAGACCTCTGCTCCCTAGAGCTGGCTGAGAACAAAGGCATGGCTGATGTGACCACTTCTGGGAGGACGCTGAAACTGGGTTCCCACTGGACCCAGGCAGTGTGATGTCAGCCTGACAGGTTAAGTTGTTTCAGTGCCGACTGCAAAGACATTCCTGATTTCTCAGCTGGACCTGTGATGTGTCAAGGACTTGACGTCATGGTTCTAAACTGTGCCTGCATAACAGGCTTTGTTAACCAGACGTTGCAAGGCTGGCACACTTTCAGAACCATAGTGCCAGACAGGTGACCCTCATCTGTGAGTCAGGTTGTGAGTGTGCTTGGTGTGGTTGAGGAAGTGGAGTGTGTGGGTACTGTGGTGGTAGGAGGGGCTCTGTGCCACAGAAGGTCTCCATGCACACTCCAAGAACTAGAGCTTCCTCGGACCTTACAACTCTCTGTTTACCTTTCCTGGGAGCAGTTGGCCCATTAGCCACTCACACCTTAGTATGAATTTGTCTGCCCTGCACAGGCCCTCTTACAACACAGCAGCTGGCCACAGCCTGCATTCATGTTTCAAGCTACCCAACCCTGTCGGTCCTGTGAGATTCTGTTTCTTGTGCCTGAAAGGAGACTCAAACCTCATACCAGACTTGGGGAATTTCAGGATATCAAGAATTATGGAAAGATCTCTGGAGCAATCACACAGGAAAAACCAGGCAAACTACAGAGAAATGGGGATCTGATTGGCAACATACTTTTCATCAGGCTCAGTGGGTGCTGGAAAACCACAGAGCTGACCTTTAGAATTGTAAGAAAGAAGAGTATTTTGAACTCAGGATCTGTGCCCAGCTAAACCATCAATTATGTCTGGGGATGAATTTCCAGATATGCAAGTTTGGGGGATGTTTATCCCCTGCTCCTTCTTTTGTGCTTTTTCTGAGAAGCAATTGTTTCAGGATGTACTCCAATAAAGCCAGTTACAACAAAAGGAATTCAAGAAAAAGAGAAATGGGATCAGAAAACAGTTGCATTACCCCATGTGCAACAGAAAAAAAATTCTAGTCTGAAAGTCTAAAAAGCAGCTGATACAAATGAACCATTCAGAATAGTACAATGAGGATGCTGGATGGTCTTCCTCACGTGTTTCTTCCATCAATATGGAAAAACAAAGGCAATTAGCAAGGCCAGGATAAACAAAGAGTTATAGAAGAGTATCATCGGCAATTGATAAGAGTGTAAAAAATATCCATTTAAACGTTGGCTCCCAGATTATCCCCTGCCAGCAGCCAGGCTTAGGGGTGTAAGATTTCATTTCCTTCCTGGGTACAGAAAGGAATAATATTTATGAAATCATAATACATGCTTCCTAGCTTAAGAATTATAGACTCAAAATATTGGCAATTACAGGGAAGACATGGTTACAGATTCAGAACAGAGAGTTAATGTTACACATCTTCTCTGGCTACTTATTAAATTATGACTCTCTCTTCCTTTATTCCTCGCTTTAGTTCTCTCCATAGTTCTTATCACCACCTGATATATTGTCTAATTTACCTATTGATCTTGTTTTTTTTTTTTTCTCCTTCAAACTGGAAAGTGAGCTCTGTAAGGCTAGGGGCTTTTGTCTGTTTGGTTTGCTGCCTACAATAGTGGCCGGCATATAGCAGGTGCTCACTACATTTTTTAGAGCAAATGATATCTGAGCAATGTAAACATGAGGGCTTCATGACACCAGCTGGCACATAGGGTATAGAGCATAGGAGCCCTCAGCTCTTCACTTGACACAGAAGGGAGTCATGAAACAGTGCCCAGGCTGGTGAAACAGAAACAGAGGTCTATGCACATGACTCCAGGCTATTTCCAAAAACATGGAAGAGCTAAAAATGACATAACTAACAAAATTAAGGGGACAATGTAGGAAGTGGAAATGACTTAAACTTCTCTTTCATACTGGGACATCAAATAGAAATGGTCGAAAATTGATAAATCCAGAAACAAAGTAAAAGCATTTTATTTAGAATTATGGTGGTAACAACAAGATCTGAAAACACAAACTGTTAAAATTGTTCTCTCCCGAGAGCGGGACTAAGGGCAGGAAACTTTACTTTTTTCATTTAATATCAGTCTATACTGCTTTAATATTTTTACTTTGTGTGTGTATTACTTTTATAATTTTAAAAAATGTGGGGAAAAAGCTATGTACACAGACCTCAATATCCTTGTTTCCTGTAAAAATGTCTTCACTTATTTATGATTTAGTATTATGCCACTGGACTTTATAGAGGGTCAATATAAAAAATGGCCATCTGAAGAGTGTATCTATATTGTTTGAAAACTGCAATAAAAGACATTCATGTCCATTATGTCACCAAATGTCCCTTATGTGAGGATTCATGCTGTAAACTTCTAGAATTTCACATCTGAAAAAAGTTTGTCTCAACTAGGGAAAAATATCTGCCACAGATATGGAGGACAAAGAGGTTGACATTCTTAATATAAAAAACTTTCTCAAATTAATAACAAAAATCCTTAAATATGTCTATAGAAAAAAAAGAGAGAAAGGATACAAACTCACCAAAGAAGAAATTAAAAATCACCAAATAAGACAGTCAGTTAACATTTTACCTCTAGCAAAATTGAAGGAAAAGCGGTATGGGGAGAAGTGGCAGGAAGAGGAGGAAAGGGAGGAGGGAAAGGAGGGAGGGGAGAAGAGCTCATAATGACAGATGTACGGGGAGCCTGGTGCCCTGGGCTCTTCAGACCAACTGGATAACATGATCAAAACTTAGAAAAAAGATTACTGTGAGCCCAGCATTTCATGTCTAAGAATTTAGCCTAAGAAAATAATTGAGTAAGTATGTAAAAATATATTTCAATCGGATCCCTCAGCTCTTCACTTGACACAAATGAACAATTGGATGAGGAACAGTATTGACTGAGTGCCTCTTCTGTCCCTGGTACTTACAAGGATGTTCATTTAAGGAATTAAAAAATAATAACAATCCAAAACATTGGAAACCAACTCTCTATCCCTGTATTAGCTTGCCAAGGCTGATGTAAAAAACTACCCCAAAATAGGTGATTATAAATAACAGACATTTGTCTTCTGCCAGTTCTGGGGGCTGGAAATCTGAGATCAAGGTGTCAACAGAGTTGGTTCCTTCTGACTATGGGAGGCAGAATCTTCCCCAGGTTGCCCCACTAGCCTCTGGTGGTTTGCTGGCAATCTTAGGTGTTACTTGGTGATATGGTTTGGCTCTGTGTTCCCACCCAAATCTCATGTTGAATTGTAATTCCCAGTGTTGAAGGTGGGACCTGTGGGAGGTGATTGGTTCATGGGGGTGATTTCTAATGGTTTAGCCTCATCCCCCTAGTGCTGTCTCATAACTGAGTTCTCATGAGATTTGGTTGTTAAATGTGTAGCACCTCCCCCTTTGCTCTCTTCCTCCTGCTCCAGCCTTGTGCAACATGCTGGCCTCCCCTTTGCCTTCTGCCACGAGTGTAAGATTCCTGAGGCTTTCCTCAACCATGCCTCCTATACAGCCTGTGGAACTTTGAGCCAATCAAACTTATTTTCTTAACAAATTACACAGTCTCTGATAGTTCTTTATAGTGATTTGAGAATGGAATAACTCCCTTGGCTTGCAAATCTCTGCCTTCATCTTCACCTGGTGTTCTCCGTGTGTGTGTTTCTGTGCTCACGTTTGCCAGGTCTGTAATGA
This sequence comes from Homo sapiens, assembly GCF_000001405.40. NCBI lineage: Eukaryota > Metazoa > Chordata > Mammalia > Primates > Hominidae > Homo > Homo sapiens. The sequence continues at coordinate 130,007,758 of NC_000010.11, forward strand.
CTCTAGTTGTATTAGATTAGGGCCCACCCTAATAATTTCATCTTAACTGGATCCTGCAAAGACCTCATTTCCAAATCACATCATATTCACAGATACTGGGTATAGAGGCTTCAACATCTTTCCGGAGAACACGATTCAACTCATAACAATTCCAGATAGGGAAAGGGTGAAGTAAATGAAGGTAACCCATATCATCAGTGCTACCCAGTCATTAAAATAGTACTGGACATATATAGTTAGTTACACAAAAATATATTCTTAATATAAATTAAATGTTTAAAAAAAGATTATAAATCAATATAATAGCATGATTCAATTGTAGTCACATACATGCGCATTTGCACACACAGCTGGAAAAATACATTCTAGAATGCTCACAGTTACTTTCATTTAAACATTTAACTTATTTAATATCAAGATAGATGAGGGATCTCCCTGGAGTCTCATGGTTACAAGTGGAGCAGAGGTTTTCTCCTTCCTTTCTAGTATTTATCAGAATTCGCAATATATTCACTCGTGTGTCCTTCTATTCCTCACTGCTGCTTTACTAGTCCAGGGGAGCCATGAGCACCAGTTTTGCTCACAACTGTATACCCAGGGATGCGCCCAGTAGACCCAAAATTAGTAAAGTCAGGTGCTGCATAACAACATTTAGGTCAACAACGAACCATGTATACAATGATGGTCTCAAAATTCTAATGCTGCATTGTGACTGTACCTTTGTGATATTTAGATATGTTTAGATACACAAATACCTTCATACAACCGCCTACAGGATCGGTACAGTGACATGCTGTACAGTGTGTAGCTCGGCAGCAAGGTCGCTTAACAATGCACTCCCCAGAACATGTCACTGTCACTAAGTGATGCATGATTGCTTTTAATAAATGCATGAATAAAGGAATTGTGGACGCTTTAATTTTTGTCTTTACTTTCTTTGTCTGGATTTTCTAATTTTTCTACAAATGGACACATATTATCACTTTTATAATCATCATAAAAGGCCTACATGGTTTTTGGTTGTGGCTCAGATGAATTCTGTGCCATTTCCCTGAGAGAAGGGTAACTCCATGTAATGGGCTGATATTTGGAAGACACTCATGTTCTTTTTCTTGTTCTGCACACAGACAACCTTCTCCCGGGCAGCTAGGAGCATCCACCCCCCTCTGTGGGCAGAGGGTGGGTGAGCATTTCTGCAGCAAGAAGAAGTTAATGTCCAGGTTCTGACATTCCAATCCAAGCTGGAATTTATGGCAAGATTTAGAGTACAGGCATTTTTAAAAACAAAGGACTTTCTAAATTCATTTAACTTCTAGCGTGTTGTGGGTTAGGGTTGGTGGATCAGATCCTGGGATCTTACCTTTAAGAAGGTTCTTTGAGGACAGAGAAGGAAAGAAAAGCCTGCCCCACTGCCCTGCAGATCATGGGAAGCGGGGGGACAGAGCCAGCTGCCTGGGAGAGGGGTGTCCAAATTGTGGCTCCCTGCCCAAGACTTCAAATGTGGGTTGGAGAGTTGAAGGGCATGCAGAGGGCAGAAAGGCATTTACACTGATCCTGTGCTGGGACCCTGGGAACCCCAGTGCAGGGAGACGGACCTTGAACATAAGACTCAAGGGTAGAGCAGCATGGTCAGGGGCAGCCCTTCCAGCCCCCAGCAGACACCACGCGGAGGGGCTGGTAGAGGCCCCGCCACAATGGGGGCAAGGTCTCCCACGGCAGGGGCTACATAGGGGAACTCTCTAAGCTGGAGACAGAGGAACCCAAGGCAGCGGCTAGAGGGTCTTAGCTAGGGGCTGCGAGATGCACCATCTTTCTTTTTATAGAGATATTCTGTTTCTGAAGTTAGCACGTCCTCTGTTCGAGATGTCAGCTCTTCCTGGCTGCTTTGGCCCCTGGCGCAAATCACCAGGGAGGTAACCTGACTGGTTAGTGTGTTAGGATGCAGGTAAAGCTGTCATCTCCAAGGGTCTCAAAGGATACTGCAATTTAAATAAGATGCTATTTCTCTCCTTGTACTCGGTTGGATAGCATTCTCCCAAATTCACATCCACCCTCAGAATGGGGCCTTATTTGGAAACAGGGTTCTTTGCAGATGTGATTAGTTAAAATGAGGGTGCATGCACCCTGATACCATTTGGATGTGTGTCCCCTCCAAACCTCACACTGAAATTTGATCCCCAGTGTTGGAGGTGGGACCTGGTAGCAGGTGTTTGGGTTGTGGGGCTGGATCCCTCGTGAATGGCTTGGTGCTGTTCTTGCAGGATTGAGTAAATAAACTGAAACTATCTGAGACAGGTCTCAGTCAATTTAGAAAGTTTATTTTGCCAAGGCTAAGTATGTCGCCATGACACAGCCTCAGGAGGTCCCAACAACATGGGCCTGAGGTGGTTGGGGTACAGCTTGGTTTTATACATTCTAGGGAGATGTGATTCGTCGATCAACACATGTACGATGTACGGTGGCGTGGTCAGAAAGGCAGGACAACTTGAAGTGGGGGCTTCCAGGTCACAGTAGATTTAAGGATTTTCTGATTGTCAATTGGTTGAAAGAGTTATTATCAATAGAAAGTAATGTCTAAGTTATGATAAGGGGTTGTGGAGACCAAAGTTTGATCAGCAGATGAAGCCTCCAGGTAGCAGGCTTCAGAGGGAATAGATTGTAAACGTTTCTTATCAGACTTAAAGATCCTATTCAATCAGTGATTCCAAAAGGGAGGAGGGTAACGAGGCACGTCCAGCTCCCCCTTCCCACCATAGCCTGAATGAGTTTTCAGGTTGACTTTACAATGCCCTTGGCTGAATGGAGAGGTCCATTCAGATGGTTGTAGGGCTTAGAATTTTATTTTTGGTTTACAAGTGGAAGCTTCCTGAGTCCTTACCAGAAGCAGATGCCAGTGCCATGCTTCCTGTACAGCCTGCAGAACCATGAGCCAAATAAACCTCTTTGCTTTGTAAATTACCCAGCATCAGTATTCCTTTATAGCAATGCAAAATGGACAGAGACGCACCCTAACCCACTGACTGCTGTCCTTACGAGGAGAGGAGAGGACACACAGGGACATGGGCAGGCAGAATGACGTGTGATGACAGAGGCAGCTATCACTGTGCTCCAGCTCCAAGCCAAGGAATGCGGAGGGACCCCAACAACCCCTTGAAGTGAGAGAGACAGGAAGGAGCCTCGACCTGGAGCCCTCAGAAGGAACACAGCTCTGCCAACACCCTTGATTTTGGACATGAAAAAGGCCTCCAGATCTGTGAAATAATAAATTTCCGTTATTATAAACCACCAGCTGGTGGCACTTTGTCATGCAGCCCTGCGAAGCCCACGCGTACCTCGAATAGTGCTGAGATGGGCCCACAGTTGGCTCCACAAGGCCCTCCAGCCCCTAGGCCTGGGGGCTGCTCCCACACAGGGCCCCACCGCTGCTCCATGGCCGCCATCACCAAGGCCCCTGCTGCTTGGCTGCGAGGCAGAGGAAGATGTGGGGCTAGTGTTTGTTTCTAAGGAGCCTGCTCAGGGTGGCACCAGTCCTAGTCAGCCCAGCTGCTCAGAGCTGTGAAAGGCAGTCTCTCAGGGGTCCATGGTTTCAGCTGGGACTCACAGGAGTCTTTTCCATCTCTCAGGGGGTCCATGGTTTCTGCTGGGACTCACAGGGGTCCTTTCCATAGAGGAAGATGGGCAAAGACCCTGAGGGTGGTTCAGGGCAGTTTGGCTGCTCCTCTCCCTCATGCAGTGACTGTGGCCTGGGAGGTGGGTCAAGGGAAACAAACAGGGCTCTGAGGACCACCTGGTTAATGAGGGCAGGTCCTCGAAGGAAGCAGGGCTCCCCCAGTCAGCTGTGCAGGTGAGAGCAGGATAAACACAGCAGACGGACCCACGCTTCTGAGTGTTCATGGAGTAGCCCAAAACCATGGTGCCTATTTCCTTCCATTCTTTTAAAAATAGGCCACATAGGAACTTTATACCACATTTAGAAGGGGATGCATTACTTGTAGGCTACAGTAAGAAAGGCAAAATCAAAGGTGATTTGTCTGTGTCTGACCAAAAGCCACCAAGCATGCAGGTACCAGGATGTCCTGTAGCCCAGCTGGTACCCAAGGGAGTCCCAGCACCATTTGGCAAATCTTCCAGACTCAGATGGACACATCCCTTTGACCTTTGACAGGTCCACGTGAGGGTCATGTGTCACTTCCTGACAAACAGTTTAAGGGCCTCAGTTCTATGTTCAAACCCCCTTCGCTCCCCACTCTGGGTGGTCGCAGAGCCTGTGAAGGAAGGTGTCTCCGCCAGCCTGGGCTCCTGGAGCAGGCCAGGCTCCCCCGTGCTGCACCAGCAGTGCAAGCTAGAAGTAACCGGGCTATGTTAAGACAGTATGATCTGGGAGTTGTCTGTTGCTAGCTCATTCAATCAAACAAAGGAAGCAATGTAAACATCTATCAGTGGAGGAGTCTTTAGCTCAGAATCGCAACCCCCGTGCTTCAGGGGCCAGGCAGGAGCAGGAGTGCCAGCCAGCAAGGGAGGCCAGCAAGGGTGGCCAAGACGAAGCTGCTGGGGTGATGGGCAGGTGCTCCTGCAGTGCCAATGCCAAGTGGCGAGGGGTGCAGGTGGCTGTCTCCTCCCAATTTCCAGAAAAGCTGGACATGCAGATTCTACGTGCTTTCGGACACCGAGCAGGAAGTGCAGGAAGCCAGAGGACGAGACGGCGCATATTGTACGACTCCGTTTATCTGAATTGTCTAGAGCAGGGGACTCTATAGAGACAGAAAGGAGGTTGGTGTAGTTTAGGGATCAGGGGCATGAGGTGGGGGAGGTGGGAGGGACAGTTAAAGGGGGAGGGGTTTCTTTTTGAGTGCTGAAAATGTTCTAAAACTGCTGTGGTGATGAGCGTACTATCTGTGAATATACTAGAAACCTCTGCATTGTATGCTGTGAATGGGTGAATTGGATTATATGTGAACTGTATCTCAACAAAGCTGTTTAAAAGAGAATGTGTATATTTGTACATAGACAAGACTGGCTGGTGGCCTTTGCTCCAGGGAGGGGGTCTGGAAGGAAGAGAAGGATGACAGGGGCTTTCCCTTTGAACTTCATGCTATGTCTGCTTTATTTCTGTGTTAGATGAATTTTTGCAATAAGCAATTACTTTTGTTTTGTAGGAACTCAATAAGGATTGAAAAAAGGAGAAAAAACAAAAAGGAAGATACAAACAGTTTCTACGAATGTGAACTTCCGTGGCTTTGCTGGCATTGTCTTTCTGATTTTGAAAAAAGTGGACGTCCCCACGGGCCAGCCCAGGTGAATAAACTCAGTTTCTGTGGCCTGACTGAGATGCACCGTCCTCCACACAGCAGCAAGTACATACGTGAACATCCAGGAAACACACGTGCGTGCTCATAGGTAAACATGGCAGACTCATCATTTCTGGATGGCATCACAGCCATTTAGGGCAAACCTGAATCAGGTTCCGTATCAATCACATCGTTATTGAAAGGGTCTGGTTATAAACCTTGTCCTCAGAATGGATAATTAGAAGATGGATTAGACACAAAGCGCCGTTTCTTTTTCTTAGAGCAGGGAACCTGACGCAGGGCTCTGCAGCCGCTGCGGGCTTGCCGACCGTCGCCTGGTTGTAATCACCATGACTTATGGGTCTTGGCTGGTGTTTTGGGCAAGATGAACATTGTTGGAGCAGAAATTCATAGCGCGTCATAAGTATTCTGCTTTTTTCACTTTTAACAAAACAGACTTTCAGTTCCAAAGGCAGCCTGGGTCTGGAATGTGTGTTAGATCTTTCAGAAACATAAACTTATTTTCTCGTGCTTACCCCTGACGTGTGCTTCCAGGAAAGCGTGACAGGCCACAGGCAAAGTGCAGTCACAACGGGGCTTTGCGCCGAGCAGGAAAAGTCTGGATTTGAAATCAGAGCGGGGCCTTGCCAATGCCACTCTGTTCCTTCCCAGCCGAGATCTGGATGTCCACATTCTGCTTTATTCTTGCTTTTGAGATTCGAGAAGAAAACACCTGCCTGGTGTACTTAGTCCTGAAATGTAGCCCAAGGCAGGGGCAGGACATGTTCAGGAGATCCACAAATCTCCCTTTGGTGAGGTCCCTCCGAGCCCATCCGGAGGATGCAGGAGGTTAGTGAGGGGAGCTTTGGAACACAGGAGCAGGCCTGGAAGAGCGGGGCCTTGGTGGGGGCCGGACCCCGGGCAGGTGGGCCCAGGGATACGAATAGGGCCCTCCCCAGCACAGCTGCCCCACTGGGGACCAGGCACACAGTGGCCCTGGGCACACAGTGGAGGAAATGCGTAAGCAGCTCCCAGAGTCTCAGTAACACGGGGGCCTCTCATCCTGCAAGAAACACCCTGGGGCTCAGAGGCGGGGCGGAGCGATGACCAATGTCCCATGACTCCGCTCCTGGCTGCAGTGTTCAGCCTCATGCAGGCCGAACAGAGCAACCAGGGCGAGCAACCAGGGCCACCAACCGGAAACCAAGCGACATCTCCTCTGATCCCCACCGTGCCTGAAAGGTGGTGGAGTGGGCAGAATAGTGGCCCCAAAGGTGTGTCTATGACCCAATCCCCGGAACCTGCAAATGTGATTTTATATGGCAAGCAAGTGATTATTACCTTCATGACAAAAGATGCAATGAAGTGAAGTTCTTGAGTGCGGAGTGCACCCCAGTCATCCCGGCGGGCTTCCTAAATGCCACTGCGTGTCCTCATAGAGGTGTGCACGGGAGATGTGATACAAACCCAGAGGGGAAGGCAGACTGGCGGGGTGCAGCTGCAAACCCAGGAATGCCTGGACCACCTGGACCTGGAAGGGGCGAGAACAGACTCTCCCCGGGAGCCTCCGCAAGGGCTCGGCCCTGCTAGTACCTTGGTTTTCAGCTTCTGGCTTCTGGAGCTGTGAGAGAATAGATGTCCGCTGTTTTAAAATAAATTTAAATGCACTCAGTTTGCGATCATCTGTCCAGACAGCCGCGGGAAACAACACAGGCAGCATCACACTCCCAAGCCGGCAGCGAGGTTTTCCAGGCTCAAAATCTCCGGGCGGCTCTCTGAGGCCACGAAGCTGGGAGCTGGGGGACCTGGGGTTCACCGGCGGGTCTTTCCGAGCACAGTTGCTCCCGGCCCACCCACGTGGCTGAGCATTTCTTCTGCTCCCGCCCTCCCTCCAAGTCATTTCTGAATCCCCGCCTGATATGACAAAGCTAGCGGAAGAGAAGGCGGGCCACGGCGGGGGTGAAGGCGTGCTGAGGATGCTTGCCTGAATGAACAGCAACGCTTTCTCGGCTTTTTGTGTTGACCTAATGTTTCCATTCTCTTCTCAAGGACATTTCTCTTGGGCATGAATGGGATGGCCTCGCAGAATCTCAGAGAAATCTCAGGAAAACCGAAATGCCCGTGAATGAGCCAGGTAGAGCGCCGGTGAGGGTGAACGGGTGGGCGCTGGCATAGCGGAGCCGCGGTACTGGGCCTGGGGCACTGGCCCGGGACGTGGGCGTGTCTCTGTCAGGTCAACCGGCTGCCACAAACATTGGGCCACTGCCTAGCCAGGAAGACTCCTTCCCTTGCCATGTGGGTTGAAAACAACAGCAGGAATAATAATAACAGATGATACCAATCAGCAATGGGAAGAGCTCAGATGGAACTCTACAAGGTGGGAAGGATCCTGTCCCCGTCACAGAGAAGCAGAAACAAAGAGCCGCTGCCCCAGCCGTGGCTGGAACACACCCAGGTCACACTCAGTGCAGGGACTTGGTTCCAGACGCCTCCTGTCCACCCGGGTCCTGGGCTGCTTCCTCAGGAGAGCTATTTCAAACTTACCAAAACAAGTGGTTGATTTGAAGGCTTATATTTTACATGGAATTTCGTGGTTTTCCTATTATGTGGTGTGCTCTTCGATGTGAATGAAAGCGTTGATTCAGAGACAAAAATCATACGGAAACCTCCATTTTCACCTCCAGGGCTTTGGTCGTGCACAGCAGCCAAGCTCAGGGCCCTATCCCAGTGGGCCTGGGGCCAGGCGGGCAGGCTGGGGATTGGGGAGCAGGGGTGGGGGTTGGGCTGCTCCTGTGCTGCTTCTTCCCCTCCAGATTCTGCCCCCAGCCCTCCCCCCATGCCACCGTCCCCCCGAGGCCCCACCATCCCTCCGCTGGCCACTGGTCGAGTCTCCCATGCATTTTGAGAGACATGGAAACCTGACTGGTCAGCAGAACAGCAGTCAGAAGTGTCCCCTCCCTCTGCGTGGGAGAGACTGTCCTTCCTCTGGTGTCCACTCTGAGAGAAGTGCAAGGGGTATATGCAAAAGAAAATAATTCATTCTATCAAAAAGACGCACAGGCACTCGTACGTTCACTGCAGTGCTGTTCACAATAGCAAATGGAATCAACCTAGGTGTCCTCCAACAATGGATTGGATATATATACCCTGGAATACTACACAGCCCTTAAAAAGAACAAAACCATTTCCTTTGCAGCAACAGGGATGGAGCTGGAGGCCATTATCCTAAGTGAATTAACAGAAGAACCAAAGACCAAATATCACATGTTCTCACTTATAAGTGGGAGCTAAACATTAAATGCACACAGACATGAAGATGGGAACAACAGACACTGAGGATGACCAGGTGGGGAGGAATGGACTGAAAAACCACCTACTGGGTCCTGTGCCCACCATCTGGGTGACAGGATCATTTGGACCCCAAACCTCAGCATCATGCAATATACCCATGTAACAAACCTGCACACATACCCCTTCATCTGTAATAAAAGTTGAAATTATAAAATAGTAAGAAGAAGGCAGAAGGAAGCCATAGGGGACCTGGCCCTGAATGGGCCCACAGCTCAGAGGGGAGATGCAGGTGAGGTGCCAGCACGGGGTCCCAGGGACTACTCCAGAGGACGGGGCCCTGCACTGGAGTCTGGAGGCAACGTGGTGGACAGGAGAGCGCAGCCCCCTTTAGTGACGTCGGATCTACGTGAAACCATCTGCCCATTTCCCTTATCTTTCATCGTTTCAGGGGGACTTTGGGTCAGAACCATGGCTGGCATCTAAAAGATTCATCTATGGCCTTCCTGGGGCAGTGCTGAAGATGCAACACAGGAAGAATGTAGGTTCTTAGCAGACAGTTCTTGTAAAACAAAATAATGAATTCACCCAAAGTATGAGATATTGATTTAGCATCACCCAAGAAGTCATCCTAACACTCCATGAAGAATACGTTTTCAGTTCTAAAATCTTCTAATGGATATGTCAATTTTAACAGATTTTTCCCCGTTAGGTCTAAATCTCTGCTTTGGACGGTAGTGTGCGGCTGGCTGTCAGGAGCACGATCGCATGACAAATGGGGTTATGACGTACATTTCCATTTTCCAAATGAGCCTTGCAGCTGGGGCTACAGCCGGCCTGCCTCTCTCCAGGCAGAATCCTGAGGCTTGGGAAGCAGCCGGAAGCTGGGGTCCTGGGGGTGGGAGGTGGCTCCATCCACAGAGAGCCGGGCAGGGTGGGCCAATGCCAGCTGGGGCCATCCATAAATTTAATTGTTTTATGGTGATGCCTAGTGTTATTGTCTCCATTTTGTGGGGGAAAAGTCTGAGGCCCAGGGAGAGGAAGTGACTTGTCCGATGTCCTGCAGCTACTTGTGATCGTGATAGCAGCTTCCATAACAAACACCGCCGTGGTGCCCATTCTGTGCCGGGGCTGGTCTGAGCGCTGCATCCTTATTAACCCCCTTTGCCCTCACAAGTCACGGCATTATTCACATTTTACAGAGGAGGAAACTGAGGCACGGAGACGCAAAGTTTAGAGATACTCACCAGAGGCCTTTTGGTTGATAGATGTAAAGCTGCGACTTACCCCCCCATCACCTGGGCTCCTGCATTCGGTGACAGAAGCATCTGCTGACTCCCCTGCCCTCTCCCAGGTGATCACACGCACCCCCACCTTCGGCCCCACCCTGGGGGCAAATCACAGCTCTCAGCTATGTGAGGCTCCTTCCCTCCAGAAAGGCAGGGTCTGTCCTGCCACAGCGCCCGGCTCTCAGCCAGCTTGGCCCTCCTGGGCTACAGTCAGGGTGGACGGTGGTCCCTTGGGCAGGGTTCCAGGCTTGCCTGCAAGCAGCCCTTCTGAGGCGGCCAGAGTGACTCGGCGTAGCGAGGGTCCTCATGTCTTTCATCACACAGACCACGTGCTGCTGGGTTTTTTTCCATCGATTTCGTTGCCTTGCTCTATAAGGTTTTCCCCAGGACTTTACCATAATAATGTTTCTAGTCAGGCTGATGATGTCTCCCTTAAGAGATATTAATATTTGAATAAATTGTTTTTAAGGTGCATCTCCTTATGAAATAAACTATAATAAGCACGCTGTAGTGTTCCATGGAACACAGTATGCATCGTGATATATAGAAGGGCTGTCACATATCCATAACTTTGCTTCAACTTCCTGAATCCGTCTGCAAGGGCTAGGATGCCTTTCTAGAACATTCTGTGTTGGAGAGGAAAACTCACCAAGGCTTCTTCAGAATGAGCTAGGGTGTTGGGCTGGACCAGCCTTGGCGGTCAGCTGGGATGCAGCAGTTTCAGGGCTCTTGGAGAGCCCCTCCCGATAGCAGGAGGGGGCTGCTGTGCTGCAGGCTCCGAGAGCGAGTCCACTGTCCAACCAGGGAGCTGAGGTGTGTGATCCACCTCCTTCAAGATCATCCTTCCCCCTGCAGCCCAGCTGGATGAGTCATTGCTTCCTGCTGCAAACCACTGCTGGAGGAGGACTTCACTGCATTTGAAGCTCTTTTCTTTAACGGCAGGTGTTTGATGCATAGCCATATCCAAATCTACTCTTCATTTAGTATTAAACATCTGTTCCAAACAGCATTGTGAAATGTAAATGCTAGCATCTGTGTTAAACCTTAATACAAAATTCATTAAACGCATAGCCCAAAACTTTCCAACCTCATTATAAAGCCGTGTGCTCTGCACTCACTTACCAGAGCTGTGTCATGGCCCTGCAGCCTGTGCTTGAAGGCTGTGCGGCACACAAAAACAATGCCAGGGGGATGGGGTGAGGTTGCCACCATTACCCAAGAGAGGCAGGAAGTCAGGCTCTGCTCGTTTTGTGCATCTCAAGAGAAACTGGATGCCCAGTCCAAAGAACTCTCAGGCTTCACCACCCACGTAAACTCCGATATGTCCAGGCCTGAGACCTTGGTGGCTTCTGCAGTGAGGGCCAGGACAGGGTGGACCACTGGTCAAGACCTGTGGGCTGCCTGTGTAGTCAGCACCCACAAGGCCGAGAAGCCATTTGCAGAGATGACTTGCAGGCAGTGGGGCCCCCACTCACCTGGGGTGCCAGGGAGGTGAGCTCACCATGCTCGTCTAGAACTGCAAGGCAGACAGGCCACAGGGCTGGCTAGAGTCTCGGAGCCTCTCCTTATTAGTGCACAGATGCTCAAAACCATTTCCATAGGATCTCTGCTAAAACACAAGGGACACCTCAGGGCAGCTGGGTACACAGAGGCACCAGATGCCACTTGGCCACTGTTGTGTTTGGTGACCAGGACATGTGTAGGGAGATGCAACTGAAGCAGAAGAAATGGGCAAATCCCTTGGAATAGAGAGGAAACTCAAGAGCACCAAGAGGCTGCTGTGACTGATTCTGCTGTTCCAGATATCTATCATCAATGCCTTGCACCATGGTTTAATTGGCTGTGTTCTCTTTCTTCGTTGGTCATAAAATCATGGTACAACCACTTAGGTGGATGAAATAAATAATGTGTAACTAAAATAGGTTTTGCAAACCAGCACTCATCTGTAGTGTGTAATTTGCTCTAAACGTGTTCTATTTTATTCTATCTCATTTTTCAAAAATACTGGTCGTGATCTACTATATAGTCATGACCAAGATTTCCTGGTTCACTAATGGGCTGCAGTCTGAATAAGATGGTGATGGGAGCCAGCTCGCCAATCCTGTGTGGAAAACCTACCTGGATGTGGAAGAAACATGCCACACGGTTGAGCCTCTGAATCAGCCCTGTCTGACAGAAATGCAAAGGGAGGCACAAATACAATTTCAAATTTGTAGCAGCCCTGTTAAAAGTGTAAAAATAGGCTGGGCGCAATGGCATGCACCTGTCATGCAGCTACTAGGGAGGCTGAGGCAGGAAGATCACGGGCCCGGGAGTTCAAGACCAGCTGGGGCAACACAGCAAGACCCCATCTTTGAAAAAAAAAAAGTGTAAAAATAAGCAGGTGAAGTTAACTCTATGTTTTATTTAACCCAACAATTTAAAAACATCTTACTATGTAATCAATATACAAACATTACTAATGAGATACTTCACATTCTTCTCTTCACACTAAGTCTAAAACCTGGTGTGTTCTGTAGTTTGCACTGACAGCCCATCTCCATTCAGACTAGACACGTTTCGAGAGTGCAGAAAACAAGAGTCCCATGTGGCCAGTGGCTGCCATATTGGACAGCAGAGCTGCAGGGCAGAGGTCGGTCAATCTCTTCTCTAAAGGAACAGACAATAAATATTGTAGGCTTTGCAGGCCAACAGTCTCTGCCACACCTACTCCACCTTGCCACGGTAGAGTAGAAGCAGACAAAGACAATACTTGAACAAATGTCCATGGCCGCATGTAGGTGGCAGGGCAGATCTGGCCTTCGGACCACAGGCTGCCAACCCCTGAAATGGGTCACTCCATGCCTGAAGCCACTGATGTTTTTAGACTCTCTAGTTCAACCCAGTAAGTCCTCTTTCTAAACTTGCTCAAGCTGTCATCAAAAATTCCCAATTCAGAGAGTTACCATTTTGAAATCTGGCCCCCACTGAGAAGCACCGGGCAGCCCTCAGAGGTCCTCTGGTCCACAGATTCCTCCCAGCTCTCTGGCTCCGTCCCAGGAGAACACTCCCCTGCCTGTGTGGCCCAAGCGCTCTGTGTCTGCCTCTCCTCCTCTCCCTTCCACCCCTTACTTCCTGCTGTCTTCTCTGAGCTGTTGACGGGCTCGCCTGCACTTGAAAAGCATGCAGGAACACGAGGCTGTCATCGGTGAGAGCCAGCACTGTCTGCTCAGGGACTTGGAATCCCTAACCCAGGGAGTGGGGGCGACTGTCAGGCTGGCTGCGGGCAAGCTGATGGAAAAGGCCCTCTGAGAGCATGGTGTTCCTGGCCTAGAGAAGCTTCCACACCCTCCCTGGTCACTGCACCTCAAGGCCCTGGAAGAAGCTGGTGGCACCGGCGCTGGAGCATCACTCACTTATAAGCACAAGCAGATGCCAGCCAAATGGCTCCAATGGCTGCTCTGAGCTCCAGACCAGGCACTTGCCCAGCCCTGCACAGGGAATGAGTTTCAAATGACAAACGTTTGCCTAGGGGCTTCCAAATGCCATTCCCGGAACCGAAGATCACTGTGTGATGGCAGCGTGGTGTGGACTTCCCTGGTTTGCCTGCCTGGTCCCCCACCGTCCCGCGGGGGCTCCTTGTCCCCGGCTGGCCTCTGCTGATTAGGAGGCCCTGACCAATGAGTCGCTGCTCTGAGGTTTCTGGACTTGGAGAGGGGAGTGGGGCTCTCTCTGTCAGCTGAGATCCCATTTGGAAGCTGTTGGCTGCCATGGAGAATGCCAATTTGCAGTGCAAGCGAAAGAAGCCAATGGCCCATATGCCAAGGGAGGAGAGTGGGGAAGGAGCAGGCAGGGCCCCAGGGGCATCTGTGGCCTGGAGCTCGTGTTCAGAGTCTGGCTCATTCTTGCTTTTTCTAGTAGCTTAGTGGCTCTTGAGGCATCTCCAAGTGTTTTCACTGAGTCATTCTTTCTGCTTGAGCCAGTTTCCGTTTTGTGTCTACCACATGCAAGCAGATGAGCCCTATGAAGTTCCGTTAAATAAGTCCAATCTAAAGCAGTGGTGGAAGCTGCAGCGAGTGCAACCAGCAGAGAGGGGCAAGAATGGTGTGTCCAGGGATGCCAGGAGGAGCTCAGCCCTTCAGTAGCTGGAACCTGAGGCCAGCAGCTCCTTCCCCACCCATTGCCCCGTTGTCACTGCTGTAGGGCTTAGTTTAGGCTTCGGGGGAAGCGCCTCCCCTCCCCAGAGGAGAACGCACAGGGCTGCTCGGCTAACCCAGACAGAACTCCGTGCCCATGCTGTTTTCATCATGGAGAATGCAAAACACTTGTGATATTCATCGATATCACATGAGCCTTTGGGGGCATCACAGGCATCACCTGGAGAAGAAAAGCCAAAGTCATCCCAAGCTGGGCACACAGGAGCTGCTCTTTAGACTTCCCAAAAAGACTGGAGTGGGTTGCACAGTGTCCCCCCAAATCCACATCCACTTGGCACTTCAGAATGGAACTTGTTGGAAATAGGGTCTCTGCAGATGCTGTTAGTTAAGAGGAGGTCATGCTGGATTAGAGTGGGCCCTAACCCAGTGACTGGTGTCCTTATGAGGAGGAGAAAGACACACAGACAGAGGGAGGAAGATGGCCATGTGGTGCTGGAGAGGCAGACGGGATGCAGCAGCTGCAAGCCACTGAACCCAGAGAGCACTGAGAACCCAGAGGCCGGATGGAACCCGCCCCAGAGCCCTGGGAGAGAGCACCGCCCTGCAGACCCTATTTTGATTTTGGACTTCTGGCCTCCAGAACTGTGGAAGAATAAATGTCTATTGTTTTCAGCCATCCAAGTTTGCAGCCATTTATTGCGACGGCAGCCCTAGAAAATTCATTCAGGGATTCAGGGAGCCACTGGAAAAACTCAGCTCCCTGCAGCCCACGCTGCAGCCCACCCACCCTGCACCGTTGGGTTGCCCTGCCGAGGGAGCGTGGGGCACCCCCCGCACAAAGCCCTCGTCCCTCTCGGTGTGCCATGGGCTCCTTGCCTTCCTGGGCCCTGCCCTGTCCTCTGGGTCCCCTTTGCTGCCGCACATCCCACTTTTCCGATGACCTCAGGGGGTGTTATTATATCATCTACATCGGCATCTGCCTCTCCCTCCTGCACGCAGGTCCTGGAGTCTGTCCCCGGCCCACAGAAGACTCATGAATGAATCACCAAATAGGATCATTCAGCTGAACTGAACTTTACTTGTACTTAAAGAAGAAACAGCTGGGCCTTGTTGGCAAAGCAGGGATTAGAGAAGCAACCGTCGCTGTTTGTCAAGGGCTTGACATTTGTCAGAACGGGGGCTGGATGGCTCGCGTTGCCTGGATGGGTTCGTTCTTTCCCACATCCAGTGAGGGAGATGCTCCTATACCCATTTGACAGGTGAGGTGACCGAGCCCCCGTGATGTGTCACTGGGGGGCCCTGCCGGTCTGGCTCTGGCAGCCACAGGGTGCCACCCACTCTCGTGCGCACCCCTGCTCTCTCAGGTGGTATCAGCCCCACACAAAAGGGAGGAGTGAGGCCAAGAGGAGTTTTCCTCTCAGACGGACCCGGGAACCACCTCAGCCCTGTGCTCGATTTGCTAACAGGACAGTCACCCAGCTCGCATTCACAGCGAAAATGGCTGACATTTTGACATTAAATTCAAATTCCCTTAATTTAGGCGATTCTGTTTATAATCAGCAGCAGCCACACGCACTTCTGAGCCCTGCTTCACGAGGTTGGAGAGGGCGCCTCTTTTGACCATCCAGACTCCTGGGTGGGGAGCACCGGGGCTGGCTGTCCTGGGAGCCTAGGTGGGCATGGGGCACAGAGCTGAGTGGGGCAAGCAGGGCCACCTCAGGGTCAAAGAGCTTCAGGGTTCCTGCAGACATAGTGGGGCAGGATGGGACGCGTTCCCAGGCCTCCCTCCCCACCCTGGTGTGCCTCACCATCTGCCTCCTCCAAACCTGGCCCAGGCCCAGCCAGCACACCTGGGTGCAGAAGGCACGAGTCCATGAGGGCCAGACCACAGAGCCATGTGTCAGCTGGACTGCTCATCTTGAGCCCGGGACCCCACTGGCTTGGCAGGACAGGCCTCCCCAGGAGCCACAGTCACCTTCTCTGTGCAAGCCAAGGTGGTGAGGATGGTTCTGCCCCCACAGGGCGCTGGGCCCGGTCTCCTTCATTCAGACTGTGCCTTGGTGAGAATCAGTGTGTGGCCCCTTCCCGACAGGCTTCACTCCCACTTCACGTCCTCGCTCAGGAAGTCGTCCTGAAATTTCTGATGTGTTAGAACAAGACAGCCGTGGCCTCAGCTCTCCAATGGACAAGGTGGCAGTGTTTGCCCGGCAGCCTGGCCCCTAGTGGCCCACTACCCTGTTTCTGATGCCATGAAGAGCTGCCCCGGCCCCACGGGATGCCCACCAGGATCAGAGACCTGGGGCGGCTTTCCCTCCAGGCCCACCCTGTTAGCCCACATCCCACCCCGCTTCAAGCCTCTGCCCCCGGCACACTTATAGCTGCCTTCTGCTTGTGCCTGTCTCCTGCCTGTGCCCATCTCCTACCTGTACTCGTCTCCTGCCCGTGCCCATCTCCTGCCTGTGCCTGTCTCCTGCCTGTGCCTGTCTCCTGCCTGTACCCGTCTCCTGCCTGTGCCTGTCTCCTGCCTGTATCTGTCTCCTGCCTGTGCCCGTCTCCTGCCTGTATCTGTCTCCTGCCTGTGCCCGTCTCCTGCCTGTGCCCGTCTCCTGCCTGTGCCTGTCTCCTGCCTGTACCCGTCTCCTGCCTGTACCCGTCTCCTGCCTGTGCCTGTCTCCTGCCTGTACCTGTCTGCTGCCTGTGCCCGTCTCCTGCCTGTGCCCATCTCCTGCCTGTGCCCATCTCCTGCCTGTGCCCATCTCCTGCCTGTGCCCGTCTCCTGCCTGTATCTGTCTCCTGCCTGTGCCCGTCTCCTGCCTGTACCTGTCTCCTGCCTGTACCCATCTCCTGCCTGTGCCCATCTCCTGCCTGTGCCCATCTTCTGCCTGTGCCCATCTTCTGCCTGTGCCCGTCTCCTGCAGATGATGGAAACAGCCTCACAAGAGCCTGCTGTGCACACTCATCCCCTAAGACCAACTCACTCCCACTTGAGAAACTCTTGCTCCTGCTGAGGTCAGCAGACATTCATGAAACGCAGGTGTAAGAGATGGCTGGAAGTTTGTTTTCTTTTACTTTCATTGGAAGCAGTTTACAAGCTGCCTTCTAAAAGTACACAAAAAGTGCAAATTGGAGACAGGATGGTTCACAAAACGCTTCTGAGATGCACCCCGTGCCCATCAGCGTGGCCATTTAATGCTATCCACAGGGTGCATGGGCACGTCACGCGTTTGTCTCTCACCCTGGACAAGGCCAGGAAGGTCTATGGCCCGGCTCCATCTCCAGGGCCCAGACACATGAGCCCAGTGGCCTTGGGCAAGTGGCTTCACCTCCTAGAAATTCAGTTCCACCCTCTGCAAATGGGACTGTTACCCCTGGTCTTGCAGGTGTGACAAGGATCAAAGATGAGGTGCAGAAACCCCCAGCAGCATGGCTGGCGCGGGGGAGGCTCTCACCCCAGGGCCTTCGGTCCCAGGCTCCCTGCTTCAGAGCAGTGATGGGCGAGCTTCTATTCTGGGATCTGTGAGATTCTATGGGCCAAAGCCAAGCAGGAGCTTTAACCAACACTCAAGCCAGGAAGGACAGCATGTTGGTGCTTGTCAGGGGCTGAACTGTGCCCCTCCTGGTTCATAGCTCTAAACCCTGACCCCCATTGTGACTATATTTGGAATTGGGCCCTTTAAGAAGGTAACAGAGGTTAAATGAGGTCCTAAGGGTGGGGCCCTAATGCAATGGGACTGGCATCCTTATAATAAGAGGGAGTGGCACCAGGGATGCATGCACAGAGGGTAAGGCCAGGCGAGGACACAGCACCTTTGCTGTCTGCAAGCCAGGAGGAGAGGCCTCAGGGGAAACCAACCTATTGGCACCTTGATCTTGGACTTCCAGCCTCCAGATAATGAGAGAATAAACATGTTGTTTAACACATCCTGCCCCAGGTGATGGCATTTTGTCAGCCCCAAAAGATGAATACAGCAAGCCTCCATGATCTTATTCATTTATCCTTAGAATTCTGTATTTTGACTGATTTGCTGATTGATACCCTGCCATATGCCAAGAAGGATGTGTTCTAACGTCTGTGTTTACAGGCAAATGGTTCCCATGAACAGTGCTAGGAGCCGCTCACAGTGGTGAGAATTATCCTTTCACATTTCCAGGCATGTGGTCAGGCGCTCCCATTTCACGGGTGATCTTATGGAGTGAACCGTGTCTGTC
Source organism: Homo sapiens (assembly GCF_000001405.40). Classification (NCBI taxonomy): domain Eukaryota; kingdom Metazoa; phylum Chordata; class Mammalia; order Primates; family Hominidae; genus Homo; species Homo sapiens. The sequence goes on from NC_000010.11 coordinate 130,025,968, forward strand.
TGCAGCATTGACAGTGGGATTTGCGGTTGAAAGGCGAGGGGACACTTGGGCGGCCGGACGTCCGTGCTGCTGTCCACATCGCGCCTGCCTGTGCTTCATCAGGCTCCACACTGCCTGTGCTATACTATCCAGGGGGTGCCAGCCTGGGCACTCTTCACATCCTCCTTCCAAAGAACTCGGGATGCATCCACGTGCCGCTCCAGAGTATTCTCTGCTGGGCAATTTCAAGGGATATTCATGGAGGGTAATTTTTCCTCTCTTTGAATCTCATTTAGACGTGGTTGTGTTTGTGAGGCTGGAGATTCCAAGTGCTCCTAGTTACTGGGCATCCTGCCTAATTTGAAATGTTTTCCCCTCACAGCCCTTGAGAATCCACAAAATGATCCCAGAGGTCAGCTTGGCACCAGAGCTCCAGTGCTGACCAGTGTGGGGGGTGGGGGCAGGTAATTTGGGCTCCATGTTCAGGCAATAAACACCTCTCCATGCATACCAAAATATACAAAAGGAGCCAGGCGCAGTGGCTCACGTCTGTAATCCCAGCACTTTGGGATCACAAGGTCAGGAGTTCGAGACCAGCCTGGCCAATATGGTGAAATCCTGTCTCTACTAAAAATACAAAAATTAGCCAGTCATGGTGGTGGGTGCCTGTAGTCCCAGCTACTCGGGAGGCTGAGGCAGGAGAATCACTTGAACCCTGGAGGTGAAGGTTGCAGTGAGCCCAGGTTGCGCCACTGCACTCCAGCCTAGGCGAGACTCCATCTGAAGAAAAAAAAAAAAAAATATATATATATATATATATATATATATATATGTATATATATACACATGCCCCTGGCAGGACCCCGTGCCCACGGTGTTCCAGGGAGCACAGCCCTCTGTGTGGGAGGCAGGAGGCTGAGAGTGAGCACTCGCCAGCCTTGAGTCCTCAGGCTGTCAGCCCGAGCCTAAGTGCCCCTTGACTCTGAGGGGTTCCGAGTGAGGGGAAGGTTCCCACACCCACCGCCCACCTGCTGCCAGGCCCTGGGGGAGCTCTAGTGAGAAACGTCCACGTACTACTGCCCAACATGCTCGCCGCTCCTGAAGAGTTTTGTTTGAATAGAAATGTCCCCGTGTCCACGGCCATTTTGCTGGAACAGACTCCAGGCTGCACAGAGGCGCCAACACTGTCCCCAGCCGGAGGCCACCGCTGCTGCCCTCACAGCTGCCATCTCACGGTCTCCCCCTGCCCCACTTCAGGGCTCTCCCCGGGGGGCCAAACAAGGCCCGGCGATGGGGTGGAGCCACTCGCAGCCTCCCCCGACCCACGCGCCTGCCCACCACCCCACATCCTCCCCCAAAACCTCCACACCCGAGGGGAGACCACGGCCAGCCGGGGACATAGGGCCACACTCTGCCCCCAGAACTGTTGGGATGGAGAAGAGTGTACTACATTCCCATGTGTGGGACCGCTATCCCACCAGCGAGATCAAGTTAAAGGTAGACTGAGAGGGTTCAGGAAGGCGGGGAAGGATGCGCTACAGTCCTACCCAGGGACTTGCTATCCCACCGCCGGGTGAAGTTAGGGTAGAATGGGAGTTAGCGTTAATTCAGGAAGGTGGGGAAGGATGCGCTACAGTCCCACCTGGGGACTTGCTATCCCGCCATGGGGTGAAGTTAGGGTAGATTGGGAGTTAGCGTTCAGGGAGACAGGGAAGGATGCGCTACAGTTCCCCTGTGGCTCTCAGTGAAGCTAAGGTGGGCTGAGTTAGCATTCAGCAAGAGCCAAGGCTGCAGCCGGGGCTCAAGTCAGCGTCATCGTCAGAGCTGAGACTCCAGTAGGTTTGATTGCAGATCCCTGAACACCTCCTCTCTACGGGGGATCCTGAGACCCTGAACGGCCACCACCCCAATCCTGGCAACCCCGGCCCGTCGGCCGTGAGACTTTCACTTGCAGCTGCTTGGAATAATCAGGACATTCCCCGAAGGCCCAGGTACTGCTGTGCTCTCCTCGGGGGCCGAAACCCCTTCCTCAGTGCGTGTGCTGTGGGCGTCACGTGCAGAGCTTCCCCTGCTGCCTCCTCAACTTGTCTCAGCAGGAGGGCCTGGCGAGGGGTCGCTCTGCCCCTGGCGAGGGCCGTCCCTGGATGTAGGGTCCCAAGCCCTCTGCTCAGCTGCCTGTCCTGTTGAAGGGGATGACTCCCTGGGATTCTGAATCCTGAATGGACAACTGTCTTTTGTGCTAAGCGCCTGCCTCTGAGGGCCTTGCATAGGCCGGACACTTCAGGCACCACCACTCCAAATGCACCCTGTGTAGAATCAGTAGCCCTGGGCGGTGGGCGGGGACTCTCCCTTTGGTCCTGTGTATTGCTTGGGCTCAGCGCCAACAGAGCCAGGGCCTCCCTTCCTTGGGTGAGTCCAGCCAGCCGGCTGCACGGGCCTCTCTGGCAACAACCCAGATGCCTCGCCTGCCTGAGTGAGAGGTGGGCTCTGGGCAAGTCCTCAGCAGCTGGCAATTGTGGGGGACCGGCAGGGCAGGGGTCCCCTGACCCCATAGCTCTGCCTGACCTGAAAGGAAGCTTGAGAAGTAAAGGCAAAGAGGGGGTGACTCAGTGTGTGGGCCCAGACTACTCATCCACAAGTCCCAGAGGCTGGGTGGCTTCAGGGTATAAGAGGTGATGCGGCCTCCAATGAGGCCCCAGCCATGACCATAGGGATTCCTGCTGCCGCTGTGGCCCTGGGCAGAGTGGGTCTTGGGCATGGGCCAGCACCCAGGGAATGGACAGGGGCAGGAGGCCAGGCCAGCTCCTGGGTCAGGGCTGCTATGAACGTAGAAGGGAGACCACTGATGCCTCAGGAACTTCACTGCAGGCAGAATGAGTCCAGAAAACCTCAAGAAGGAAGTGAGTATGATTCCCCGTGTCTGCTCATGCCAGCCGATGCTGCAGCCTGGTTCTCCCTGGAGCCCTTGGGCATCTGCTTCTGGTGGTGATAGTTCAGGAGACCAGCACTCTGGGCAGATTGGTTTCCTATGGCTGCCATAACAGACCAGCAATTGGGTGACTTAAGCCAACAGAAGTGTATTATCTGACAGTTCTAGAGGCTAATGTCTGAAATCAAGGTGTGGGCAGGGCTGGTTCCTTCGGGAAGCTCTGAGGGAAAACCCATCCCATGCCTCTGTCCCAGCTTCTGGGGGCTGCCAGCATCCTTCACACTCCGTGGCTTGCGGATGCATCACTCAGTGTCGGCATTCACGGTCACAGCGCCTTCTCCTCCATGTCTGAGTCCTTTCATCCACCCTCCTCCAGCAGGATCTCATCTCGAGCCTTAATTACATCTGCAAAAACCCTATTTTCAACTAAGGTCATATTCTGAGGTTCTGGGTGGACATGAATTTTTGGATGGACACTAACCAACCACTAAGCTGGATATGGGAATTGCTCGTCCAGCCAACTGTGACAAAGGTGAATGTTGCTGTCCAAACCCCACTGCAGTGCCAGGGAAGGGAAGCACAGGGGGAACCAGATGCAGCTCTCCTCCAAGACACGCTCCTCTTTAGTTTCTAACCTCCTTAATTTTAATTAAGCCTAATTATCGTAACAACCCTAGTGAATTGAAATTGGGGGTTGTATTAATTTTCTATTGCTGCCATAATAAATTACCACAAAATTAGTGACTTATCACAAAATTTATTATTTTACAGCTCTGTGAGTCAGAAGTCCAACATGGGTTTCACTGGGCTAAACTGAAGGCACCAGGCAACTTGCATTCCTCTCCAGAGGTTCTGGGAGAGAATCAATTTCCTTGCTTTTCCTGGATTCTAGAGGCCACCTGTGCTCCTTGGCTCATGGCCACCTCCTTCATCCTCAAAGCCAGCAATGGCTGGCAGAAACTTTTTCACATTACTCCCTTCTGATTGCTTCTTCTCTTCCCTCTTCCACTTTAATAGGCCTCTGTAATTACATTGTACCTAGCCAGACAACCCAAAATAATATTCCTGTTCTCTGAGTAAGCTGCCTAGTAGCCTTAATTCCATCTGCAACCTTAATTCTCCTTTCCCATGAAAGGTAATATATTCCCAGCTTCCAGGGATTAGGATATGGATATCTTGTGGGGTGGGGGGTGACCTTATTCTGTCTAACATAGGAATTTTTCCAGATATCTTCTTATTATTGATTTCTAACGTATTCCATTTTTGTTGATGTACACCTTCTGCATTATCTCAATTGTTTAAATGTATAAAGACTTGTTATGTGCCCCAGCATGTGGTGGTCTATCTTGCAGAACATGCCACACACTTGAAAAGAATGTGTATTCTGAAGTTGCAGCATACAGTATAAATACCAAACAGGTCAAGGTCATTGATCATCTTTTTATATCACCTATATTTTAACTGAATTTTTCTCTATTTGTTCTATCAATTGCTGGGAAATGGCTGCTAAAATCTCTAAGACTGTATGATTGTCTATTTCTTCTTTTATTAGGTGCATACATATTTATGATTGTGATGTCTTCCTGATACACGGACTCTTTTGTCATCATGAAGTGACCCTCTTTATCGCCCTTTTTATTTTTTGAGACAGAGTCTCGCTCTGTCGCCCAGGCTGGAGTGCAGTGGTGTGATCTCAGCTCACTGAAAGCTCTGCCTCCCGGGTTCATGCCATTCTCCTGCCTCAGCCTCCCAAGTAGCTGGGACTACAGGTGACCGCCACCACGCCTGGCTAATTTTTTTTTTGTATTTTTTTTTTTTTTTTTTTTTTTTAGTAGAGACAGGGTTTCACCATGTTAGCCAGGATGGTCTCAATCTCCTGACCTCGTGACCCACCCACCTCGGCCTCCCAAGGTGCTGGGATTACAGGCGTGAGCCACCTCGCCCGGCCTCTTCATTGCTTTTAATGCTCTTTGTCTTGCAGTTGGTTTCACTGGATATTAACACAGCCACTCCAGTTTTCTTTTTTCTTTCTTTTTTTTTTTTTAGATGGAGTCTCGCACTGTTGCCCAAACTGGTGTGCAGTGGCGCAATCTCAGCTCGCTGCAACCTCCACCTCCCAGGTTCAAGCGATTCTCCTGCCTCAGCCTTCCGAATAGCTGGAACTACAGGGGTGCGCCACCACACCCAGCTAACTTTTGTATTTTTAGTAGAGACAGGGTTCCACTGTGTTGGCCAGGCTGGTCTTGAACTCCTGACCTCGTGATCCACCCACCTCAGCCTCCCAAAGTGCTGGGATTACCAGCGTGAGCCACCGTGCCCGGCCCCCACTCCAGTTTTCTTATGCTTACTGGCTGCATGGTATATCTTTCTCCAACTATTTATGCTCAATCTGTTCAAGATTTCATATTTGAAGTGAATTCTTAAAATGATTGTTACAGCTAGGTCTTGCATTTTTAAAAAGTCAGTTTTTATTGTGTTAAAATACAGATAACATGTAATTTACCGTCTTAACCATTTTAAAACGCACAGTTCAGTAGTGTCAAGTATATTTACATTGCTATGCAACCCATCTCTAGAACTTTGTCACCTTACAAAACAAACTCTATACCCATTGGATTCGTCCATCCTTGCGTTGCTATAAAGAACTACCTGAGATTGAGTAATTTATAAAGAAAATAGATTTAATTGGCTCACAGTTCTGCAGGATACATAGGAAGAATGGCTGGAGAGGCCCAGGAAACTTACAATCATGGCATAAGGTGAAGAGGAAGAAGGCATGTGGCTGGAGCAGGAGAAAGAGAGAGAAGGGGGAGGCGCTACACATGTAAACAACCAGATCTCATGAGGACTCACTCACTATCATGAGAACAGCAAGCAGAAATCCACTAATGATCCAATCACCTCCCACCAGGCCCCTCTTCCAACACTGTGGGTTACAATTCAACTTGAGACTTGAGTGGGGACACAGACCCAAACCATGTTACCCATTAACAATAACTCCCCATTTTTCTCTTTCTCCAGCCCCTGGCAACAACCATTCTGTTTCTGTAAGTTAGTCTACTCCAGATATCTTAGGTAAGTGGAATCATGCAGTATTTGTCTTTTTATGACTGGCTTATTTCACTTAGCATAATGTCCTCAAGGTTTAGCCATGTTGTAGCATGTATCAGAATTTACTTCTTTATTAAGTTTAAATACTGTTCCTTTTTTTGGATATACCACATTTGTTTGTTCACTCTTCTGTCCATAACTTTGGTTCCACCTTTTAGCTATTGTGAATAATACTGCTATTAATGTGGGTGTCGTGAGTGTATAAATATTTCTCTGAAACTCTGCTTTGAATTATTTTGGATATATACCCAGAAGTGGAATTGTTGGATCATACGGAAATTCTACGTTTAATTTTTTGGAACTGCCATACTGTTTTTCTACAGCAGCTGTGCCATTTTACATTTTCCACCAACAGGATACGAGGGCTCTGATTTCTCCACATCCTTTTCAATATCTGTCCTTTTTCTTTTTTTGATAGTAGCCTTCCTAATGGTTGTGAAATGTGGGTATTGTTTCTTAAAATCTAGTCTGACAATCTCTGCCTTTTAATTATAATGCTCAGTCCATTAACATTTAACATGATTTTTGATATGGTTAGATTTGGTGTGCTAATTTATTATTTGTTTTCTGTTTCTTCCCTCTGTTTCATGTTCCTCATTTCTGGGAAAGGGACACCTTTCCCAGTTTTGATACTCTTCATTACTTCTTCAAATCTGAATTTCCAACTGGTATTATTTCCCTTCAAAGAACTTCTAAGTTTTCTTTGATCTGAGAATAGCTTCATTTTGCCTTTATTCTGATTACAGAATTCTAGGTTGATAGTTTCTTTTTCCAGAACTTTTTTTTTTCTTGAGAGAGAGTCTTGCTCTGTTACCCAGGCTGGAGTGCAGTGGTGTGATCTCGGCTCACTGCAGGCTCCACCTCCCGGGTTCACACCATTCTCCTGCTTCAGCCTCCCAAGTAGCTGAGACTACAGGCGCCCGCCACTGCACCCGGCTAATTTTTTGTATTTTTAGTAGAGACGGGGTTTCACCGTGTTAGCCAGGATGGTCTCGATCTCCTGACCTCGTGATCCGCCCACCTCAACCTCCCAAAGTGCTGGGATTACAGGCATGAGCCACCACGCCCAGCCTTTTATTATTATTTTGGCATCACTCTGGTATATCAACTTTGGAAACAAAATACATCATTCTATTTATAGCATTCTGTTTTCAGCAGTGATATTTTCATTTACAAAATATAGTAATTCTTCATTGCTAAAAATGTCAAATCTTAGAAAATGTGGCTTTCCAACACATGATGTTATCATCATTCTCTAACAGTTGTTGGCCAAAGATTCATTTGATGAATCAGATTTTTCTGGAATAGACAATCCTGATGATTCAGACAATTCTGATGTGAGCTCTGTTCAGAAATAACTTCAAGAGGCCAGGCGCGGTGGCTCACGCCTGTATCTCAGCACTTTGGGAGGCTGAGGCAGGCAGATCATGAGGTCAGAAGTTCGAGACCAACCTGGCCAACATGGTGAAACCCCGTCTCTACTAAAAATAAAAATTAGCCAGGCATGGTGGCACATGCCTGTAATCCCAACTACTCCAGAGGCTGAGGCAGGAGAATCACTTGAACCTGGGAGATGGAGGTTGCAGTGAGCCAAGATCATGCCATTGTACTCCAGCCTCAGTGACCAATCTCAAAAAAAAAAAAAATCAAACCCCAAGAATAGTTTTATATTTTATTTTCACATTGAAATTTAGTCAGATTTGCTTCAGCCTCAAAGAGCATGTTTATGTAAAACTAATTGACTGCTGGCAGCAAGCTGCACATTTTTTTCTAAACAAGAAAAGGACTAAATCATCCAATTCAGAGTTCACTGAACTTTTACAATCTCACATTTGTGTGGTACAACAACAAATTTAGGAAATGTTTTGGCCACTACACCTTCGAATGTTTTGTCTGCTCCATCCTGTTTCCTTTACTCATAGGACCCAAATTATATCTATGTTACATCCTTTGATATTACCCCCTAGGTTCCCACGGCTCTGTTCATTATTTTTAAATCATTTTTCTCTCTCCTCTTCAGAATAGATTTTATCTGTATTCAAGTACACTGATCTTCATTTCTCATCTCTGTTCTGTTATTAAGACAATCCAGTGAATCTTTAATTTCAGATATTGTCTTTTTTTCAGTTCCAGAATTTCCACTTGGTCCTTATTTTCAGTTTCTATTCCTCAGCTGAGATTTCTTATCTTTTCTTTCCTGCAAGCATATTTCCCTTTACTTCATTGAATATCGTTGTAATATCTTTCTTAAAATCCTTGTCTTTTTTTTTTTTTTTTTGAGACGGAGTCTCGCTCTGTCACCCAGGCTGGAGTGCGGTGGCGCGATCTCCGCTCACTGCAAGCTCCGCCTCCCGGGTTCACGCCATTCTCCTGCCTCAGCCTCCTGAGTAGCTGGGACTGCAGGCACCTGCCACCATGCCCGGCTAATTTTTTGTATTTTTAGTAGAGATGGGGTTTCACCGTTTTAGCCAGGATGGTCTCAATCTCCTGACCTCGTGATCTGCCCACCTCGGCCTCCCAAAGTGCTGGGAAAATCCTTGTCTTTTAATTTCAACATCTTGATCATCTCAGAATTGTTCTCAGTTGATTGACTTTTTGGTTTAAACTGGGTCGCATTTTCCTGGTTCTTCATATGTCAAGCAATTTTAGATTGTATCCTGAATATTAGGAACATTATGTTGTGGAGGTTCTAAACTCTGTTCTAATCTTCCAGAGAATGTTCATTTTTTTCTCAGTTAAACTTAAACGGCAAATTTGTCTCTTTCGTATCAGCTCAAATCACAGTTTAGATATTTTATCCTTAGCTAAAATGCATTGAGTCTGCCTAAAAGCATGTGTAGTTCAAAAGTTAAGCAGAGAATTGAGTAGAGCTTGTTTTTTGTTTTTCTTTTTTGTCTAGAGTTTGTAGTTTTTATTTGCAAGAGGTTTAGGTCCAGTAGGAGTTAAGGCCATGCCCATATTTTTTCTAACATGTAAGTGTTTTGTTCACCTGTCACAAAGCTGGGAAGCCTGTGAGCAGGTGACTTAGTGACAGACGGAAAAACCTTCAGAGGAGGTTGAGGAATAAAAGAGCAACTCTCTCTAGGCAGAGGGCAGAGGCAGCTGTGAACAAATCAACCTGTATTAGGCAGCTCAGGCTGGGTGGTTTAACCAACAGAAATTTATTTTCTCACCATCCAGGAGGCTGGAAGTCCAAGATCAAGGTATCAGCAGATATGGTTTCCTCTGAGGTCCCTCTTCTTGGCTTGCTGATGCTTGCCTTCTCCCCATGTCATCCTATGGCCATCCTTTGGTGTGTTTCGTCTGTGTCTTTGCCTCCTCTTCTTCTATCCAACCAGGCATATTGGATTAGGACCCACCCCAAAGACCTCATTTAACCTTTGTTACTTTTAAAGACCCTATCTCCAAATACCCACATTCTGATTTACTGGGGGTTAGGATATCGATACATGAATTTGGGGGGACTCAATTCAGCCATAACACTGCCCTTCAGAGGCTGAGGACTACCCTCTCCTAAAAGGCTGCAAAGGGGTGCAGCTGCCTCATGGCCCCTATGTTGTGGGGCATTCAGGCAGCAACTCCCCAGGCATCAGTTGCCCCCTCACTGCTTACTCGGTGCCCTCACATGTCCTGTCTCACTTTATCCTCCCTATCCTCTAGGGTGGTAGCTGCCAGGATTCCCATTTTGCAGACGTGAGAATGACTCCACACAGCTGGGAAGTGAGTAGACCACCACACATCATGTGTTCACTGCATCCTGGGCCTGTGCTTTACATGGTTAATTCAGTTATCTGCCCAATGTTGTCTTAGTCTGTTCAGGCTGCTATAACAAAATGCCACTGACTGTGTGGCTTAAACAACAGAAACTCACTTTCTCTCCATTCTGGAGGCTGGAGGTCTGAGATCATGCTGCCAGCATGGCTGGGTTCTGGTAAGCCCTCCTTTCCCGGCTTGCCAATGCCTGTCTTCTTGCTGTATCTTCACCTGGTGGAGAGAGAGGGATAGTGAGCTCTCTGGTTTCTCTTCTTATAAGGACACAAATTCGATCATATCTGGGCCCCATCCTTAGGACCCCATCTAACCCTTATTACCTCCTTGTAGGCTCTTTCTCCAAATAGGGTCACACTGGGAGTTAAGGCTTCAACATAGGAATTTTAGGGGGACCCAATTCAGTTCATAGAAACTCCATGTTTCTCCTGTATTCTGATGGGGAAACTGAGGCTCAGGAAGATCCACTCACAGAACTAGGGAGTGACACAGCTGGGTGCCCACTTCCCATGCCAGGCCTGTCTGACGAGGAGCCCATCTGGGGTCTTGAGCTCTGGTCTTCCAGGCCCGATAGGTCATGGACACCATCCACAGACCTCAGGCCCTCCTGTCATAGGACGATGGTAATCACCTGTCCAGGCAGCTGCCATGCTGGCTGGAGGGGAGGAGATGGTTCTTCAGTCCCTATCTCAAGGCTCAGCCCTGGCTCCTGGCAGCCCTGATTGTTTGACCCAGAAGCAGGCAGCTCCCTCTGCAGGTCCCCAGAACACCCTGGGCTGGGCCATTTCTCCAAGCTCTGCCTGGAGCCTCCACCCTGAGAGAAGCGGCCCCCATCTCGCCAGCTGCCACCTGGTTCCTGTAAGCGTCCTGCGTTTCAATAGTATTTGACAAAGAGGGAAGCCCACATGGCTTGGAGATTGTTCTGACTCACTGTAGAAAGTGTCCAAGGTTCCCAAAATACGGACACAGCAGTGAGTCAGGCATGCAGCCCACCTAGGTGCACACTGTCCTGTGCTCCTTTCTCTCCAGAGGACGCTGGGTGCTGGGCGCAAGTTCCTAGAGAACAATGGTGCCCAGCAGGTGGGCAGGGTATGGGCCTGTCCTGGAGCGCCCAGCATCCCGCACTTTTTGCTCGCCCTTCTCACCAGGGGCTGCAACTAGGTGGGCTGCATGCCTGACTGTACCAGCAGGTACAGGCACAGAGGGAGGCGTGGACCCTGCAGCAACTGGGCCAGCAGGTGACAGTGTGCACTATGGATGAGGCTGGCTCCTCTGAGGTGCAGATGCAGGGATGCACCTGGTACAAGCAGAATTGGACTATTTTGGAAAGCTTGGCCTCAATGGCATTTTAAAGTGCAGATGACACTGAAGAGTGCCCTTGGAGAAAGTCTGGGTGGGGACCAAGGGGACAGGGCGATGCCCTCTGCCCTGTGGGAGGAGATGGGTGAGCAACAAGGCTTCTTAGCATTGAAATTCACCAAGGCCGGGCCGCCGCTTCCGCCGTATGTTACATGTCAAAGAACACTTTTAACTAAGCACTGCCGCTTTCCTCCGGCTGACTTCACCCAGTTACTTACCCCAGTAACACTGCCGGCAGCCCACTTGCATCCTAGAGGAAGTACTGGATGAGCAAGCGAAACAAGAGAAGGCTCACTCCCAAGCCCATCGTTCACAAGCCCTGCCTGCTGTGGGTGGACCAGGGTGCCCGGTCTCCAAGGGAGTGGCCCTGACTCTGTCCCCTGTCCTTAGCATGTCCCTTCTTCCCCTCCAGCCACCCACCGAGGGAGGTGCCACTGGCAAGGTGTGCACACCCCAGGGAGGGCAGCCCCACCTGTGCATCCTGCTGAGGGCAACTGTAGCTCAGCGCCACTGAGGCTAGAGCCACAACAGGAGGCTGTGCACTCACAGGGACAAAAATACCCCAAGGAAATCAATGCGGGCCTTATTAATATCAGACCCATACGTGACAACTGTCAGACAATCGGTCAACAAGGGGCCTCGTGTCTGCATGATCCCAGCTAACCCACTGTGATCTTCATGAAGTGTCCTTCTGGGGGGTCCGGATCTTCAAATATGAGGGGAAGACCCTTCCCTTTTATTAGCAGCTAAGCTCTTTATACTTTTCCCATATTGCGGCAGGTTAGAAGTCTAAGCTTTATTGTCTTATGTTATTGAAAATCCAGATTCCGGCAGGCGTCTCCCTCAGGTCAAGCTTTGTCTGCGAATACATTCTCATTTTTCCATGTACAGAGACCGTCTGGAGAGGGGCAGAAAAAGATTATGACTGTAATATACTTAAATCCAATTTATTTGCCTGGCCAGAAACTTCCACCCTCCACAATTGCTTCCTACCCAAGATGCTTCTTTAATTCTTTCTTGACAGGGAGTAACATGCGGCGGCCTCTTCCAGCAGGTACAGGCACAGAGGGAGGCATGGACCCTGCAGCAACTGGGCCAGCAGGTGACAGGTGGCCTGAGAGAGAGGGCCAGCCGCTGACTGAAGTTTCGGGTTCGGGACTGCTCATTTGTGCATGAGAAGTGGGTCCTCAGTTGTATGTTGTTTACCGGGAGAGAAATGCAGTAAATGGAGAATAACAGGCCGTTGTCCAGGCAAGGCCACCCCAGCCTGTGGCTCCCTTGCAGGCCCTGGCTTACACTTCATCTCATCCAGGAGCATCTGTCTTGGGGGCCCCTGGGATGAGGGTGGGCCCCACAGCCTCACTTAAGGTCTTGATGAGCCTGTGTAACACTTCCCTGCAGGCTTACCTCTGATATAGGCTCACAATCCGGGAGGAAAATGGTTTCGGGGGATTATTTTATTAATTGGCGTTTGCTCGTTTTAAATGATGGATGTAAAGGGACTGCCAGGACAGACGGAGGTGTGGGCATCAAACACCGCCCAGGCCCTTCCCCACCCCCCAGGCTGAGCCATGCCTGGGGCCATCCTTGGCCTTAGCCTCCCTGGCTAATGAACCTGGGACTGGGCTGCCCTCCCAATTATCATCTGCTGGCCCTGCCTACAGCCCACCTCAGTGCAGCACAGAGCACAACCATTAAGCACCGACTGTGTATGCTTTTTCCTGCTAAGCTGGAGGAGGCGGAGACGGTAGCAAGGCCGGAGGGAGTGATGGGCCAGCAGGCTCTGACCACAGGGCAGGGGAGTGCTGCACTGGGCAGGGAGGACGCAGGGAGGGGCTTGACTGATAATGTGTGGAGCCACCGCTCTTCCCAGTTTGCCCAGGATGTTCTGGTATTGGTGCTAAAAGTCCTGCATCCCAAGAAAGGCTCAGCCTCAGACAAACCAGGACAGTTGGTCCCCCAGCAGCTGGGAACAGTGACACTAGTCCAGCCAGTGCTGCTCTGTCACCCCAGCAGCTGGGAACGGTGACACTAGCCCAGCCAGTGCTACTCTGTCCATCTGTGTATTGGCCAGTGTCTCCAGGGAAAGAGAACCAACAGGATATACACAGATACATGGAGAATGATTTCTTATGGGGTCGGCTCATGTGATTTTGGGGGCTGAGAAGTCCCACACTCTGCTGTCTGCAAGCCGGAGGCCGAGGACCACCGGTGGTGCTTTCCAGTCCAAGCCCAAAGGCCTGAGAGCCAGGGGAGTCCGCCACGTGAGTCCCAGTGTGAGTCTGAAGACTGGAAAACCAGGAGCACCAGCATCCGAGGGCAGGAGAAGATGGGCAGCCCAGATCAAGCAGAGAGAGCAAACGTGCCCTCCTCATCTTCCTGTTCTACTCAGCCCTCGATGAGGTGGATGCTGCCTGCCCACACTGATCTCATGAGTGTTTCATGCAGTCTCCTGATTTCAAGGCCTTTTCCAGAAACATTCTCACAGACACACCCAGAAATAATATTTCACTAG